>NC_000005.10:101984807-102609807 GCF_000001405.40 Homo sapiens
AAAAAATCATTAAAATTTTAGGACATGTATTAAGAATTTAAAAGAATTTAATATATTATTTGTTCTATCTTTTAAATGACCCATATTTGGAATATTGGTATTTATTTCAGCTTCTTTTATCTATAACAACTTATACAAAAAGCATTCTAATTTATTTTAGAGACCAGGCTGTCACTTAGGCTAGAGTGCAGCGTATGATTATGGCTCACTGCAGCCTCAATCTCCCAGGCTCAGGTGATCCTCCCACCTCAGCTTCCCTGAGTAAGCTGGGCCTGTAGACACACACCACCATAACCTGGCTCATTTTTTTTTTCTCATTATGTTGCCCAGACTGGTCTCAAACTCCTAAGCTCAAGCAAGCCTCCTGCCTCAGCCTCCCAAAGTGCTGAGAATACAGGCATGAGCCACCATACCTGGCCAAAAAAAAAAGCATTCCAATTTAGAATAGAAAAAACAATAACCACACATAATTATACTCTCTTTACCCAGTTTTAGGTAATGCATGACCAGCTTTCTGATTATAGACAAACCTCAGTATCATCTTTGAATTCTCCCTTATCAACTATCAATTTGTCTGCTCAGATACGTCACTCTCTCTTGTTGTGCCTCTGACACACTCTTTGTTTCTTCCGGGTTTCCTTCACTGATTTCTTCATCTCCATCTCTAAATACACATGTCCTGGGAATTATTCTTGGATACTTCTGTGTCTACATGTACTATGAAGATGATCATATATGGTTCTTTGGCTTTAAATATTAATTATTTCTGATGATGTCAAATTTATTTCTCTGACTTTCTCTTAACTCCATTTCCATGTACACATCAGCCTGCTTGATATCTCCATCTACATGACCAATAGATATCTCAAACAATTCACCCCATACTCGCCTGTCTTACAAATCTTTGTCTTACTTTCCTTCTTACCTCAGTAAATGATACCACCAATTTTCTAGATATTCAGAACAAGAAATTTGGAGTCACTTTGTTATTTTGTTTTTTTTCACATTTACATCTAATTTAACAGCACATCATATTATAAAAACATATCCAGAATCCAACTACTCTCCAGTACTTCCGCTGCAACCACCCTAGTCCAAGACACAATTACCTTTACTTGGAATATTTTAAAAGATTTGATAATGCTCTCCCTATTTCCACTCTTGCTCTTCCACAGCCCACTTTCCACAAAGAAATCTGAATAATTCCTCCTCATAAAATATTTCAGAGTGTCATTCTGCTCCAAACCTGCTAATGGCTTCCCACTTTACCCAGGGTAAATCCTAAGTCTTATATGTCTTATCAGACAGTTTTGTTTTAGAATTATATACATTTTCTCAGCATATTATTTTTTCATCTTTTTTGGATCGTAAGCTCATTGACATGATAGGAAGGCTTTAACTTCTATTTTATAATTGAATGGAAACTGCATTCAATGAGCGGCACTTCTTCATCTTTGCCTCCTTCATCTTCCTGAAGTGAGAGACATGATTAATTTTTTTTTTGCTGTCATACCCATTTTTTGAGGGTGTAGATAATACGAATTTGTCCAGCACTGTCTTTTAAGCCCTAGGCTATTCAGTATCAATATATAGCCACAATTTCAATTACTCTGACAGAAAATATAGCTCCATCCCAAGGAAAATACCATAATGGAAATTTCACAGGATACAATTTCTTTGAGGCTGAGAAAGCTACAACATTTCAAGTATGGATAAATCTTCTCTTGGCAGACACAAGAACTATCTCAAGGTCAATGTTAAGCAAAGGTTCTACACAGCTATAAGTTTTGATATAATTAGCTATAACTACTTAAGCTACATTTATTATAATCAAAATTATTTTTCAAGGCAAGGCATGAAAAAAAGATCAAATTAAATTCTCCTCATGAGAATATTTTGTATGCATACTAATTCTTTCCACTTATTTTATACCTATGTTTTTTAGTACTATTTCCCTTAGTGTGTGATCTACATGTGAAAAATTAGTTCAAAAATAATTGAATACACAATACTCTTTGAAATGGATTATTGTTAAATTTTGAATAGATAATATACAAATATAATTATCTAGCAAACCATGCTTTTATCAAAGATTAAAGCAAAGTACTAGATTCTTTTTTGTATTTTTAACTAAATGAGCTATTTGAGAGACTATTTGTGATAGTTTATGATCTCGTGTGTGTGTGTGTGTGTGTGTGTGTTTATGTCCTCAGTTCATAGGGACACTAGAAAAATTTTAATTTTAATTAAATTAAATTTAATTTTAATTTTAGCAGTTGTAAAATCAATTAATTCTATTAAGATAATGTACACGTAAAGAAATATGAAGGGACAGCAGAGAGTTTTATGTATTAGAGTGAAATTTTCAAATGCAAAATAATAAGATGCCGTACTTGAAATGGCTTACGGAGAAGAAAATTTTAGTTTTTATTATAAGTTAAAAGTTCAGTTATAACTAAGATTTTTTACTCTTTTTTTTGGTCACAAACCAACTTACCTCACAGGAAAACATGTTTGCTATTTAACTCTAAGCCTATATCGTATTCTGTCAGCAACCACAGAAAAAAAAAGAGAAGAGAGACCTTCTCCTTCCAAAAGGTGTCTATAAAATCAGGACTTATGGGAAGCTGGCCAGAAGTAGGTCAGGAGCCCTTCCTGAAAAAATCACTCTGCCTAGGTGATGACAAAATAAGTTGAAAAATAATTGAATAATTGATTGACTCAGGTCTGACTACATTCAGACTCTGCCATGAACACTAGACACAGAGTGAGAAGAATGATTCCCTCACAAAGAAATCAAGACTTCCTTGTGTGACAAAGGAGACATAGCAATCAAGTAGGCAGAAGCAACATATGTTAATTCCATCAAAAACTGCCACATTCGGCCAGGCGCAGTGGCTCATGCCTGTAATCCCAGCACTTTGGGAGGCCAAGGCGGGTGGATCATGAGGTCAGGAGTTCGATATCAGATTGGCCAAGATGATGAAACCCCGTCTCTACTAAAAAACACAAAAATTAGCTGGACGCGGTGGCGGGCGCCTGTATTCTCAGCTGCTCGGGAGGCTGAGGCAGGAAAATCGCTTGAACCTGGGAGGAGGCGGAGGTTGCAGTAAGCCGAGATTGCGCCATTGCACTCTAGCCTGGGCGACAGAGCAAGCCTCCGTCTAAAAAAAAAAAAACAAAAAACCTGCCACATTCAATTCATATACAATTAGAGAAAAGGTGAATTTATAGGATAACTGCACAAGCAAGTGCAGGGTAAGACTGATTAAAGTAGTTTACACTTTTCCATTTTTATCAGGGCTACAAATGGCAACTTTGACTCCCTGAAGCATTCTTCCTGTTCTGCTTGGAAAGCGGGTCTAATTTTTTTCCAAGCACCCGCAGCTATTTATTATAGTAATAGAGGCCAATTTTTGAGGCAGAGTTAAAGGAAGAAAGAGAAAGAGATGTCCTTATGCTCTTGTTTTCTTCGTCACGCATCATGTATGCTTATTTGGGGATGCTAAAACAGAATGAAAGCATTAACTAATCCATAGAAAATCTGCCATCCTATTTTAGAAGTTATTATCAATATTCCTATAAGTTGTGATGTCTTAAAATTATTTGCTCATTATGAGATAGAGTTGGGCCTTTTTATATAAAGTTTGAAAGTACAGTTGACCCTTAAACAACACAGTAGTTAGGAGAACTAATTTGCCCACACAGCCAAAAATCTGTATTTAACTTTTGACTCCACCAAAATTTAACTACTAATAGTCTATTGTTGGTTAGAAGCCTTACTGGTAACATAAACGTCAATCAACACGTATTTGGTATGTTATATGTATTATGCACTGTATTCTTTAAATAAAATAAGCAAGATAAAAGAAAATGTTTTATTATTTTATTTTATTTTTTTGAGACGGAGTCTCACCATAAGGAGGAAAGAATATTATTTACTATATATTCAGTGGCAATGGATCAATATAAAGGTCATCCTGTTGTTTTCACGTTGAGTAGTCTGAGGAGGAAGACGAAGAGGAGGGGTTGGTCTTGGTGTCTCAGGGTGGCAGACACAGAAAAGGCAGAGGAGGTGGAAGGGGAGGCAGGAGATCCAGGCACACTCAGCTTAACTTACAAAAATACACTGTAATCTCTGACTGTTTCGCTTTTGCATTTCTCTATAAATGTTCTAAATAGTACCAATCCTTCCACTTTTTGCTTTAGTTTTGGTGCCTATATCTTAGAAGGCTCAGTGTCATAAAATAAGTCAAAAGCAATTCTTGTGTAATCAAAATCTTTCTCCAGATTTTCCAATGTCAATTTGTTTTCTGGTATTGCATCTTCCATGTCTTTCCCTCACTGTCTGGCAGTGGTTTGGAAGCACTAATCTCCATCGGTTAATTCCTCTGGTGTCATGTCTATGAGCTCTTGAATTTCTCCAGGATCTGTATCTTGAAATCCTTTATGCCCCACCCTTTTTTTCATATCCATAATCTCTTTCATGATTTCCTTGATTAGCTTTGTTATAAATCCTGTGAAACTATGCACAAAACATATGGATATAGTTTTCTACAACAGGAATTTACTCAATTTAGTGTTTTAAGCTTTATGCTTTCATAGCCTTTTCCTACAACAATGATGGCATCTTCAATGATGTAATCCTTTCAGACTTTCATTATGTTGTTCTCTCTACTGGGATCTCTTCTATAGTGTTGACAATTCTTTCTATAGAATATCACATGTAATGAGCCTTAAAGGTCCTTATGACTCTCTGATGTAGAGGTTGAATTAGACAGACTGTTTGAGGGCAAGGAGACCACTTTGACATCTTCAGTGCTGAACTCAGGGGGTTCGGGGTTGCCAGAGGCATTGTTCAATATCAAAGGAGCATTAAAAAGCAGTCCTTTTTACCTGCAAGTTAATTCCTGACTTCAACGACAAAGCATCAATGGAACCAACCCACAAAAAGAGTTCTCTTGTGTGGGATTTCTTGTTATGCAATAAAAACACTGGTAGCTGGTGTTTATATTTTCCCTTCAAGGATCAAGGGTTAGCAGCTTTATACACAAGGGCAATCCTGATCATAAAACTGACTACATTTGCACAAAACAGTAGAGTTAGCCTATCTCCTCCTGCCTTAAATCCTGTTTCTTGTTTCTCTTCCTTACTAAATGTTCTCTGTGGCTTTTTTTTTTCTTTCTAGATAAGACACTTTTACCTGCATTAAAAACTTGTTTAGGAAGCTATAATTTCTCCTCAATGATTGTCTTAATAATGCCTGGGAACTTGTGTGCTATCTCTGGATAAGCAGAAACAACTTCTTCTTCTATCTTGACATTTTTCTAAAATTATCAAACCATCCTTTACTGGCATTAAATTCTCCAGCTTTAGAGCTTTCACCTTCCTTTTGCTTTAAGTTTTTATTTAATAACTTTGCTTTTATTCAAATCATGTTGAAGTCTATAGGTATGTGACTCTAATCATCTATGTATGAGCAGCTCATCTCTTCAGTAAATTGCGTATCACAGTAAAAAGTGACCTCTCATGGTTGTCATATATTTTTCATTGTTGTTAGTGTGATACCGTGGACCTTTGATAACACCATAAGACCCATACAAAGTGCCATTAGTGATCATGGAAGTCTCTCAAGAAGCAGAGAAAAGTCATGTCATTACAAGAAGAAGTTGAATTGCTTGATATGCAGCTGTGTCGTGCAGCTGTAGTTACCTGCCATTTCAGAGAGACAATTCACCTTGTAAACAGGCTAAATGAACTTATGGTATCGACAAATACAGTTTTTTTCCTTGTGATTTTCTTCATAAAATTTTTCTCTAGCTTACTTTGTTGTAAGAATACAATATATAATTCATATAACACATAAAATACATGTTAATTGACCATTTATGTTATCAGCAAGGCTTCTGATGAACAGTAGGCTATTAGTAGTTAAGTTTTGGGGGAGTCAAAAGTTATACACAGATTTTCAATTGCATAGGGGGTTAGCACCCCTAAACCCTGCATTATTCAAAAGTCATCTGTAATTAAATTTTAAAAATTAATATGACAATAGCTGTAACTTTAGTATTTGAAAGTTCTAAATTTCAGAGTAATTTAAAAATATGAGTTGTTCTTAATAAAATAATATTAGATTACATGAGTGCAAATCTACTGTACAACTCCTTCAGTCTATTTCAGTAGCTACAAACTAATTCAAAACTTATTAACTGTGTGTGTAATTACTACGTGACCAACATTTATGGAGATTCTACATGGTTACAGAAAAAGACAGACTCTTTTTCCCAAAGCTTTAACAAGTAGATCAGTTAGACAAATTGTACAGAGAAACCATTTGAAAAGAATACAGAGAAGCACACAAAAAGGGCTACCCTGTATAATTCAAATAGATGAACATCAGCATTTTGAAAGGATAAAAAAGACATTTTCTTAAAAATTTTATTTATCCAAATCTTTTGCATTCATTCACACTTTGTTTCTCTTCTGTTCTACTCCAAGTCAGTGATTCTCAGAGTGTGGTCTACGGACTCCTGGTCATCTTGACACCCTTCCAGGAAGTCTACAGGTAAAAATCATTTTTTTATTCATACAATTATATTATTTGTTTTTCTTGTCATATTGTTATTTGTACTAACAGTGCAAACACAATGGTAGGTAAAATTGATGGCTTTTTAGAAGTGGAAACAAAGTACACTGATTTTTAGTCATTTTATTCTTCACTGCCATGCACTCTCAGGAAAAATAAATAGCAGTTGCACTTAAGAATGTCCTTTATGACCAAACAAGCCTGGGCAACATAGTAAGTTACCAGCTCTATAAAAAATGTTAAAAAAAAAAAATTGGCTAGGCCTCGTGTCACACACCTGACACCCAGCTACTTAGGAGGCTGAGTACTCTCAGGAAAAATAAATAGCAGTTACACTTAAGAATGTCCTTCATGACCAGACAAGCCTGGGCAACATAGTGAGACTCCATCTCTACAAAAAAAAAAAAAAAAAAAAAAAATTAAAAAAAATGGCTAGGCCTGGTGGCACATACCAGCTACTTAGGAGGCTGAGGCAGGAGGATCCCTTGAGCTCAGGGGTTCAAGGCTACAGTGAGCCATGATCACACCACTGCACTCCAGACTGGGTGACAGAGTGAGACTCTATCTCAGAAAAAAAAAATGTCCTTTATGAAACAAAAAGTTTACTTTTTGTTTAAAATTTAATTAAACCTTAGCAATGAATACATCTTCTGTGTGAGAAAATGGAAAGTACACACAAAACATTTCTTTTGTATACTGAAGTACAATGGTAATCTGGAAGAAAACCATTGTGTGATTAAGTTTTGGGTTGCCTTTTTTTTTTTTTTCATACAACAACATGTTTACCTGATAGAATGACTGATTGTTGGACAAATTATTGTTATTCAGACTTCGGTATTTGTCAGACACTTTTTCACAATTCAATGTTGTGAGCCTGTAACTTAAACAACTGATGATATTTGTTGCCAATGACATTTGAGATTTCGATTGAAAATTAAAATTTTAGAAAAACAATTTTCATCACCATTAGTTTGACTGCTTCCAGTTCTTAAAGGCTTTTCTGATGAGATCTGATAGAACAAACAAAATTTCCTAAAATATTACATAATGATATGTCTCAATATTTGAAAGGTGAAAAATGTAGTGGCTCAGTACTTTCCAAATGACCAGTTAATTATGCTATGAAGTCATTCATGGAACAAAGATCTACTAAAGTGCAAGATGATCAAGGAATTTTAACGTAAGAGGATATGAAAAGTTTATTGATGTATTTTCAGATTTCATATTAAAACTAAACTTTAATGAACTCTCGCTTGTTAAGTTTTGGTGTAATGTTAAAGAGGAATACTAAGGGTGATCTGAAAAGATAATTAAAATAATCCTTCCTTTTTCAACTCAGATCTATGTGAAGCCAAGTTGTTTTCATAACCATCAGCCAAAAGAAAATTGATTGTTTTGGATGCAGAAGCAGATATAAAGATCCAGGCAAACATTGAAAAGATTTACAAAACTGTAAACAATGTTACTCTTTTAACTGATTTTTTTTTAATGTGGAAAATATAATTACCTTTCCAGAAATGTAAAATATTCTGTAGTAACTTTGTTATTGATATTTTAATTACAATTATTAATTGTTAAAATTTGTATTAATTTTTCATACAGAAAATATGAAGGAAAGAAAAAAAAGCAAAAGCTTTTTGCAATCTCAATAATCTTTAACAGTGTAAAGAGGTCCCTAGACCAAACAGCTTGAGAACTGCAGCTCTAGGTCTATATATTCATTATACACTAATTGGATGATTATAGCAACCTTCCCAAGTGGTCTCCCTGACTTCATTCTCATTTCAGTCTATCCATGCTGTTATCAGACTGGAATTTCTAATAGGTACAACTGATACTGGTGAGTATAGACTCACCAGTAACCAGCTTTTTAATAATGACTCTCCGTCCATTTACGAAAAAGGCCATCTGGGTCTGGTGCCCAACTATCTTCAAAATGCACTGCAACTTCTTTGAATCACCATTTGACAGACTAGCCGACCAAATTATATCTTTGTATTGTCCTTGTGCCTGTTTATCTTAAATGCCCTTTCTTCTTTCATCCCCTGTCCAACACATCTTACCACAGACATTCATCTTTTCCACTTCAGGACTTTTGTGAGTGACATCTTTATGAAGGCTTTCTTGCTGTTCTTGCTGCCTACAGAGAAAACCAAACTGACCACTTTCTCATTGGAGCTTTCTTTTTCTTCCTATATATGTTTCCATTATGGTATTGCTAACCCTGTACCTACTATACACAAACACACAGATAATTGAGCTCCCCATAATTCTAAGGGAACAGAATTTTGCCAACAATATTGTCATAAGCAGATTGTGGTTTTTGATTGCTGTGATTCCCCGCCTAGCTGGATACATATAGTTATTTAGATTATTGTATTTAAGCCACAATCCCAATCTTTTTCATTACACTCTATAAACTACAGTTCAGCCTTGCCATCTACTTCTCTAATAGACTCTTTGATATTCAGCATACTTTTAAAAACAAACACTTTTCAGTCTTCTCTACAACTTTAGTTAAGTTCTGGTGTGCTGAAATATTTGTTTCTGTCCATTTGGTACAACTTTATAGTTGTTTTTGGAGAGCATATTTCCTGATCATAAATCACTCAGTCATAGCCAAAAGTACAACCCTTTAATACTTATTTTCAAATGATTATTACTGACTTGTTCCTATTTTAACATTGAAGAAATAAGTATTTTTAAGACATTGCTAATGAACCAATTAATTAATTGTATCACTATATGTAATTATCAAATGATACTTTTATGTGTTTAATGCAGACGCTGGTAACACTTGTTTTAGAGTCACACTGAGAGCTTTGCATTGTGAGGAAGGCAGCTGTCATATCTTCTCTAAGTAGCATTGTAAAAGATGTCCTATCCTTCTGGATATAAGTAAGATGTTTTATATTATTATTTGAGTGTGTCAGACAAACGGAAAGGAGTTCAGAATAAAAATAAAACTAATAAAGGAACTGAAAGGGAAGCTTTGAAAGGAATGTTGGCTGATGCATATTAAGAAAAAAGTGGAGGTAATTATGATGTTTTGTTTAATAAGTAGAGGTTTTAGAATTAGAATGCCCATTTATCTCATATCATCATGTCAAAAGTACAATTTGACAGGTCAAGAATATCTGGCATTGACCCACTGTTGAAATACTGAAACCTATATATTCTTTACCTGCAGATAAAGGTTAAAAAACCCACCAGGACATAATGCTTTAAAGAGAATAAAAATAGCACTACTGTTAGAAAGTCTACTTAAAATTGGGGGAGAATTTCAGATCAAGGTTTCCCAATAGGATGACAAATGACTGCCCCAGGCAAACATTGTATAAGATACTGATGGGGAACCTGTAGATTTGATTTAGGGAAGGGGATGTTCTTATAGATCTTTCTAAATCAAAGCTAAGCTAAGGCACATCTCCTATCTAACAAAGAGCAGCCCCCTCTATGAAGTTTATTGGGTGTTTTTCTGACCCCATTAATCAAGTTATTGCTATACCTTGATCTTGTTTTCCAGGTTTCTTATAAACCCTAATTATTTATAGAGATGACAGTGGGAACTCTCCTCACTATTGTATTCTAAACTGAGACCATATGAGAATTCAATGACTTTGTTTTCACTACAGAAACAATAGTGGGTTGGAGGCAGAGGTTTGAAAATGATCCTAAATTGTTTCTTTTTTTTTTCCCTTTTCTCAGAATTCAACCGATGGAGCCACCCTGGTAGGGAATGGAACAGTTGGAAGGATACAGACCCCACTTATCCTCAAACATATAAAGAAGCCTTGCCCCAAAGTGAGTAGTGACTGGTGAGGATCATCAGAGGAAGACATATGAGCTAACTGTAGATAGCATGAGTGAGAACCAGAGAGAGAGAGGGGAGAAAAGGGGATGAGAAGATATGGGGCCATACAGGAACTATGACTGTAAACACAGCAGTAGATATTTAGTAATAGTAGACATAATAGGAATTCATTTTTCAACAAATTTTTCTATATATTTACCTTCTTCGTTCCTTTTCTTTCCTTTTTTTTTTTTTTTTTTTTGAGGGGAGAAATCAATGAGAGAAGTGGAGTGAAAAAACAAACGTAGTTTTCCCAATACTATTTCCTCTTGAGATTGGAGGTTTAGAACAAAAATCATGTCATGGAAATACAAGGAAGAAGAATCAAAGTATCCCTCCTGTCTAAGAACAATTATTCTGACACTTGTTAAAAACAGTAAGGAAGACTTCCTTCAAGGCTGCTGCAATAAAGAGAGAGATTGAGCTGGACTCTGAACAGAAGGAAAAGTGGGGTTTTATAGCAAGGGAGTAGAGCTAAGTGGTCAGTAAATCGAAAATTACTACCAGAAGACATAAAGAATAGGGAGATTCTTGCAAAACTGGCCTAACAGGATTCTTGCTAAAGCAAACAAAGGACTTAGGTATTAAGGGTGTGGGAAGAAATTTATCAGCTCTCAATGGTAGGTGATTCTTGCTAAGCTTAGTAAAATTCTTGCTAAAACTGTTCTCGGCAAAGATAAAGACAAAAGGCCAATGTTGAGGTGTACTCAAGAACAAGGCTCACAGAAGCCTAAGGTTTGGTCAAGGAGAATGTCTTTGTCACTCCCATGAGAATCTTATTTTTGGTTGTCCAGCATGCGAACACACTACAACCTGAAAGTTTAATGAAATTATCAAAACTATGAGAAGACATGTTAAGAAAATTGGCTATGACTCAAATAAGATTTATATTTAGTTTGAGTTAAAATGTGAGCATTAAATAAAAATTTTATATTACTTACAAATAAACATAGCAATATTATTTGAAATTACTGTTTGAAACAGAATTGAATATACTGTTTGAAACAGAATTGTCCTCTGCCACCAACACAACCTGTTGATAAGTGTCTATAATTACCTCTCAAGACTTACTTTATTAGTGATATTGTATGACAATTAAGATCTTAAAACAGGCATAAAACTGACTATGATCAGTGTTACCATTGGAAAAATAATATATGTTAAGATGTGCCATAAACCATTAAGCCCTTTCTGTTGACAATGAAATTTCAAAGTTAAAAACTGATCTATCAAAGATTTCTGCCCTGACACTGTGCATTTAGAAAATAAGGACTTAGGGTGAGAAGCTGCTGACTTTTCTACTCACATCATCATCCTACATAATCCATGCCATATCAATAGGGATATCGTCATCCTGCTGATATTTCTTACAACTTTGACCATTGTCAAGGCTAAAAATGTTTTTTTTTTCTTTTAACATTTCTGAAATTGTCTGTTGTTAGTGGAGTATAATATAACAGGACCCCATAGCAGGGTCCCAGACAAGGCCAATGACATTCAAGACTTTCTGAGTAGTTTTTTTTGTCATTTATTTTGGTTTACTGCTGCTTTTTTGTTGTTGTTGTTGTTGTGAGATAGATCTTTGCTTTTCCTGCTGCCAAGGCAGATGACAGAATATTGCTGGAGTTGATAACATTACAGTCTGTCCAAAACTGCCATTGAATACTCCTCACAACACCTTTATCCTCAGACTCTTATCAGCTACGGCAGAATGAATCCAAAATGTGAATTTAAATTCAGCAGTTGAAGACTGCTAAACTATTACAGTATATTTTACATTTTTCAAAGAGGAGAATGCTTTGTGAGTCATTTGTTTCATAGCAGTTATAAGTTGCTAGCATTCAAACTAGCTTAGTTCATGCTAGATGAAGTCTTTGCATGCAACAGGAAAATTACTTTTCAAATAATTTTTAAAAGATTAAGCCAAAGTTCTAAACATGAATAAGGCACTTGAAAAAGAAAGAATAAAGAGAAAGAAAAAGAAATAAAAAAGAAGAAGAAAGAGAAGAAGAAGGGGGATAAGGAACAAAGAATGAGGAGGAAGAGGAAGATGAGGAACAAGTGGGAGGAAAAGGAGAAGGAGGAAAAAAAAGAGAGAACAGAGGGATAGAAGAATCCAGGTTTTCTCACACACAAAAAAATGCACTTTATCACTTGGATATGTACATTAATGGATCCTGTGCCAGAATGTATTTGTTCATGATTATCCTTTGTTGTATATATTTGGAAAGATAAATTCATCAGTGTTGTTAGTCTTACCTCTTTCGCATCCTATTTAGTGTTCTCTCCCTTGCAACTTATCCCTCCCTCCCTCCTTCCCAACTCCCCACCTCTTTCTCTCCCTCTCATTACTAATTTCATTAAATAAGCTGGCTTATGAAAAGAGTTGTCAGTGTGTAATCTTTACTTTAATCGCCAAATTTATCCTAATTCTGAATTTATTTATATCCATGAGTCTTTTCTTTCACAATGATGATCATCATATTCAAAATAAGGGTAGAAATTCCATTAGTATTTAAAGCACGTTTCATAATTTCTTAGTAAATTTGTGAGTGATGACTATTTTGGCATTTCTATTATCAACCTATTCATTACAGAAACCGTAAATGAACACATTCGATACACATAATAAAAGTGGTTAATACTGCTCCTGGTTTGAAAAACTTTTTATAAAATGTGAGATTTTATTTTATAGATTGTTTATGGAAAATGGAAGCCAAAGTGAGAAGACAGGTCAGCGGAAAAGGGAAAATTCATATTAATTCAAATAATTGTTTCTGATGGGTAACCTGGAAATGTTAGATTCCAAGTTGTTTATCCACATCATTATCATTGAGTATTTTAAATTATTTTCTATGTTTCTGGTAATAGCTAGCAAACATTACATAGAGACATTTTAGTTGACTCCTGGCTTTTGACATTTTACCCTTATATGTTCTAGAAATAGCAACTGATGCTCTTAGTAAAAATTGTTGTCAGGTCATTATGTTATTCTGTGATGCATGGTAGAAATGACTTGAAAAAATGTAATTCATTGTTTTATGAAATTAATGCTTTCCAGAGAATGTAAGGCATTAAAGATAGCTTAGTTCATGCTAAATGAAGAACTTATTAAATCATTTACTTTACATATTAGAGCAAAACTAAATGTAAATTTATTTTGTCTTTACTTTGATACACATAGTTGCTGAGTAATTTGCCTTTTTAAAGTTTCAAACTTTCTGCAGTTTCTGACAGATGTAGTGGATACCACGCTACCCATAACACCTCTTCCCTTAGGATGGAGGCCTTCCTTCAGCTGCTACACAAATGGCTGATGATAATGGCCATAAAACATTTGGTGACTAGAGTTTGTGACACAGAGTAAATTTGACAGATGTTACGCTGTCTTTCTGTACTGTTTATTTCAATGGACTCTTCCAATAACTTTCTGTGACTGGCTTATTTCACTTAGCATACTGTCCTCAAGGTTCATCCATGTTGCTGCATATTGCAGAATTTCCTTCTTTTTTAAGGCTAAATAGTATTCCCTTGTTAAGTATATAGAGAATTTTCTTTATCCATTGATCTGTCTCTTAAGCTGACATTCATGTTTTTTCCCACATCTTAGCTATTGTAACCACTGCTTCAAACAATGTTTTGATTTTCATCTATTTCTTTTCTTTCTCCTTTCAACAATTCAATTCGACAAACATTTGATGATAGCCAACTGGAGTATCGACTAGAGAAATACAAAGACCATAGAGCCTAATTTTCTTTGAAGGACAATGATGTTTTGTGGAAAATGGAAATTGAGCTATGACTTCTAAAGATAGATTCTGGAGGAACTTCCAAGTGTGTTAGCCTGAGAGAGGACGTTCCAGAAAAAGAAAGCAGAGACAATATATTGAAAAAGTTCTGAAAATTTCCCATTATTAAAAATTAGAATTACCACAGACTTTTGTAGCTGGAAAGTATCTTGGAATTCACTGATTCCATTGGTCTATCAGTCCTGTGACTAAAATCCCTGCATTTGGCAGAAATGACTCCAGATCAGGGAAACAAGAGTGGTAGATTATGTTTCATAAAAATATATTATGTTAAAAATAAAATGTTAAAACAGTAGTCTTTTCTATTTATTTTGCATATAAGAAAGCAGCACAATGGCAATTTAATGTAAACAGAGATCCTAAGCAGAACAGGAGGACTTCATGCTATAAATGTCACTGTTAGGCCACATTTATTGATGCAATAGAAGTCTAGAGGAAAAGGCCTGTTTTCCAATAATTTTCAAGAAAGAGAAAATAAATGTCCTTTCAAAGTCATGTGCTACTATGAGAAAGACAAGGAAAGTCTAATTTTCCAAAGCCATTTTATATAAAGGATAAATATATACAGCCCAAAACACTACAATTTACCAATATCAAGAAAAAAATAAAGATCTACTGACCAAATAAAAATATTCATTATACTGAGGAAACATATTTCTGAATGTTATTATAGGAACAGATTTCTTATCTACCTTCAAAAATATATTCATTATTCATCTTTTGAAAGACAATAAAGGCAGGCATACTTTATAATGAAGGTTAGCAATGAAAGAAAACTTCAAAGCTGAAGATTGGAAACTGAAAGAATTCTCATAAGTTCAAAAAATAATTAAGTTGACCTAAATATATGATTCAGGAAAATTTATTTTGAAAGCATAGGGAGTTTCTTTTTTTTCTACTTGTGCTGGCTCTAGATTAAGCATCACAAAAGACTCAAATGGTTAAATCAATCAAATAAAATATATGATTTTATTTCCTTACTGATTTGGCTAGTGAGTTTTGACTGAATTGATTTTCATCAGATCAAAAACATGCAGTCTTTGCTGCCCAGGGTTCTCCCCCGCCTTCTAGAGCCTGGCTTATTCTGCAGCTATGAGAATAATAGTCAGAAGCAAAGAAAAGGATAAATTCATGCTTTCTTTCAAATTTTGCAGAAAATATAAAATGTTGGCTTTTGAAAGGTAAATATTCTATTATATAGATAGCTCTTTGAAAAGTTGGCTTTTTTCAGGTTTAAAAATATTCAGTTATTTTTTAAAAATAAATAACAGTAGATATATTTTGAAATTTTAAAAAATATTTAGAGACCCCTCTTTTAAAAAATTGTGGTAAGAATTCTTAACATTAATTCTACCCACTTAATAAATTTCTAAGTGTAGTATACCATATTATTAACTACAGGTAAAATGTTGTACCGCAGAACTCTAGAACTTACTTATCTTGTTTAACTGAACTTCATGCTTATGGATTAGTAACTCTCCATTTCTTCCACTTCCACCCGCTTGCGAACGCCATCCCACTATTTGCTTCTATGAATCTGACTATTTTAGATACCTCAAATAAGTGGAATCATGTATTATTCGTCTTTCTGTGACTGGCTTATTTCACTTAGTATACTGTCCTCAAGGTTCATCCATTTTATTGCATATTGCAATATGCATATTCCATGCAATATGCATGGATTCTACTGAATCCATGCTGCAACAGTGGTTTGTTATGCAATATGCATATTGCATATTGCAGAATTTCCTTCCTTTTTAAGGCTAAGTAGTATTCCCTTGTAGGTATATAATGCATTTTCTTTATCCGTAGATCTCTGAAATGGACATTCAGTTTTTTTCCCACATTTTAGCTATTGTAACTAGTGCTGCAATAAACATGAGAGTGTTAATATCTCTTCGAGATCCTGATTTCAGTTCCTTTGAATAAATACCCAGAAGTGAAATTGCTGAATCATATAGTAGTTCTACTTGTAATTTTTTTAGGAATCTATAAACTATTTTTCATAGTAGCTGTACCATTTTGTATTCCTACCAACAGTGTGCAAGCATTCCAATTTCTCTGTATTCTTGCCAATACTTGTCTTTTTTTTGCTTTTAAAAATTATATCCATTATAATATGTGAGAGATAATATCTCTGTGAGACTGTGATTTTGATTTGCATTTCTCTAACAATTGGTAACACTGAACATTTTTTCATGTACCTGTTGGTCACTTGTATGTCTTCTTTGGAGAAATGTATACTCAAGTCCTAGTCTATTTGTTAGTTCAGTTATTAGTTTTTTATTTTTTTTTGCAACTGAGTTGTAGAGGTTCCTTATATATTTTGTACATTAGCATTTTATTAGACATAAGAATTGCAAATATGTTCTCTCATTCCATTGGATGCCTTTGACTGTGTTGATTTTTTTTCTTTGCTTTGGAAAGCTTTTCAGTTTGACATAGTCCTAATTATTTTGTTGTTGTTTTCGTTGCCTGTGCTTTTGGTGTCATATCCATGAAATCACTGAAAAATCAATGTCATGAAGCTTTTTCCCTATATGTTCTTCAAAGAGTTTTACAGTTTCTGGTCTTACATTTAAGTCTTTCATCCATTTTGAATTGATTTTAACGGATGGGGTAAGTTAAGGGTCAGATTTCGCTCTTTTACATGTGGATATCCAATTTGCCAATACCATTTGTTGAAGAGATCATCCTTTTCCTGTTGTGTATTCCTAGCACCCTTGTTGAAAATCAGTTTGCCACATTTACATGAAATTATTTCTGTGCTCTCTATTCAACATAGTACTGAAAGTCCTAGTCAGAGCAATTAGGCAAGAAAAGTCAATTTAGTGGCATCCGAATTGGAAAGGAAGAAGTAAAATGGTCTCTGTTTCAAGACAACATGGTCTTATATACAGAAAAGCCTAATAACTTCATTTAAAAAAAAGAATTGTTAGTTCTAAGAAACAAATTCAATAAAATTGCAAGATACAAAACCAATATCCAAAAATCAATTGTGTTTCTATATATACAAACTATCTGAAAAGGCAATCAGGAAAACTATTCCATTTACAACAGTATCAAAAAGAATAAAATACTCAGGAATAAAACTAACTAAAGAGGTAAAAGTCTTGTATATTGAAAACTAAAAACATTGATGAAGGAACTTAAAGATATAAACAAATGAAAAGACATTATATGTTTATATACATAGCTATATAAAAATTCATACAACAGTTTCAACAATACAATAACATTGCAATGCTATCATTTCAGGTTGTTTGGAATTAAGGATTTCCCCCCTCTAATTTGACATTTCTGCAATATTTATGTTGACTTTATAATAAACAGGATTGTTGCCATTTATAAGAAAGTATTAGTTTATCCATAAAGTGACTCTCATTTAGTAAAATTAATAATTCTTGCAGCCAACTAATGGGTTAAAAATGTAACATTCTGAAGTCTTTGAAATGAAATTATTGGAATATGGATTATGAAAAGATTTTGAAGCAGAAATATACTCCAATAACTTTATAAAATTGCAAGTCAATTATCTGCAAAACTAAAAACAATTATGTTTGATAATTTAGGAATATAAATTTCAGGAAATATGCAATTGTTTTCAATTTTATCTCATAACCATATAGACTCAATTATACTGTTTTCCATTATAGAAAACTAATTAGCTTCACAAACACTGGCATGTTTTGCAGTGCAAGGTAACATAATCAGGATTTCAACTTTTAATTTTGAAGTGTCTATCTTTTGATTTACCACCTTATGCTGGATTATATTACATACAACTTTGGAAAAAATATTTTTTAAATAATTACTTCAATCTTTCTTTTGAACATGTGTTTAGTCAGAGGAAAACAGAGTTTCACAGAACATTAAAAACTCAAAAAAGAAAGAAGAAAAATGTATCTTCTAAGATCTAGAACAACATTTAAAATCTTCCCCATCCTACTTATTTTATCTCTGGTGAATTTTGTTCCAGGAAACTTCCCATTAAATTACAATTTTATTTCAGTTTTGAATAAAGATGATCAGGTAACAAAATAGATAAAATAAGATGAAAATGAAATAAAACACATGGCAGAGCATAAATTAGTGAGGAAGAAGGTAATAAGCTGATGAATGTTTCATTAGGCAATATCTCACCTCCACAATTGCTGCATTGCTAAATTGGACATTATTAATATAAGTAAAGTGTGACTAATGGAATATTAAAGCATAAAGACATTTTCTTGAATTCACATAGGTTCAAACAGCTAATTAGCTAAAAGACAAAGAGCAAAGAAAACCACTAATAAATATAAGTAGCAACTGATAAGGTCTCAATAAAGCTATAAAAAAGAAATTGTCAGTAAAGTGAGATAAATAATTGTAGTATAAATTGATTTTGTTCATTTATGCCTTATTCCTATGGCTGATGATAAAATCAACACTTTCATAAATAATTTTAATCACGAATTTAGATTCAGCTATAAATAGCCTTTTTTCTGAAATATTTGAATTTCATATATACATAGAAGCTTCCATGTAAGAGTCAATATATGCACAGGGTAAATGGATGATATTTGAATTAAGATAGATTCATCTTTTCTGACATAGCATGAATCTGAAAATACAAAATTTAATTCTATAATTAAATCTCTGGAAACATTCCTTTCTGAATAAATAATCAATTTAACTAATTAGAGCACTTATACGTAAGACTTGGTATAATAAATGTCACCTGAGCTTGGTTAACACCAAATATACTGTGATATGTTCCATATAATTTGAACCCAACTCATTTAAAAATGCAAATTCATGTGCAAGTATACAAATTTCATAATATGAAATTTAAGCATCAAAAATATTATTTCTAAAGGGTATAAAAGTTACTAGACTAAAAAAAATTAGTGAATCCTTGCTCATTTGTACTTTCTAATATGCTGCAAAAATGTAATTTGAATTTTAAGTAGGAGTCTACTGAATCCATGCTGCAACAGTGGTTTGTTATTTTTAATTTTAAAAATTTAAAACTATTATAAAAGTGGCAAGAAAATAAGCCATTGTTGAAAGACAAGAAGGGTTGGCGAGGATGTTTTTTAAGGAAATTAGATAAGATTAACATAGACACAAATAGTTTCCAAAGTTTTCTAATTTTAGAAACATAGAAACTAAAGAAATCTGACTTCATGCCAGTACCATACTGTTTTGTTTGCTGTGGCTTCATAATATATTTTAAAATCAAGAGGTGTAATGTCTACAGCTTTGTTGTTCTTTCTCAAGACTGATTTTTCATTTGTGGTCTCTTGTGATTCCATATGTATATTAGAACAGAGTTACAGAGAGTTTCAGTAACATATCCAAGTTTACCAAATTAGTAGGTGCTGGATCTGAGCCATAAACATTGAGTCCACCATCCACCACTATAATGTATTCTTTCCCATGGATTACTGAAGACAGGGTGCTAGAAGTCTATATTATAACCAAAAAGTATCCAAAAAAAGGAGGATGACAGAGAGGGGGAGGCAGAGGGAGAAGAGGAAGAGGAAAAGCACAAAATTCAAGAAGTAAAGAAAAAAGATAAAAATTATATTAAAAGTATGACCTTGTATTATTTAATGGAGTTTCAACACTAATATATAATTAAAAGGTATATTATTTTTCATGTATTAAAATATTTTTCTGGAATATTTAATTTATTTAAGCTTTGATATTATTTCTTTCAGGAAAATAAATTACCTCATTTAGCTTAGACTGAGTAACACCAGATTTTGCATTACAGCAATTTTTTATAAGCTAATGATTCATTCACAATCTTTTTGAACCAATCTTGAACTAATTCTCATTGCCAATCATAATTCAGAATCTTTTATCTTTCACTTATATCATTGCAAGGGTCCTCTAATTGGTCTTCTTACCTCTATTTTTTCCCAGTCTCCCTTTTTTTTCTCTCTCTGCCTCTCATAAATTTATCCTAAACAACTCTTTCTGAAACATACTTCAAATGAAGTATTGAAATAAGTCAAAATATAATTTGGGCTTTTTAATCATTTGATTCTTATTCATAACCCTGAAATTCTGCCTCTATGTTAGTGCTCTCAACTTCCAGCTAGAAATGGAGAAAGCAGATGTTATCTAGTTTATTTATTTAATCAGGCTCTGACAAGTGATAGTTTAAAAGCGTATGTCAGATTTTTTTCTTTTTTGTGTGCTTTTATAGTAAAGAGAGTATCAATAAGAAAAACACATTGCTGCATCAGTTAGCTATTTCTTTATAATAAATTATTCCAAAGCTTAGAAGTTTAAAACAAGAATTTAAATTATCTCATAATTGGGGGTTTTAATGGGTGGTTTTATAAACTAGATCATCTTGGGTGGACTCTGCTTAGCCTTCTCATATATCTATTGTCAGTTGCTAGGTCATGAGGTACCCAGAAGATTTAAAGTGTCTTCACTTAGGTTTATAGCCATAGACAAACTGTTGTCTCAGGTGCATTGCTTTTCTCCACATATTTTCTCATCCTCCAGCAGACACTGGATTCTTCACCTTAAGATTTCCACATTTAACAATAACAAAACAGCATCAAATGCCAAAATTTTTCAAGCATCTATCTTTGCCACTTTTACTGAAGTCCCATTGGCTTAGTAAATCACATGGCCAATCCAGATTCAAGGACTGGTGAAGCAGGAGCCACTTCTTGATGGAAAGCTGGGACAGAATTGTAATTTATATGTCTATGAATTTGCTTATTTCATCTAAGTTATCAGTTTTTTGCATGAAGATTTTCATAATAGTCCTTTATAATATTAGTGATATTACTATGGTGATCTCTCTGTTTTTGAAGATTGGTGTTATTTTAACTTTATGGAAATAAAAGAATTGTAGTTAATTCCACTTAGTATATTAACTGATATAACATTTTGGGATATATTACAAAAAATACTGAAGCAGTTTTACAATAGTTTGGTAATAGATGGTGAGGTACATTTAATAAACAGAAATAAGTTTATGTACAAAAGTACAACTAATTCACTGATGTAACCATAAAATATACTTTTCCGGAGATACTATAAAGTTAATAATACCTCGACACATTTCTTAAGAGAAACCAGATAAAAAATTAATTCTGCTTCTTGTACTGGGACTATATGCTGAGTGCTGAAAAAGTGCATTGACACATATGGTTGCTGCAGTGAAGCAAAGCTCACTACCTGTAGCCCATATCCAATAAATCTTTTATTAATGAATCCCTCATTTATTATGAATTGTTATTCATGCCTATGCAGTGTTAGGAAAGAAGAATGGCAGTATGTTCAGGCTGATATTAAACTTAATGATTTTTTAGCCAAGATGAGGAAACATGGTATTATGACATTAAAGTCTGGCCAATTTTCTACCATTCACCTCTCTTTTACAACAAGATGGGCCATTCATTACAGCTGCAAAAACATTTTTATGTTGCAATAAAATTGCATAAAGTATCATATCTTTTCCCAATTCTTATCAAGTACTTCACTTAAAGTACACATGAATGCAAATTCTTCCATCCCAATATTTTTAAATTTTTATGATGATCAAGATATTATATTCATCGTATATATATTTGTCCATGAACGTTTACTATGCCTTTTTCATACATTTGCTGTATATCATACTTTTTACAGCTATAGTTTACATGGTTATTTGCTTACTAATTTCATAGAAATAGACATGACATGCTAGATAACATACCATGATATGTAAGTTCAGGCTATGAATTCTCTCCTGAGGATGATTTATTATTCTATAATTCTATGAAAAACTAAGATACTATGATAACAAAGTATACTTTAATAAAGACTGAATCTTTTGATTTATTGAACACATAAATGCAAAAATTAGAGACATGGTCAGAATATGTGTGTATGCATAGATACACATATAGGTATACATACACAAATAGATACATATGTATTTGTGCTTGTGTCCATGTTTATATAAAACATTTATATATCCATTAAATATAATGATATAATTTTATTTAATGAACTTAGACCAGCTAGTCACAAAAGATGTTATTTTTATATTTATATTTATTTTAATAAATAAGTTATATTACTATAATATAAAATAAATTATTGTTAAATACTTTTGAAGATATGTGTTATGTTTTCCCTAAAACTCCTGTACTTTTGTATGACTTCCACTCAAAGAAAGGTGTTTTTGTGAATCACACCAGTAAACTGACATAAAGATGTACCTTACTGAAAGAAATCAGTACTTAAAATTATTCATAAAATATGTCTTAGGAATATAATCCTTCCTTCCCGATATTTATCTGTAGCTGACACTACCCTTCACTGCCAGCTTAATGCTTATGCTGTTGTTTAAAGGCTAATATTTTGGTTATCTCACAGGGATGTCCAATTCAAACTAAGAAAGACTACCTCATAAACTCTTTCCCCACTCTGTGTTGATTGCTTCACCATATACCTGCTAACTGAAGATAGAAACCTCAGATGCTTAAAATAATCAGATTCCTTTATGTCTAAAAAATAAAGTAAAATCTCCTTAAAATTCACTCCAATCAATATTCCCATCCTTACAAATATACATGAACTCTTCATGTCTACCATATAATACTACTCCAAATTATTTCAGTAAGCCATCTACTACCCTATTTCTTTGCTTTGGTGGGAAAAAAAAAATCACATCTATTCATTTATTAAAGGCCTGCCATGTTCCAGACATTGCTCAAACAACTGAAACACACAAATGAACAACAACAGCAAAAGCAAAACGAATTGTCTATGTGGGATATATTAGGTTGTGTCTGGAGTTTAAAAGAGAGCTGTAGGTTGGAGACGTGAATTTGGGTATCATTAGTATATACATGCTATGTAAATATATCAGATGAAATTAGATCACCAAGGGAGTGAGTGTAGACAGAAAAAAAAAATGGTGCAAAGGGTAAGGAAAAGAAGAAAGACCGGCAAAGAGACTGGTAGGTTTGATGGACAGGAGGTCACGGTAGGTCAATAACTTGTTAGATTTGGAATTCTAGAGGAAGTGAACTAGAAAGAAAGAGGAGTAATCAAAGAATGAGATATATGAAACTGAGATAATGGAAAGGTTACACGTATTGGAATTGACATGCTCTGGGTTCTGACCATAAGAGTGAATGGCTGAGACAGTGGTGGTCAAGCTCCTTGCAGGGGAATATTTAAAGTAATGGAGAGGCCAAAGGGTTGGAAGAATCATCTCTTTATTCAAATCATCAGGAAATAAGATGTAAGGAGATTTGGTAAGAACAACGAGATAATAGCTAGAAATCATCGAGAGGTGAAGGGAGTTTCCAGATATTTGTAAATAACACAATAAGAAATAGCCATGTACAGTAAGATGGGAGATTCAGAATTGTTAGTTTTAGGGACAATGGAGGGAGTCTGGAATTGTCAATGAGAGACCTAAAGGACAAATACTTCATCTTTAATTCTGGTGGTTTTAGAAATCTGAAAAAAAAAAGTATCACTTCAGAGGGTTTCAGGAAAAGAGGTATCATCAGGAGAGATCCAAGTTTCTGTTAGAGTAAAATGTTGAAGAAAAATTTCAGAAAAGAGGTTGACAATATGAATCGTAGAGAGTTTGAGAGTGGTCAGAGATGAGGACTAAAAAGGTCAGCTACGAGTTTAGAAAGTATTCAAGAGATAACCCAGGAGGTATAAGAAAGTTTGGGGCTTCCTGTAGTACTTGCAACAATCTTATGAGTTTAATGATAGTAAAATCCAGTTATATAGTTTTAGCAAAAATGTGCTTGCTGTGAGGCATGGAGTAGTGAGTATCCCAATGTACAGGGGTAAAGATCCTGCTCAGGGGTTGTGTGGAATTACTTAGAGCATGTAGAGAGAATTGAAGACTTTGTGGGAAATTTGTCTTACCTGAAACAGAATTCCCTTCTATCCTTTGCTGATAAAAGTTTGAAAGCTTGAGAAATACTCCCACCTTTTAAGGCCCAGTGGCAATGTCGATCTCTTTATTCTCTGCCTATCACAGGGTGGTGACTTATTTTCTCTTCTTGGTTCCTTCTGTTCACCCAACTATCACCATAGTGGCTGCTTTTCTCTCCTTCTACTGTGTTAAGACTCTTCAGTGCAGGAATAATTTATCTTAATACCCACTATGTCTAGCATAGAGTCTCGTATATTTGTGGTACTCAAGAAGACTATGGTTGGTGGATGAAAGTATAATATTTTAAATCAGGGCTTCTCAAACTTTCATTTGCACAAAAATCACCTAAGTAGAAATCTGTTTAAAATGCAGATTCTGATGTCTGGGTTGAGTGTGACATTTTGCATTTTTAATAAGAGATCAGGGAGGGCTGCTGCTGCTGGAACTCTTCTTTGAGTTAGTATGTTCTAGAATGTATCAAGTACTGGGGAACTATACATTAACATTTTGATTATATTGCATTGTTCCTGGAATCATTAAAAAAGAATTCACAATTTTGCTAATCAGTATCAACAGAATTTTATTCCTACCTTTTAGATTTTGCTTTGCTAGAATCCTTAATAAAGCTTTGTATTTAATTAATATTGAACTCCAGGTAATATCGTATTATTGTCCTTATAAGATTGAATCAGGGAAACTAACCATGAAGTTTTATGAAGAGCAGGATAGTAGCTAGAAATTTATTAGGAAAATATCCTCTGATGAACTGATCTTTTGTCCATAGTGGTTAAGGGCATGCAATGTCACAAGAATTGGTATGACTTGGAAACATATTTATTCTTGGATCTCTTTAGACATGGAGTTTTCAATAGGGTTATGGTCAGTAAGCTGCACATTTTGTTAAACAGTTTAATTACTTAGTAGTGAGATCATTTAGAGAACATTTACTGTTAATAATATCTGATCAATATTTTAAGAACATTCTGTTCTATTGTCACTTTAGAGAGAAAATAAATAAATAAATAAACAAAAGAACTTTCTGGGGAAAATGGCATGCCTACCATGTTCCAAAATGACAAAAATCCTACCTAGCTGAACTACCCCAAAACAAAGTACAGGAATTTTGTATTCCCAGGTTAAAAATAAAAAATCTTACGTTTAATCCATCCTGTTTCTAGAATGATTATACAGCAGATGTTTAATTTCATTTGGAATTAACTCTGTGAATTTACTGTTTCTTACATTTAAGGACACAAAAATGTAATTTTTTCCTATATGTAGTCATATACATATATATGTGTGTATAGATAGATATACATATATATGTGTGATAGATATCACTACACAATATAATGATATAGTGTGTGTGTGTGTGTGTATATATATATGTATATACATAGTAAAACAAAATAAACCCTAACACAGACTATTAAATAAAATAAGTCCTAACACAATTTATACATTTTTTATTTTATTTTTTTGGAGACGGGTTCTCGCTCTATTGCCCAGGCTGGGGTGCATGGTGTGACCATATCTCACTGCAGCTTCAAACTCCTGGGCTGAAGCAATCCTCCTACCTCAGCCTCCAACGTAGCTGCGATTACATGCATAAGTCACCACACCCAGCTTAATTTTAATTCAATAGGAATAATAAGAGTATTATAAAATCAGGGAAATGGTGTGATAACCAGTCTTTCATGATAAAACATAAAAAACATATTTGCTTAGAAATTTGAAGATGCATATAATGATAAAAATTCAACTCAAATAAAACCATGTTACTGACATCATGTCTTTAGAACTGTGTTCACTTGTTAATCATTACATCTCTATTAGTGGAGACACAAGGGTTTTATGTGTCTCTTAATTTAATTGGTAAGTTCTGCAGAGCTTTTAGAGCCCATTTGATGTTCCTACATTTTCTATTCATAGAATATTATGTAAACCTAGTTAAAGCTTTATCTGTACTTATAAATCTGAGAACATTAGGTACTAAGAAATATGCCATGGTAACTCCTTCACTCATTTCACTCAATTAGTTTTGATAAATGGATTTTATAATAAAACTATGCTTTAAGATATCCTCAATTTTTATATGATTTTGAAAGTAGAGATGGTTAAAATCCATATTAGGGAAACTAGCAATTTTAAGAATAATTATCCATTTACTGAAAATTTGGGGCTAGATGATCTTTATGATTTACTACTTATAAATTATCAAGAAAAACTTTAAAAATTATAAAGCAAATTTATATGTTTATGATCTCCCAAAGCAATATGTTTTAATAATACACAAATATTTGAAATGAAACACACATTATATACAGATAAATTTTTGTTTTAAAAACATCTTCGGCTATATAGACATACTGGTACATGATGCCATTATCTACGTACACTAATTTAAACAAATTATTCTTTTTTAAATGGAAAGAAGTTAAAAGAAGTCTGTATAATTTTACTCACAATTATTCAGGGTCATTTAAACATTTATTTAACCAGTAAATAGAGAAATAATATACGAAGTTCAAAGAGTGCTTAGGCCATCAATTATTTTATGTTAGGAATATTTTCTAGATTATTTAAGAAACAATTTGTGTTAGGTTGGTGAGGAGAGATAGGTAGTCTTCCTCTAAAGTATAGTTATTTTTATAAAATCAGCTTTTGAAGCTGATCTCTTCAGAAATCAAGAAAAATAATCTTTTCTTACAGACTCTCTATTTACTTATTTTCTGTCAGTTTATTAAATAGAGTTCCTAACTACTGCCTATTTTCTGGTATTACTGCCCTATATGAACGGCATAAATAGCCTTTTACTGACCTCACTCAAAATTCAACTTTCATTTTACTTTGATCTAATTATTAATAACTTTGTATAATTCTCACCTCCCAAACTTTTCCCTTCAGTTCTGATATTAAAAATATTGCCGGCCGGGCGCGGTGGCTCACGCCTGTAATCCCAGCTCTTTGGGAGGCCGAGGCGGGCAGATCACGAGGTCAGGAGATCGAGACCATCCTGGCTAACACAGTGAAACCCCATCTCTACTAAAAATACAAAAAATTAGCCCGGCGTGGTGGCGGGCGCCTGTAGTCCCAGCTACTCGGGAGGCTGTGGCAGGAGAATGGCGTGAACCCGGGAGGTGCAGCTTGCAGTGAGCCAAGTTCATGCCACTGCACTCCAGCCTGGTTGACAGAGCGAGACTCCGTTTCAAAAAAAAAAAGAAAAAAGAAAAAAAATATTGCTATTAGAGAAAGACGTTGAGAGCTCAATCTATTAGGACTCTTCATTCTCATGGCATGCCTTTTCTCACCTTTCTTTATTTAATAAGAGAAAAATGCCTTTCCATTTCTTCAAATAAATTGTAGCACCTGGGCTTCAACTCCCACCAATTTCTTACTCCTGAAGGATTGTACGACCACATTTATTTCTTCTTTTAAAATATTCCATCTCTTCTTTGCTAGTGGTTTCTCATTCAAAAACACAACAAAAATTCCCGAATATTTAAAACAAAATAAAATTAAGCAATTTTAACTTGATTTTGTTGACTTCTCTAGCAATAATTTATGTCCCTGAGCCAATAAAAAATTATTTTGCATATATCTCATTCTTTTCCTGTTCAACCCCTTAATTACCTTAATCCCTATGGAATTATGAAGCATAAAACTTCAGAAATTATAAGGACACATATTTACAGTGTTTTAAAATCTGTATCTTTTTCTATTTTTCTCCTGCCATTGAATTTACAACCTTTGGGATTAAATTCTGTTTTCCAGCCCAGTCTTCCTACCAGTCTCTGCCTTTTGTAACACTCTAATGCCCTGAACTTCCTACCTTTCCCAAGAATTCCTCTGTCTCTTTCATATATTTTCCTTTGGAACTTAAGTTTAATATATCTTACATTTATACACTGAAAAATATAAAATGTGAAGAAAACTAAATATCTAAATAAATGAAGAGACATTTTATGTTGACTATACCCTGATAGGAAGCTACATTCAGAATGATTGAAATATAGAGTGACCAATCACTTGGGTTTGTCTGGATTGTTTCATGGGATGTGGGACTTTTAGTGTTAAAACCAGGAAAGCCTGAAAAATCAGGCAAAGTTAACCATGTTGTGAAATGTTCTAAAACTAAGTTGTAGTGATGGCACACAACTAGACATTTACTAAAATCGTTTAATCATGTGGATTGAATTTATGATATGTAAATTATAACTCAATAAGGTTACTAAATAACAGAATGATAAAAATATTGGATATGCCACACAAATAGTCTTGATTAATGAAGTAAGTGCACTAATTTAAGGTAAATATTGGGAACCTATAAATGTAAAAAAAAAAGACAAACCTGTCTCAACTTACTGATTTAATAAATTATAACAAAATTTAATTTTATATTGTATTAATGTTTGAAAGTTATAAAATTGTATATTACATTTTCAAGAAAAGACAAATTTACTGTTCAGGTTATATAAAAATAAAATGAAGAAGTCGATATCAATCTAGTGCTAAATTAAAGATGTCACAATTTTGGAGAGCAAGTTGGGGGTTTGATAAATAAGCATCTCTCCAGGTTTACCGGTTTTTCCTCGCTGGAGGAAAAAAATCTACCTCGTGTTAAAACAGCTGTTGAAGTATTTAATTTCTTATTTTATGCATATATAACATGTAAAATTAGAATTGGCCTTTATTACACAGTTTTTTAAACTTTGAATATTATTTAAAGAAAATAAAAATATTTTCTTATTTTACATGAAAGCAAACCGTGGCATTTTAAATTACTTTTATTTTATTCCTTAATGATGAGAATTTATATAATACAAGCACATTTTATTTTATACTATCTTACTACATTATTAATCTCTAATAGATTATAGTGGTTTAGCTTAAAAAATTATATAGCCAGAGGCATTACATAATTTTGGGTACCAGAAAAAAAAGCATGATTGAAAATGTGCATCTCCAAGAGAACCTTGCTCTAACAGCTCAATGCAGAGCCTCTAACCTCAATGCAGAATGACCTATTCTATTTCAAGGAATCCATTTTTCCCCCACACTCCCTATTTCCACAGCTATACTAAAATTCCCACCCATTAAGTGGATGAGGAATTAGAAGAGAGAAAGGGGCTAGACCAAGTGTTTGTTCATCCCTAATACCTTAGGAATGTGTTTAGAAATATCTAGAGATGTTAATGGGAAATCCTGGTGGATTCTGAAAACATTTCTGGAAGATTGGGATATGTGCAAATGTATTCGGCAATGCATCCAGCCTAACACCAGAATATCGCTGAGCTTGTGAGTTTACAAACAGCTGAGAGAGTTGTTAACATGAAAGGAGACAAATATTTTTTCTTTGGCAAGATCTCTTTTGTCTAGAAAAATGGAAAATAAGAGAGTCTAAAACATTTAATGTGTATCAAAAGCTATGATATAGATTAATTCATATGACTCTTTAAAATTATGGAATTGTTTATTTCCTTCCACTCTTCCCCCAACATGCCTTCCAGAAGATTAAAAGAGAAAGAAAAAGAGAATGGAAGGGAAGGGAAAAAGGAAGGGAAAAAAGAAGAGAAAAGGGAAGGAAAGGGAAAAGGGAAGGGAGAGGGAAAGGGAAAAGGGAAGGGAAGGGAAACTACCTGTAAAAAATAAAGAATGCTATTATTTTTGATATTTGAATATTATTGTGTACAAATTTTCAACCACAAACATTTCAAATTCTAGAACACAAAATGCTACAGGAATTTTGGAAAGTTTTTTTCCTGTAAAGAAGGAAAGAGAAATTTTTCTTATAAAGACGGAAAGAGAAATTGGATAGTAGCTTCAGGAGGATGTGGGATCAAGAAAGATTTATATTCTTTTGCTGAATTTTTTTTTTATTTTGCCTGGTGTTACAGTTCATGCCTGTAATCCTAGCACTTTGGGAGGCCAAGGCAGTAGAATTGCTTGAGGCCAGAAGTTCAAGAGCAGCCGAGGCAACACAGTGAGACCTTGATGATACAAAAGTAAAAATAAAAATTTAGCCAGTCATGGTGGTGAGCACTTGTCTTCCTAGCTACTCTTGGGAGGCAGGAGAGGAGAAGATAGCTTGAGCCCAGGAGTTCCAGGTTACAGTGATCTATGACTGTACCACTGAACTCCAGCCTAGATGAAAGAAACACTATCATACATATATATATATATATATGTGTGTGTGTGTGTGTGTGTGTGTGTGTGTAATCTTATGTATATAAAATTCATATTTCAAGTTACTTAATCTCATAAGGTCAGTAAATTCTTTCCCCAAACTGTTATTATTCTTAATATTTAAAAGTTACTCTCTTCCTACATATTTTTCTCCATTCTTACTGCTACTTTCTCTGGTTTTCATTGCTACAGGTCTTTACCCTTCCTCCCTGAAATTGTATTAACTAGGCTACTAAGTTTCATGGAAAATATTTACTAGACATGATATCCTCAAAAACTATGCATTTATGAGTTGTCATAAGCCATAGGAAAATATGTATGAGCACATGGATGTATATATGTTCATCATATTTCAAACCACAAAGTGCATGGGAAAGGGTGGGAGAGTGTCAGGATTGAGTCTTCTCTGAAGTTCAATAAATTCACTGGAAAAATGGAGAACCCTGTAGAACTCGTGGTGAAGGATAAGATTGGAAGATATTTTACATTTTATGTCTAACTTATAGTTGAATTAACCAGTTTTTTTCCACTCTTATCTTGTCATCAATTTATACTTATTATGTCCCAGTTCTTTTTGACATTTCATAGCCCCTTTCTTTAATCTGATATTCTTAAAAGCACACCCAATAACTTTTGCTTTTCTCCATATATACACATCACAAAAGCTGAGACAAAAACATATCATGTTTTAAAAAACTTTATTAAATAGCATATCCATTTATATTTTTGACCTAAAATTATGTACCTATTAATTTAATGAAACTGCATATATCAAGATAAATCAGTGAGGTAAAATTTAATATTATGGGGCACACTATAAAAATATAAAATAACATATAAAGTTTTTTACTATTAAAAGAAATTCAGAATAAAATTCTGTGCCTCAATAAAGAAAAAAAGATTGAACACTCTAGTGTATTAAATTATATGTGACATGTTGGAATATAGATACTTTCATGGTATTACTTGTATCTGATGAGAATTTGAAGAGTCACATAAATAACTAATATATGAAATTATGCTGTAAATAACACACCTATAAAAATGTCCAGGGAAGAAAGGAAAACCTGAAGTGCAATATAAAACTCAATTATTTTCTGTTCTAAAGAGCAGCCTGTCATCAATGATATTACAAAGAAGACAATATTCTATCTCAACAGAACTAACACTGGTTGACTGACACAAACAACCATAATGCAAAACAAATTTCTTTAGACAGATTTATGCAGTAGCTGAGATGTCTATTTTGTGCATCTTCAGCTTTTATCTTCTGCAAACTATATGCTAGTATATAGATCCTGCTATTTCCACCTCATCAAAAAAACTAAAGATAACCTATGTTTTTAAAATATCAGTTGCCAATTTTTAAAATATCAGTTAAAGAGACAGCAAAATGAAACAAAATAAAGTCATATGCATTTCAACAGTAATAATTGTAGAGCTGCAAATGCATCTGGTAAATGCAAAGAGAATTAAAGTGAACAAAGACAATTTTTCAGACAAAAAATTTTCTGTGCAGCTGTTTGAGACAGAAGAATCTTAAAATTTCCTGGACATTTGATGCCTTTTTAGTGTGTGAAATACTAAAAATAAATTTTTCTTAAACAAGAAATGTAAAAATCTGGATATTGAAGTGCATTGAAGTATGTTGGATGCCCTGAGAAATATTTGCCTGCATTTTATCACTATAGTCACTATATTTAACAGTCAAGTTCTTTCTCCAAATTTTGCTCCAGTTCTCTTCAAATTTTATTCCATGCTTCCACTCTTAATCTGATCTTTTTCTTCAATTAAACTTATTCAAAGAGAAATGACTTTGTGATAGTTAATTTTATGTGTCAACTTCACAGAGCTATGGGATACCCAGATAGCTGATAAAATATTATTTCTGGATATTTCTGTGAGTGTGTTTTGGAATGAGATTAGCATTTGAATTGGTAGTCTGAGTAAAGAAGATTCAACTGTTGCAGGTCCAAATAGAACATAAAGGCTAAGAGACAATTTGCTCTTCCTTCTTTGAGCTGGAACATTCATCTTCTCCTGCCCTTAGACATTGGAGCTCCCAGTTCTTCAGCTTTTGGTCACTGGTACTTACACAAACAACCCCCTGGTTCTAAAGTCATTAGACTAGAACTGGAAGTTACACATCTACTCCCCTTGTTCTCAGGCCTTGAGACTCAGGCTGAATTGTACCAGCTTTCCTGGTTCTACAGACTGCAGGTAGTAGATTGTGGGACTTCTTGGCCTCCATAACCACTTGGGAAAATACTCATAACAAATCTCCATGCTATAAAACATATGATAATTCATAAGTTTATTTATTATTAAAAGGAATCCAGAAAAAATATCTGTGCCTCTTTCTATATATTTATCTCTGTGTACGTGTGTATATGTATATGTGTGTGTGTGTACACACTATTTTATTTCTCTCAAGAACCCTGATAAATACAGATTCCCTAGTTCATCTTTTCTGAGATAAATCTAAGTTGTGCCCATTTTGTGCTCAATCATACATCCTCTTGAAAATCATTATTAAGAGGGTTTAGGGGGGCTATTCAGAGGAAGGAAATGCCTTCAGAAAAGATGCTAGAGAAAGGTAAATTCTAGACCTTGTCTCACAGTGTTCTTTAGTAATGGCATCACCTTGAGATCTTTGAAGAAATGTAGAACCCTAAGACAGAAGCCTAGGCTTATTCCAGAACTACTGAATCTAAATCATCACTTTAACAAGTAGATGATTCTAATGCACATTAATCATTGAGTAGTGCTGGCACAAAATACATGTATGTGAAGTCAGTCCAATCTACTAGAAAGCTACTGAAGCAAAATTTGTACTTAATAATATGCAAGCATGCTTTATGTGAATATAGTTCTGAAATATAATTAGGGGTGTGGAAATGGGAAGTTTTCATACATCTGTGAAACTGAAAGCAGAAAAAGTAATATTTTACAGAGATAATTGTGGTAAACATTTCAATTAGTTGATATAATATTGTTAAATAAAAAGGTGTGCGTATTTTTAATCTGATAAAATGATAAATGGTTAGCTACAAAGCATTATGTATGGATGGATAGATAGAGTGTTAGATAAATACTTTTTTAATCATTTAAGAGTAGATTGCAGGTGCAGCTGGCAAGATGGCCAAAATAGAAAAGCTCCGGTCTGCAGCTCCTAACAAGATTGATGCAGAAGGCAGGTGATTTCTGCATTTCCAACAGAGGTACCAAGTTCATCTCACTGGGACTGGTTGGACAGTGGGTTCAGCCCAAGGAGGGCCAGCCGAAGCAGGGCGGGGCTCTGCCTCACCTGGGAAGTGCAAGGGCTCAGGGAACTCCCTCTCCTAGCCAAGAGAAGCCATTAGGGACCGTACCGTACACTTCGGCCCAGATAGTGTGCTTTTCCCAGTCTTCACAACCTACAGACCAGGAGATTCCTCCAGTGCCTACACCACCAGGGCCCTGGGTTTCCAACACAAAACTCTGAGCCCATTTGGGCAGACACCGAGCTAGCCACAGGAGTTTTTTTTTTTTCATACCCCAGTGGCGCCTGGAATGCCGGCAAGACAGAACTGTTCACTTCCCCGGAAAGGGCGCTGAAGTCAGGGAGCCAAGTTGTCTGGCTCGGTGGGTGCCACCCGCACGGAGCCCAGCAAGCTAAGATCCACTGGCTTGAAATTCTCTCTCCATGATAGCAGTCTGAGCTAGACCTGAGACACTCAAGCTTTGTGGGGGGTGGGGCATCTGCCATTGCAGAGGATTGAGTAGGCGGTTTTACCCTCACAGTGTAAACAAAGCCACCAGGAAGTTTGAACTGGGTGAAGCCCACTGCAGCTCAGCAAGGCCACTGCTGCCAGATTGCTTCTCTAGATTTCCTCCTCTCTGGGCAGGGTATCTCTGAAAAAAATGGCAGCAGCCCCAGTCAGAGACTTAACAGATAAAACCCCCAACTCCCTGGGACAGAGCACCTGGGGGAAGGAGCAGTTTTGGGCTCAGCTTCAGCAGACTTAGACGTCCCAACCTGGTAGCTCTGAAGAGAGCAGCGGATCTCCCAGCACAGCATTCCAGCTCTGATAAGGGAGAAGCCTGCATCCTCAAGTGGGTCCCCGACCCCCAGTGTATCCTAACTGGGAGACATCTCCCATTAGGGGCCGACATACACCTCATACGAGAGAGCTCTGGCCAGCATCTGATGGGTGCCCCACTGGGATGAAGCTTCCAGAGGAAGGAACAGGGAGCAATCTTTGCTGTTCTGCAGCCTCTGCCAGTGATACCCAGGCAAACTGGGTCTGGAGGAGACCTCCAGCAAACTCCAGCAGACCTGCAGCAGAGGGGCCTGAGTGTTAGAAGGAAAACTGACAAAAAGGAATAGTATCAACATCAACAAAAAGGACATCCACTCAGAGATCCCATCTGAAAGTCACTCACTTCAAAGACCAAAGGTAGATAAATCCACGAAGATGGGGAGAAACCAGCGCAAAAGGCTGAAAATTCCAAAAACAAGAATGCCTCTTCTCCTCCAAAGGATCACAACTCCTCAGCAGCAAGAGAACAAAACTGGATGGAGAATGAGTTTGACGAATTGACAGAAGTAGGCTTCAGAAGGTGGGTAATAACAAACTCCTCTGAGCTAAAGGAGCATGTTCTAACCCAATGCAAGGAAGCTAAGAACCTTGAAAAACGGTTATACGAATTGCTAACTAGAATAACCAGTTGAGAGAAGAACATAAATGATCTGATAGAGCTGAAAAACACAGCATGAGAACTTTGTGAAGCATACACAAGTATCAATAGCTGAATTGATCAAGCAGAGAAAGGATATCAGAGATTGAAGATCAACTCAATGAAATAAAGGATGAAGAAAAGATTAGAGAAAAAAGAGTGAGAAGAAACAAACAAAGCCTCCAAGAAATGTGGGACTATGTGAAAAGACCAAATCTACATTTGATTGTTGTACTTGAAAGTGACAGGGAGAATGGAACCAAGTTGGAAAACACTCTTCAGCATATTACCCAGGAGAACTCCCCCAGTCTAGCAAGACAGGCCAACATTAAATTCAGGAAATACAGAGAACACGACAAAGATACTCCTCGAGAAGAGCAACCCCAAGACACATAATCGTCAGATTCACCAAGGTTGAAATGAAAGAAAAAATATTAAGGGCTACCAGAGAGAAAGGTCGGGTTACCAACAAAGGGAAGCCCATCAGACTAACAGTGGATCTGTCTGCAGAAACTCTACCAGCCAGAAGAGAATGGGGGCCAATATTCAACATTCTTAAAGAAAAGAATTTTCATCCATGTGTAACTAACCTGCACAATGTGCACATGTACCCTAAAACTTAAAGTATAATTAAAAAAAAAGAAAAGAATTTTCAACCCAGAATTTCATATCCAGCCAAACTAAGCTTCATACATGAAGGAGAAATAAAATCCTTTACAGACAAGGAAATGCTGAGAAATTTTGTCACCACCAGGCCTACCTTACAAGAGCTCCAGAAGTAAGCACTAAACATGGAAAGGAACAACTGGTACTAGCCATTGCAAAAACATACCAAATTGTAAAGACCATTGACGCTATGAAGAAACTGCATCAACTAACAGGCAAAATAACCAGCTAGCATCATAACGTCAGGATCAAATTCACACATAACAACATTAACCTTAAATGTAAGCAGGTTAAATGTCCCGATTAAAAGACACAGACTGGCAAATTGGATAGAGTCAAGACCCATGAGTGTGCTGTATTCAGGAGACTCATCTGATTTGCAAAGACAAACATAGGTTGAAAATAAAGGGATGGAGGAATATTTACCAAGCAAACGGAAAGCAAAAAAAAACCAGGGGTCGCAATCCTAGCCTCTGATAAAACAGACTTTAAACCAGCGAAGATCAAAAGAGACAAAGAAGGGCATTACATAATGGTAAAGGGATCAATGCAACAAGAAGAGCTAACTATCCTAAATATATATACACCCAATAGAGGAGCACCCAGATTCATAAAGCAAGTTCTTAGAGACCCACAAAGAGACTTAGACTCCCACACAATAATAGTGGGAGACTTTAACACCCCATTGTCAATATTAAACAGATCAAAAAGACAGTAAATTAACAAGGATATCCAGAACTTGAATTCAGATCTGGACCAAGCAGACCTAACAGATATTTACAGAACTCTCCACCCAAAATGAACAGAATGCAGATTCTTCTCAGCACCACATCACACTTATTCTAAAATTGACCACATAATTGGAAGTAAAACACTCCTCAGCAAATGCAAAAGAATGGAAATCGTAATAGTCTCTCAGACCACAGTGCAATCAAATTACAACTCATGATTAAGAAACTCAAAACCAAACAACTACATAGAAACTGAACAACCTGCTTCTAAATGACTATTGAGTAAATAACGATATGAAGGCAGAAATAAAGATGTTCTTTGAAACCAATGAGAACAAAGGCACAAGGTACCAGAATCTCTGGGACATATTTAAAGCAGTGTGTAGAGGGAAATTTATAGCACTAAATCTCCACAAGAAAAAGCAGCAAAGATCTAAAATCAACACCCTAACATCACAAAAGAACTAGAAAAGCAAGAGCAAACAAATTCAAAAGCTAGCAGAAGACAAGAAATAATTCAGATCAGAGCAGAACTGAAGGAGATAGAGACATGAAAAACCCTTCAAAAAATCAATGAATCCAAAAGCTGGTTTTTTAAAAAGATCAACAAAATAGATAGACCACTAGCCAGACTAACAAAAAAGACAAGAGGGAAGAATCAAATAGATGCAATAAAAAATGATAAAGGGGATATCACCGACAATCCCATGAAAATACAAACTACCATCAGAGAATACTATAAACACCTCTACACAAATAAACTAGAAAATCTAGAAGAAATGGATAAATTCCTCGACACATACACCCTCCCAAGACTAAACCAAGAAGAATTTGAATCCCTGAATAGAACAATAACAAGTTCTGAAATAGAGACACCCTTTAATAGCCTCCCAACCAAAAAAAGGCCAGGACCAGACAGATTCACAGCAGAATTCTACCAGAGGTACAAAGATGAGCTGGTACCATTTCTTCTGAAACTATTCCAATCAATAGAAAAAGAGGGAATCCTCCCTAACTCATTTTATGAGGCCAGCATCACCTGATACCAAAACCTGGCAGAGACACAACAAAGTAAGAAAACTTCAGGCCATTATCCCTGATGAACATTGATGTGAAAACCCTCAATAAAATACTGGCAAAACAAATCCAGCATCACATCAAAAAGCTTATCCACCATGATCAAGTGTGTTTCATCCCTGGGATGCAAGGCTGGTTCAACATACACAAATCAATAAATGTAATCCATCACATAAACAGAACTAATGACAAAAACCTCATGATTATCTCAATACATGCAGAAAAGGCCTTCAACAAAATTCAACAACCCTTCATGCTAAAAACACTCAATAAACTAGGCATTGATGGAAAGTATCTCAAAATAATAAGAGCTCTTTATGACAAACCCACAGCCAATATCACACTGAATGGGCAAAAACTGGAAGCATTCCCTTCAATTTTAGAATAAGTGTGATGTGGTGCTGAGAAGGTCCAAGACAAGGATGCCCTCTCTTACAACTCCTATTCAACATAGTATTGGAAGTTCTGGCAAGGGCAATCAGACAAGAGAAAGAAATAAAGGGTATTCAATTAGGAAAAAAGGAAGTCAAATTGTCTCTGTTTGCAGAAGATATGATTGTATATTTAGAAAACCTCATCCTCTCAACTCAAAATCTCCTTAAGCTGATAAGCAACTTCAGCAAAGTCTCAGGATACAAAATCAATGTGCAAAAATCACAAGCATTCCTATACAACAATAATAGACAAACAGAGAGCCAAATCATGAGTGAACTCCCATTAACAATTGCTACTAAAAGAATAAAATACCTAGGAATCCAACTTACAAGGGATATGAAGGACCTATTCCAGAAGAAGTACAAACTACTGGTCAAGGAAATAAGAGAGGACACAAACAAATGGAAAAACATTCCATGATCATGGATAGGAAATATCAATATCATGAAAATGGCCCTACTGCCCAAAGCAATTTATTGAATCAGTGCTATCCCCATCAAGCTACCATTGACTTTCTTCACAGAATTGGAAAACTACTTTAAATTTCATATGAAACCAAAAAAGATCCTGCATAGTCAAGACACTCCTAAGCAAAAAGAACAAAGCTGGAGGCATCATGCTACCTGACTTCAAACTATACTACAAGGCTACAGTAACCAAAACAGCATGGTACTGGTACCAAAACACATACATAGACCAATGGAACAGAACAGAGGCCTCAAAAATAATGCCACAAATCTACAACCATTGATATTTGACAAACCTGACAAAAACAAGCAATGGGGAAAGGATTCCCTATTTAATAAATGGTGTTGGCAAAATTGGCTGGCCATATGCAGAAAGCTGAAACTGTTTCCCCTTCTTGCACTTTATACAAAAATTAACTCAAGATGGACTAAAAACTTAAACATACAAACTAAAACTGTAAAATCCTTAGAAGAAAACCTAGGCTATACCATTCAGGACATAGGCCTGTGCAAAGACTTCATGACTAAAACACAAAAGCAATGGTAACAAAAGCCAAAATTGACAAATGGCATCTGATTAAACTAAAGAGCTTCTGCAGGGCAAAATAAACTATCATCAGAGTGAACAAGCAACCTATAGAATGGGAGAAAATTTTTGCAATCTATCCATCTGACAAAGGGCTAATATCTAGAATCTACAAGGAACTTAAACTAATTTACAATTTTAAAAAATGACCAACCCCATCAAAAAGTGGGTGAAGGATATGAACAGACACTTCTCAAAAGAAAACATTTATGCAGCCAACAAACATATGAAAAAAAGCTCATCATCACTGGTCATTAGAGAAATGGACATAAAAACCACAATTAGATACCATCTCATGTCACTTAGAATGGCGATAATTAAAAGTCAGGAAACAACAGATGCTGGAGAGGATGTGGAGAAATAGGAATGTGTTTACACTGTTGTAAATTAGTTCAACCATTGTGTAAGACAGTGTCACAATTTGTCAAGGATCTAGAACTAGAAATACCATTTGACTCAGCAATCTCATTACTGGGTATATACCCAAAGGATTATAAATCATTCTACTATAAAGATGCATGCACACATATGTTTATTGCGACACTGTTCACAATAGCAAAGACTTGGAACCAACCCAAATGCCCATCAATGATAGACTGGATTAACAAAATCTGGCACATATACACCATGGAATACTATGCAGCCATAAAAAAGGATGAGTTCATGTCCCTTGCAGGGACATGGATGATGCTGGAAACCATCATTCTCAGCAAACTAACACAGGAACAGAAAACCAAACACTACATGTTCTCACTCATAAGTGGGAGTTGATCAATGAGAACACATGAACACAGGGTGAGGAGTATCACCGGGGCCTGTCAGGGGGCGGGGGCCAGGGCAGGGATAGCATTTGGAGAAATATCTAATGTAGATGACAGGTTGATGGGTGCAGCAAACCACAATGGCACGTGTATACCTATGTAACAAACCTGTATGTTCTGCACATGTACTCCAGAACTTAAAATATGATAATTAAAAAAAAAAAAAACAGAAAACAAAGCAAATCTGAGAATGTTCCCAAGGAGCAAGAATTGGGTTGTTTGTAACACAGGAATAGTAGGTGTGAAGTAAATTACACCTCCTGAATTAATGTACAAAAAAAAGAGTAGGTTGCAGGTATTATATTACTTTGCCCATACGTATGTGTGTCTTACGAATGACGACTCCTCTTATATAAGCATATTACAAAATCAGAAATTTCCATATAGACACAATGCTAATTTCTACTCCATAGTTCATAATTTTCACATATTTTTGCAAAAATGTCTATTATGACTATTTTCCCCAGTCTAAAACACCATCCAGGAATATGCATTAAATTTAGCTGTCATGTTTCCTTAGTCTATTTTATCTGGAACAATTTCTTCACATTTTTTGTAATTAATGACCTGAATATTTTTAAAAAGTATAGGCTAATAATTTTATTGTGCATTCATAACTTTGGCTTGAGTGATATTTCCTCTTGTTTTTCTTCTTATTTTTCCCAGATGCTAGCAGTGGAAAGATACTGTAACCAAAAACATCATCATTATGACAATGCCAACACATGAGATCAACTTTTGGCATGTGATGGCTGATTTTATTTTATTAACCTCTACTATTTAATTGCTCTGCAACTTTAGACAGGTAACTTACCCTCTAAGCTTCATTTTTTTTTAATTTCAAATTAGAAATTATATTGACTCTGCAGGATTTGGTGGATTAAAATAGTTTACATACAATATTTAGTATTAGCATAATACCTTCCAGGTAGAAAGCATAATGAATGGATAGTGATGCATATTTTGGAACATTCATCACGACTTTAAAACATAGTGATATATTTGAGAGAGCTAAATTCTAGGGTCTAATTAAAACTCTATACCTATCTCAAGAAAGTCTATGTCTAATGAGAAAAGATAGTGAATTTTTGTCATTCTAATAGCAAAAATGAAACACATTTTTAAAAATCATGTAAAGAAAAAAGCTCTAACCGTTATCTACTGACTCAAGCACATAGTAGCTTTGTGACATTGATCAAGCTATCTCCCCTCTCTAGGCATCAGTTGTCTAATCTGTAGGGTGTAGGATGTAAGTAAAGTGATTAACATGCATTTGCCATGTTGTTCCTTCACAAAACATGCTACTATAATGTCTGTGATACGTCTAAAGATTTTGTTCCTAAAAGCAGCATCTTTAACAACAAAATGTAAGGAAAGATGCTCCCATAAGTATTCATATTGCTTTTGGTTTTATAGTTTGGCTCTTCCAATAGTAATTTTATTTCAGTTTTAACTAAGTATATTATGCATATGTATTATCTCTAAGGCTGAAATATTTTGTAAAGCACTTCCAACTTGCCAAGTTGTATTTTTTTTATAAAATCAGCTTTATTAAGTGATCATTTATTTACAATTCCTCAAATTTTCCATAAATTTCAATATGCTATGACCAGTATAGACATAGTCAATAATCACCACCATATCAATACATAGAATGGTTCCATCATTCCAGTGTCTCACAAGATCTCAGTGATTTTTATGTGGTTTTTTGGCTTCTCTATTAAGTAATTTAAGCTTCCTTTATGTATAAGTACTTAATATATAAGGTAAAATAAAAGTTGTAAGGTAGTACCCACTCAGCTAAAAATTACTTCCTCTATTTCTCTTCTACTTAGGTATTTTAAGCTTCAGTGTGGTGGATATTGAAAATACAGTGTTAAAATTATTTAAATGAAACTACTGCAATGGATTTAAAAAGTTTCTGCCATAAAGGAGGAGGTCATCTACCTTCATAATATACATCTGGATTCTAATCTCCAAGCATCATTGGAAAACATAGTTATGGAAAAAATAAAAATCTTGGAGTACATTTTGCCATTTAACTGATTCTTCCAGAGGTTCACACTTGAGAGGAGAAAATATTGACTGTCAATATCTAGCATATTATAAAAGTTGCTGTGGCCAGATGGTGAAGGAAGCCGCCTTTTAGTTAAATTTTAGGCTGTGATTTATTAACATTTAACCCAAATGTGACTCTCTCAAAATGAAAACAATTTCATTACATATGGACTTTAGACATATTTCACACAGGTGCCTGTTTTCCTCTCAAATAGAGTGATCCCATTGGTGGGAATGTAAATTATTTCAGCCATTGTGGAAAGTAGTATGGCAATTTTTCAAAGAGCTAAATGCAGAACTACCATTTAACCCAGCAATTCCAATACTGGGTAGATAACCAGAGGAATATAAATTATTCTACCATAAAGACACATGCGGCACTATTCACAATAGCAAAGACATGGAATCAGCCTATATGCCCATTAGTGACAGATGGAATAAAGAAAATGTGGTACATATAAACCATGAAATACTATACAGCCATAAAAACAGAACGAGATCGTGTCTTTTGTGGGAACATAGATGGAGATGGAGGCTATTATTCTCAGCAAACTAACACAGGAACAGAAAACCAAATACCACATGTTCTCACTTGTAAGTGTGAGCTAAATGATGAGAACTTATGAACACAAAGAAGGAAACAACAGACACTGGGATCTACTCGAGGGTGGAGGATGGGAGAAGGGAGAGGAAGAGAAAAGATAACTACTGGTTACTGGGCTTAATTCCTGTGTGATGAAATAATCTGTACAACAAACCCCATAACATGCGTTTACCTATGTAACAAATCTTCACATGTGCCCCTGAACCTAAAATAAATGTTAAAGAAATCTGCAAGAAATGACAGAATTCTTTTGACTCTAATATTACAGTAAATTAAACATGTTCAAACTCAAATATATATATTTTTCCTTTATATATAGCAATATGTAAATACATATATTTCCTTTACATAGTTATATATATGTGTGTGTGTATATATATGTGTGTGTGTGTGTGTGTGTGTGTATATATATATATATTTCCTTTCAAATGCTTTTTGTGCCTCATTCTCAACTGTGATTTTGTCACCTAGAGTTTGACAATTTTTTCAGTAGGTTTAATACCTGGGTGTTGAAATAATCTGTACAGCAAACCCCCATGACATGTTTATCTATGTAATAAACCCGCACTTGTACCCCTGAACTTAAAACATACATATATACATATATGTACATGTAACTTACATGTTACAGGCATAAGAGAAATGGTTACATAGTTACAGGCTTAAGAGAAATAGTGTTTTAAGCACTAGGTTTTAATGCCAACATTTTCTACTTTTTAGTAATTTGTTTATTTTCTACAGATTTTATGAAAGACAACATTCTCCTTAATGTAAAAAGCTATGAATATTTTTATGTATCCAAGAACCACTTCTGTTATTTTCACTTAACTCAAAAGACATGTTGTTATCAATAATGGTATTAAGCATGCCAATGATAGCCTCTTACATTAATATAAAACCTACTATAAATCAGTAAAAGACTTCTTCATATTCACAGCAATTCTGAGACATAAGCAAGTTTTTAAATAGCTCTTTCATTCTTTCATATAACATAGAGACAAGGTTATTACTGACATGGAATTGAAAGCTAATTAAGCAAAAGCAAAGCTTAAAATTGATGAAAATATTTTAAACTATTTCCTGAGGAAAAGTCTAAATCCAGCTAAGAAAATTATACATTGCTATTTTAAAACTAAGTTGTCAATATGAAAAGTAATTTGAAAAAAGAAAATAAGTTGGTCAGCTCACTTAAAAGCAAATATTTGTTTTCATGCAGGAAATTAAATATTTTGACTAACATTCTACTAATGTACTAGAAAATCTCATGATTTTCTATTTGAAATCTATACAATTTGAAACAGATAAACCTAACATACAATAATTTACTGTTATTATTATTACTTTGTGCTTTCTACGAGTTTATCACCACTCAGTTTGATCTGATTATAAGTAACTACATGAAAAATATACAAGTATGTTATAATCATTTATCAAAATAGAAATGTCATGTCCTTCTCAACAAACTTATTTTAGGATATCCATTCATGAGATTATTTTGATCAGATACCTCTATGTTAGATAGCAAAATATTTCAGTCTAAAACTTAGTTTGGCATAGATCTACCTGACTATAAGAAGTACAAAATACAAACAAACAAAATTCACATTGTTTTCTATGTCACTTTTTAAATCTGCTTAATATTGGTTATTACAAATTATTTAATTTGTTTATATAATTTGTGTACTGACTATACTCCCCCTTAGAACAGAAATTCTAAGATGGTAGGAACAATAAATACTGCATTTACTAGTGTTTTCTACCAGCTAGCATGGTATCTTGGCACATTTTCAGTATTTAATATTGTCAGTAAATTTGTAAAAATTCAATTTTTAATGAAAATTATTGACTAATTCTTCTATACCATGCAAACTCTATTTCAGTGCATTAGTTCATAGGTCTAGTCTCTTAAGTTTATTGGTACTTAGATCATATATTATTCTGTTTTAAATTAGCCATAAATTTTGGGGGGAGAAAAAAGAGTGTTTATTTGAGACCTACATGATGTTCCTTTGTCTTTGTTTCACCTGTCATCATTCCTGTTACTGACCAAATAAAGATATAGCCTGTAGCAAAATAATATTGTACATAATCATAAGATGGGCTGTAATATCCATAATTGAATCACCCATGACTCCTCAGCTATCACCTCCACTATTTTAAATTTTCAATAGCATTGAGTAAATTGAGTAAATTAAAATAATTCCAATGATTAGTTAAAGCATTCCTTTATTTCCTTCCTTCCTTCTTTTTTTCTTGGCTGAACCAATGTTGAGAGACGAGCTTCTTAATCATTCAACATGCATTATTCTCTGGTTCCTTAATATCCAGTCTGTTATTACACATTGCAGTCCTCCCTGAAAGTGTGTAGCAAAAGCTACCTACACAGAAACTTATGGATTAACTTCAGATCCATCTTCATTCCATTTGCTTCTAATTGCCTTATACTTTATCTGTGTATTTCTTTTTTATTAATATTATAATCTCCAAGTGGTCTATGTTTTCATGGTGTTACTTAGGTTGTCAAGATTTGAAATTACTGTTGAGCCACTCAACATATAAATTACAAATGAGTTCTTCCTACATTAAAAAGTTGGCTTAATGTATTGTCCATAACAATGTATTGTCTAATGTTAGATAAAGATAGAACTTTGCCATCTTCCTAATGGGGGAAAAAAACTATTTTTTAACCAGGTATTTACTTTAAAATATAAACTTCAGGCTTTTTCAATAAAGTTAATTTTTCTATCTTTATTTCTGCAGGTTATAGTAGCAAACTATATTGCTAGAATATCAGATGAATTAGAAAAACATCTATTCTTCATATCCTTTCTTTATGACAATAAGAATGAACCACTTTTTACCATAGTGTTTATTATACTGTTCAAAATTTTGGGTTGAGAAAGTTTCTTCAAAGAAGATTTATTGCACGGTGTTCATGTGGAGTATTATGTTTGGAATTTTGATGTCTTAAATGTGAATTCATTTTCTATAAAAGGATAAATACTATTCAAGGCTCTATTGTGTTTAATCTAATAAGAATATTTCTTATTAATAAGACAAAACAAACTTTTTAATGTAAAGTTCAGAACCTTTATACGAGATCCTTTGGGAGCAAAACTAAATACCAAATCTTCAGAACACATTTTCTTTTTCTGGAATTAGCAAAGGTATCAAAGGCAATGAACAAATTGTGAACACTGGCTGCACTTCACTTGATTACATGCATGCAAACAAAGCTGGGACCTTGGTGAAACCATCACTCATGGCTGAAATCATAAGAATAACAAATCTTGTTAAATGAAAACTTATATTTAAATATTCTGAGTAATTAAAGCGGTTTACATTAGAAATGCATGTGTAAATCTGTTCAATCATCAAAAGACAGAAAACTTAAATGTGTACAACTGAATGCAGGATTTCTGGAGCAAAAGATGATTAATGGAAGAGTCTCATATCCAAGTGGATAGGGTAGAAAAAGTTATTAATATTCTATTACTGTTATAACAAATTACAACAAACTTAGTGGCTTAAACAATCTAAGTTTACTATTTTATAGTTCTGTGGGTCAGAAATCTGACATGGGTCTCATAGAACTGACATCAAGATTTTTGGCAGGGCTTTGTTTACTTCTGGAGGTTCTAGGAGAGGCTCCACTTCTGGCTCACTTGAGTCATTCACAGAATTCAGTTCCTTGCAACCGTGGAACTGAGATACCTGTTTTCTTGCTAGTGGGCAGCTGAGGGCCTTCCTAGTTTCTAGAAGCCACCCACATTTCTTGTTTATGGTCCCCTTACACATTTTCGAAGTCAGCAACGGCAGGTCAAGTCTCTCTAATGGTTTGAATTTCTCCTCCTTCTTTCTTCTCATCTCTGTGACCCAGTCAGGAAAAGTTACTGGCTTTACTCAGGTGATTACACTGAACCCACTTGGATAATCTAGGATAATCTCCTCATTCCAAGGTCAGTACCCTTAATTACATCTGAAAAGTCCTTTTCCCCATGTAAGGTAAAACATTTGCAAGTTCTGGAGATTAGAACATAAACATCTTGTGAGGGGTAGAGGTAGGGGCCATTATTCTGCCTACCACTACTATCATACAAGTAAACACTTTAAAGGGATGCCTCATAATTTATACATTATTAAATAAAATAAACAGCATAGCCATTTTCACAGAGTAAACAATTATAATATGTTTATCTTATGAGAGTAGATCTTAGGATCCCATAAAATGTCAATAAATTTAGCAAAAGCATTGATGCCTTCTGGTGCTAATTATTAAAAAAATCGATAATATTACTACTCAGAATATTTTTGAGATTTCTGACAAGGGAAAATTGAAATTGATGATCTTAATAAAACCTTCTAACAACAATTGCATAAAAACATCTCTAATATTCACCCTTAGGAATATTCAGAGTATTGAGTATTCAGCAAACCTGTTAAATGGCAGTATACTACTATGTCTTTTGAGTTACATCATTTTTAGCATTTTCAACACCTGCTCATTGGCTCTTTCCTTAACACTTGGATTTACATGAAATCATTGCTACACATAGGTTTCAGGGACAGTGTCTTCTTTCTCAACCAGGCTGTAAAGGTAGAGGCCACGAACCCTGTCAAACATATGTACTTTGTAACTTTTTACTGTCTCTCATTTACTGTATTCCATGATGATTGCCATGTAGTATGCAAAAAAAATACTGATTTTGCTTTCCTCAGTGGTGAGGTGAATGTGTCCATACATTTTGTGTCATATAAAATGCTGGTGCCTATTGCTCATCACGAAGAATTTATTTTGGAAATTATTTAGAAATATGTCCCCTAGGAATGAAGCTACATATTCTTGGCATGCAGGAATAACCCTGATATGGTTTGGCTCTGTGTCTCCACCCAAATCTCATCTGTAGCTCCCATAATTCCCACATGTTGTGGGAGGGACCCGGTGGGAGATGACTGAATTACAGGGTGTGTCTTTCCCATGCTGTCCTCATAATAGTGAATGGGTCTCATGAGATCTGATGGTTTTAAAAATGGGAGTTTCCCTGCACAAGCTCTCTTTGCCTGCCACCATCCATGTAAGACGTGACTTGTTCCTCCTTGCCTTCTGCCATGATTGTCAGTCTTCCCCAGCCAAGTGCAGCTGTACGTCCAATTAAACCTCTTTCTTTTGTAAATTGCCCAGTCTTGGGTATGTCTTATCAGCAGCGTGAAAATGTATTAATACACACCCACACTGTTACTTTAGTTTAAAACTTGAAAACACTAGACTCAATGACATGTTTTCACATGTCTAATGCACATAATCACTGTGGCTGAAGCACCTATTTTGAAAACACCTACATATCTAGTAGAAAGTAGGTGTAAAATTCAATAACATGTTGGCATCTCTAGTTATATATTTCATCTAAAACTATTAAGAGCGAGGTATGAGCATGAACAGATTTGATTGCATAATCATCCTGTGACTGGTGAAATTTGGCTAAAAGGTTTGACAACCTTTGGAAATATTTCCCTTACAGCGGCTGCCCTGTTGTCTCACTGCTCGACTGTACCTGCTAAGTGTCTTATTTGAAAAAGTAAAGCAAAGTTTATTCTTATTTAAAAAGGTAATAAGAGTAGAAAACCATAAGGTTATTCACAGTTGCCAGACTGATAAATGGGACTAAAGGGAAAATAGATCCTAAGCATAGAAATCAATTTAGGTTTCCTACTAAGACATTTGCTGTATTATAATGTCATCCTTGATAGATTGACTCTTTTATTTCTTATATCTAAACTACCTACTGTTTTTCCCAAAGAAGACAAAAGTACTAATTGAATTGTGTGTTTTGTTTGGAAAATCAGTTGTTATTATCATAGATTTATTTGGACATTTATTTTGCACATGCAAATTTATTATGTAAAGATTACTTTGTGAAAATGGTACCTTTCGTATTTACTAATCATTTTTATAGTATTTTAAACATTTTATAATAAATGTTAACGCATATTTTCCTATTACTATTTCATGAACCAAGAGGATTTTTTGCAATAATTAATGTAAAGTATCATATAATATATCACATTTGTGATGATAGTGAATTATGAAGAATCTTGGTAACATAAAAAAGTCACATTTTTTAATACTCCACAAACCTCATCAGAAGTCTTTAAATATTGATAAACTGTCATGCTCAGGGCTGCAGATTTGAGGAATTCAACACTCAAATTTTTCTTTAACAGATATACTTCTCACTTTGGCAATAATGCTGTCACTTATTTTCCCTGTCAGCAGCAAATTCACTTTGTTTCTTCAAAAGGAAATCCATTACTCATGTCCGAATGACAATAGTTTGCATGCTAGTCATTTTGCCAGATGAACATAGTGCTCCATAAAAAAAGTGGCTAGTTTATCCTACACCTCAACCTCACAAGTGGTTTTCCCAGAGACAAACATATTCTGATTTGCAGCAGAACTGCTTTATTAAAAATATGTATATTCATTAAATATTTATTAAAATATTAAAAATATAAATGCTCAAAGCTAAAGATTTTTTAATAATTTTCACTGCTTCAACAAAACATTCTTAAATGAAAATGTATTTTTTTTAGTTGTGAGTGTATGGTGGTAAAGATTACATTAATACTAATACAACAGAATGCCTGTGCCTTCACTCATGTGTAAGAGCCAGGCATTTGACCTACTAATGTTTTTACAACATCAGTCTAAATATCAATGTAACAAAAAAAACACAAATAACATCATAGTATTATTATGAAAATAGTTTTCAACTGTGGACCACTTGAAAGAGTTTAAGTCCCCCAGGAGATCACAGAGCATATACTGAGGACTGCTGATATTGTTAAGGCTGCTTTAATACACTGTATTTGTGTGTGTGTGCATGTGTGTGTGTGTGTTCTAAAGTTCAAAAAACAGTTACCTGTGTTGATACATACAGAAAAATTTCTAGAAAAGAAATAATACAAGAGCATATACACTAACTGGAATGTAATTAGCTACGTTTTTTTCCAAACTGACCAAAAAACTCAACTCCAAATAATCCAAACCATTTAAAACAATTATAAAAATTCCTAAATAACAAAAGAATAGAAAGAACCTTATCTAAATTATGATTACAGACTATTTAAAAAATGACTATATATTTATATACCATATATAATTACTATATATGTAGTTTCTTAACACATGGCATTTAGTCTATGATTTCTTATGGTATCTTCAATATGTTATCTTAATATATGCTATTTCACAAAGCCACACTCAGAGTAAAACTTACGGTTTTACTATTTTAATCAATATTAATGCACTGAACATCCAACTTAAACCTGAAGCAAGAACAAAAAATTAAAACCCTGTATTTTTTTTAACTTTTATTTTAAGTTCCAGGGTACATGTGCAGGATGCGCAGGTTTGTTACAGAGAGAAACATGTGCCATGGTGGTTTGCTGCACACATTATCCCACCCCCTAGGTATTAAGTCTAGCATCCATTAGCTATTCTTCCTGAACATGCATTATTTTTAAAAGAAATTAAACTGGTCGTATTTAAGATTTAAAAAATGCCAAATATTAGCAAATTTAACAACATAATTTGTCTTTCTATTATTATTCAATTATCATTTCCTTGATAGACTGTGATATATATGATGATATTTTCTATCGAATTGTACCACCAGAAAATCAGTAATCTGGAAAAGATGCATATTTTTCTGATTATGATAAGAGAAAAATTACTGAAATTATCAAAATAATTAGGAAATATACAATATCAATAATGTTTTTAACACCATTTTCATCTTTTTTTTTTCTTAAGGTCTAGCTAATGTGAAAAAAATAAAAAGCACATTTATGAAAAGTAGGAATATGGATATTGTTAGCATTATTTACATATGATAATTTACCTGAAAGTGACAAAAAAAAACACTGCATTTTATAAAAGTAAAACCTTTTCTATATAACAGATATTACTAAGCAGAAAACAGAATGGGATGCATGCAAATTACATAATACGATTTTGAAGAAGTAAACACCTGTGTGTGTGTGTGTCTGCACATTTGTGTTTATGTTTGTTTTTATATCAACACAAAGAAAAAAGTTGTTGAGGGACACACTGCTATGCTAAAACAGTACAGGGACAATGGAAGAGACTAGGAACAATTGCAACTTTATTTTTATACATTGGTACAATGAAACATGCATTACTCTTTTTTAATTGTTGAAAAATACAGAACATTTAAGGGAAATTGGTATATTACTTAGAAGAACTGAAACAGTATCAATGCTTTTAAACGTTAATTTGTAGACATTATCTAAATAAAAATACAGAGATATCTGTGGAAAATGGAAGAGAAGATTTGAAGAAATGAAGAAAAATTATTGATGTTCCAGGATAGGAAATCCAAATATTATAAATATTATATTCCATCTGTAAAATTATCTCTGGGACTTGACAAAAATTATATTAAATGTATCTTGGAATAGGAAAAATAAAACATCACCAAGAATTATTTGAAGAGAGGTAAAGAAAGAGATGAGTTTCTCCACAAAATACTTGAAAGCAATATTTTAAAATCTATTTTTAATTAAAGTATTTTACTGGTCCAGAATCAGAAAGATAATTTTAAGGCATCAGAATTGAAAGTCTACATCATACTACTTTTTAATATAATTTGACAGTACAGCAGTTCAAATTAAGCAAACATAAAACATCACATTGTCAAATGAGACTCAAACAAACCACACAACTTGGTACAAAGTCTCCCTAATAACTAAGGATGCAAAGAATCAAGAAGCACAGATGTCTCTCAGTAAAGTTGCAAGTTACTTCACCCAGCAAGATGCTTTTATGTGATAAAACATTCAATTTTGCCCATCAGGGAGTTGTATAACTTATATGATTCTCTCCAAGGAGAAGTACTTAATAAATGAATTGAGTAAAAGTGTATTTACTACAAACAATCCTATACCTGGAACACTCTTTACAGTGCATTCCATAGGTCAGCACTCCCCTCCCAGAAATTATCGTCTGTCCATTTACCAGGAGATCCATTAGTTACAATGGAATTAGACACTTATCTTTTTTCCCCTGGAAGTACTTCTCCCTGATTCCTCAATCAGAAAACAAATGGATCACAGCCTGACTATTTTAATTCCTTGCTCAAGCTTTTCTAGTGGTCTCTCTGCATTGGCTAATTTTAACTTTTTCATAGCACAGTAATTTCTGGAAAATAACACTTCTTACACAATGGTTGGAGGCTTCAAGAGTGAGTATTCTGTTAGCTCATGCAAGAAGTGCTTATTTAAAAAAGCATGACACCCCTCCCCTCACTTTTTTGCTCCTTCTCTTGTTTTATGATGCCTGCTCCCCTTTGCCTTCCACATCCATGAAAACTTCCTGAGGTCCCTTGGCAGAAACAGATGCTGGCTCCATGTTTCTTGTATAGCCTGCAGAACTGTGAGCCGAATCAACCTTTTATTTATGTTACCCAAACTCGGGTATTCTTTTACAGCAGTCCCCAAGCTTTCTAGCACCAGGGCCTTGTTTCTTGGAAGACAATTTTTCTACCACTTTGTGGGGTGGGGGTGTGTGTGGGTGGAGAGGGTATGTTTTCTGGATGAAATTGTTCCACTTCAGACCATCAGGCATCAGTTAGATTTTCATAAGGAGTGTGCAGCCTAGATCCCTCACATGCACAGTTCACAAGTTCATGTTCCTGTGAGAATCTAATGCCAACTACTGATCTGACAGGAGGCAGAACTCAGGCAGTAATGCTGGCTCACTGGCCACTCACCTCCTGCTGTGCTGCCTGGTTCCTAACTGGCCACTGACCAGTACCAGTACACAGCCTGGGGCTTGGGAACCCTTGCTTTATATCAGTGCAAATGGACTAAGACATATGATTACTATAATATACTTTAAAGCACAATCTTCATTTTATATAGGGTGATGTTTTTACTATGGATCTTGGATAGTCACTTAGTGTGACTGAGAGTTCACTACTGGCAGATGATCAAGTATTTTTAAACAGAACAGGCTGTTCTGGAGGCTGCTACAAGTAGCTTAGCTACTCCCCTCCCCCGCCTTATATTGCTTTTTTCGCTAATTTAAATAATAATTGTTAGAAATGTATTTTCATTGGTAGAAGTAAATTGTAGAATTACCATAGTGATTTTTTTAATAAAAAGGTCTCCCATTATTTAAATCACTAGGTGTTACACTCTGTACACACTGGCCTATTTTACAAAAAAAAAAATTAGATGGGATAATTTGGAAATAAGAAAAGTGGAATAGTTCATCACCACAATAATCTGCAAAACACTTCTCTAGAATGTAGCCACACCTCCCTCTAGGGACCTTTTCACTGAAAGGAATGGTTAAGTATTTTAGTTACAAAATACTCAGTATAAAAGGATGCCATATTTTGGGGTGACAGTACTTGACTCCTTAATTACCTAATATCATCATTACTAATTTACTAACATGCAAAAAGAAGTGTGAGTAGCTCAAGGAAGGATCACATTTTGCTTATCTTTGTGTTGCATCATTTTTTCAGTCAGTGTCTGGCTTACAACCAATAATCACGGATCATATAATAAATAAATAGATGAAATGTGCATACGTACATTTTATACATACATATATGTGTATATAAATTTTTATATAGCCAGTTTTGTTAATTATGCACATTTGGATTATTTCAGGGGCTAACCAAATCTCACAAAACTTTAATAAAAGTTAAATACAATACAACAAGAGAAACAAAACCACAGAAGGACATCTGAGATGGTCTGACACTTCTAGAGATATCTTCCAGAGTACCGGCTGGGCGCAGTGGCTCATGCCTGTAATCCCACCACTTTGGGAGGCCGAGGCGGGCGGATCACGAGGTCACAAGATCGAGACCATCCTGGCTAACACGGTGAAACCCCGTCTCTACTAAAAATACAAAAAATTAGCCGGGCGTGGTGGTGGGCACCTGTAGTCCCAGCTACTGAGGCTGAGGCAGGAGAATGGCTTTAACCCGGGAGGCGGAGCTTGCAGTGAGCCGAGATAGCGCCACTGCACTCCAGCCTGGGCGACAGAGCAAGACTCTGTCTCAAAAAAAAAAAAAAAAAAAAAAAAGAATTAGTACCATGTCTTCACTCCACGTCTTAGGGAGATAAGCACAGAGTTGGGAGAGATCAGATCCCCATGAGACCTCATTTACACAATGTGTGTGTTATATTTTTGGTGGGGAGTGGAGAGAGAGGGAGAGAGACACAGAGAGAGACAGAGAGAGAAGCCATAAAGGAGTCTCGTAATAATAGTGTTCATGCTTCAAAAGAAACAGTTAATCTAATATACTTTCTTGAAAGCTGATGTATTAAGATCTTAATCGTAATCCAGAAACAGGAAAACAAATGCTTATATTTTCTTTGACCTCACATGGAAGCTGAAAAATCTATTCTTTAATTTAAAAACAAGTATCTTGCCAAAAGTAATTTTTTAGCTAAATTAATATTAAAAGCAATGAATGGTCAAGATAATTATTGGATTAAATTTAGATGGGGAAAACACTGACTTCTAAATTTAGTGGGGCATAGTTCAGCAACAAAAAGCCTTCCCAAAGAGTCTCCTTTTCATATATATATATATATATATTTTCATTTGTATATCCCTGATTTTCTTGCCATATTTTAATTGTGAAATGGTGTGCAAATTACTTAACCTCTTGTGCATGTTTCTTTATCTGTATAATGGGGATTAAAACAGTATCTTTCTCACTGTACCTTATGGGAATTAAAGTAGTTCATAGCCATGAACTGTTTAAAATAATTTGCATTACACAAAGTATGTGCTCAAGAGTATTAAACAATATGTTATTGTTAGCCACATTAGTGTGTTATATTATGCTGTTAAGGGTTGTCAGACATTTGATTTTATTATTTCTCAAATGCTTTAATGGTCAGGAGTTTGTGTTCATGTTATTTCTCTCCCATTTTTTCAAAACTTTAGGTCAATGCTACACAGGCTTGATTGCTCATTTAATTAATGTATATTTTAGTGTTATTTGGTACAGGTGTGTTCTGCTTGTTTTACACAGCCTCAAGCTGATCAGGTCTAATGTCTGTTTTACTCTGAATTTTTTAAAAATTGGTTCACTCTCATATTATTGCTAAGATAGACATTTCAATGATGTTTATGTTTCATATGGCCTGAAAATAAATCGACTTTTTAAATTTTTAAATATATTACAAATTGCACCACAATCATTTCCAAAATTAATTAAACATAGCAATAACCATTGCATTGTACATATTCTTTTTGCAATAAACTTAATTTTCAAAAAAAAATTATTTGTTTTAGAAAAGTTTTAGGTTCAAGGCCAAACTGAGCAGAAGATAAAGATTTGCCATGTATTTTCTTCCCTCATATGTTTGCAGCTTCCCCCATAACTGATGTCCTGCACTAGAGTGGTATACTTGCTACAATTGATGAACCCACATTGACACATCATTATCATTCAAAGACCATAGTTTATGTGAGGTTCTCTCTTGCTAGTACATATTATTTTCATGCATTTATTATGCAACATTTTTGGTATTTTTAACTCATTGGATATTTACACCACTTCAGAACCTTTAAATAGGCCCCCAATACATGAAATACCCAAAATAAATAATGTGCTGCATTTACCATTTCATGATATTTCAAATAAAATAATATGAAAAATATTTTCCAATCAAAATAACAAAATACATAGTTGAAAGGATCCTCCAAGGTGACCTACAAATTAAGAAAATTTAAGACAGATGCACAGTCTGAGATTGTTGCATAAACTGCTGTTTCCTGGAAATAATATTTATAAAATTGACTGGTGTCATAAAGTAGTTAACAAATCTCCAGCTCCAATCAATGAACAAAATTATCTACAAAATCAGAGCCAATTATTGCACTTTAAAGCAAAAGTCTTATAATTCCCAGACATCATCATCACCATTATTATTAACCAGGTTTCTCAAGCAACATTTTAAGTAATATTCTTCATCAGAAACCCCCTCCCCTCTATACACACAAGGATGATGGATGGAAGCATTTGCATTCTTAAATGAGCATGCGAGGAAATTAAAGGAAATTTTAGAATGTTGTAGACTCTAGAATCCTGCCATGCTTGGTTTCCCACTGTGCCACACTAGTCCCTGCTTTTCACAGTAAAATGACATGCACAGCAGGAAAACCAGACAAAAAGGCTCTTAATTATCAGTAATGGCCCAACATTCAAAGATGCTAGCTTCTGCAAACCTTGGAAGTAATCATTGTTTCCATTAGTGTTTCTGTTTATCCTCAGCTTTTTAAAACATTTGTTAGCCAATTAATGATTAATTTCCATCCTATCAGAAGGCACAGAGCATTTTAAATGAGACTTCTGCCTCTTAACACTCTGTACAGGCATTCACATATTAACAGTTCGGTAATTTATACATACCTATAAATACAAACACTTTTTTACATTATTCTTCACATATCTAAAAGAACCTATGCAGAGAGATAGTAACAAAATGTTACTTTCTCAACATCTGTTAAATGTATTAGGAAACAAAAAATTAATTTTACTCATTTTATGTACAGATAACAAAATAGCATGTAACATTGCAGAAATTACAGTAAATTATCAAATTACAGAAATTATTAAATTAATTTCATAAATGTTTACTCTTAACAAAGGGGTTGCTTTTCCCTGTTAAATTTTGCAATAACAATGTGGAAAATGAAACTAAAGTTTTTAAAACTTTAGGTATCATTTTGGGAATAAATAAAAAGTAAGATCAAATTACTGATAATGCACACAAGATTTCATTTCTTTAAAGGAGTAACAAAGGACCATATAGTTTTATTAAATCTCTAGGCTGAAAAGAAACTTATATTTTATGGTATTCCACTGAAAATCTCCATTTTTTTATATAAAACTTTATCAAAATAGTTGTCCAGTCTCTAAATAAGTTCCATGACAGAAATCTCACTGCTAATAAGCAATCAGAAAGCTAATACAATCATTCACTAATCATCAGGGAAATGCAAATTAAACCCACAATAAGGTATCACCTCACCCCTGTTAGGATGGCTATTATAAAAAAGACAAGACATAACAAATATTGATCAGGATGTGGAGAGAAAGAAATCCTTGTACATTGTTGGTAGGACTGTTAACTGGCACAGCAATTATAGAAAATAATATGTAAGTTCCTCAAAATATTAAAAATAGAATTAACATTATCCAGTAATCCTTCTTCTACATATATACCCAATAGAAATGAACAGTATGCTGAAAAGACATTTGCACTCACGTTTATTGCAGCATTATTCTCAATAGCCAAGATATGAAAATAACGTAAGTATCCATCAATAGATACATAAAGAAAATGTAGTTATTATTTAGTCTTAAAAAAGAAAGAAATCCTGCCATTTGTGACACCATGGGTAAACCTGGAGGACATTGCACTGAGTGAGATAAGTCAGGTGCTGCATGATCTCCCTTATATGTGGAATCTAAAAACGTCGAGTTCATAGAAACAGAGTAGAATGGTGGTTACCAAGGACTGGAGAGAGGATGAAGTGGAGTGATGCAGGTCAAAGGGTACAAACTTTCAGTTATGAAGGATAAATAATTGCTATAACTCTAATGTTGAACATGGGGAGTATAGTTAATAATACTATAGTTAATAATAGTAATTATTATTAACTATAGTTAATAGTTTTCAGAGAAGAATCTTAAGTGTTCCTACTATAAAATTCTAAAAAAGGGAAATATGTAAGGTGATGAATGTGCTAATTAGTTTGATTGTCATAATTATTTCACAATGTATATGACTATCGAATCATCAGGTTGTACACCTTATACATATACAATTTTGTAAACCATGCCTTAATAAAGCTAAATTAAAAAAAAAAAGCTAATGAAGATGGTACGATGACTGGACTCTACATGTTTTTCTCTAACTTTTCTAAGAAATTACTTTTACCAGCAGAAGAGACAGAATGAGCATACCATCCAAGCCTGATTGGATCATCCCAAGCAACTTTTCAAAAGCTCGAGTTTCTATGAGAGCCTTGAATTTGTTTTTAAAATTTAAAAAGATTTTGCATTCTACTCCAAAATGCATCTCTATTTGTGATAATATAATATTTATTATCATTCTTTATGAGTGTAAGATTGATCCCTTGATTTCTCAACATCTGTACTGAATTAATGAGCCACAAACATACCAGTTCAGTTCAATCTGTTATCTTTCCTTAGTGTTACATGTTTTCAGAAATAAGTTCACACAATAATGTTCCTACAGAAGGCCAATGTACCCATATGCATGAATTTTTATATGCCTATCTCTACATATGTGCTATTTCTCGGTAGACATTGAGAGGAAATCCAGAAAACACTATCAAAGAGGGAGTTTTAGTGCAATAGTCCCGTGCAAATATTTGTGAAAAGTTCGTATTATGTTTCTTTGTGATGAGAAACCAACTTGTTTTGTATCAAGTGAATACTGAAGTGTTTTTCCCCTGTCTTGTACGCATTTTGAAGAATTTTTCATAAAACAAGTGCCTGATAATTGTTTATTTTTTAACCATGAATATTGGGATTTTCATAATGTGAATTATCTAAATGTCTCAATGGATACATACATAAATCCATGCACTTTTTACGTAACTCTCAGACTTTGTTTTCTCTAAAGCAATCTTATCATGAGATATTAAAACATTCCATTTTGCATTACAGTTGATACTATATAGTTATAGTTCAGCACTGAAAGTACATATGATATAATTAAGTCACCTAAGGAGTAATTCTTTATCATTTACGGGATTGCTGCCTACATTCACTACATCAAAATGTTCAGTTTGTCATAGTGTGCTTTTTAGATACATGTAAAATTTAAAACAAAGAATTATGTATTTTGTTTATAAGATTCTGAACAGCAAACACCCAAACTAGGCCAGGATATATCTATTTAATAAGGCAAACTTACAACAGCACATCTCATTTTATTAAATAGTTTTAAAAATTGTGTATTCAAGAAGCATTTTAAAAATTAATGGAGCATTTTAAGTCCAAAGATCATGAAGAAACTCTCTGATTCAAGATGTTGCTAAATATTTGGGACCAATGTATATATTGTGGGTGCTCAATGACCTCGAGGTAAACTACCTACCTTGGCTGTCTATATTATTTTTTCCCAATCAATACTATTCTCCTATACACACACACAAATTTAATTTCTCAGAAATGTATTTGCTATATTGTATCATCACATACTTTGAAAACTAGGCAACCCACAGACACTATTATTAAGATATTAATAAGCTACAAAAAAATAAGCCATTTTCTTAGTATTTATTATTTTATACAATTCTTAGAAAAAATATAGACTAACCTTGCACTTTCAGGTAAATTTTCAAGTTTGTCTTCTGAGTAAAAAAGAAAATGTGTTGTTTGATATTTTTGTACAAACACGAGATAATATCTGGCTTGACTAATTACTTTGACTCAAAGAGATGTGTCTGCCATGATTCAGGCCTTTAATAATTTTTTTTATCATGTGAGAATTTTGTCTCAAGGCAACTCTAGAAGAGATCCTAAATAATGTTTCAAAAAATGTTATACCTGCTTGTTCATGTGTTCTATTTATCACATTAGCTCCTAGCTAGGACTTCTCTATTACTGGTTACAGAAAAGCTCTTTCAGAGGTACAAAGAGGAGCTGGTACCATTCCTTCTGAAACGATTCCAAACAATAGAAAAAGAGGGAATCCTCCCTAACTCATTTTATGAGGCCAGCATCATCCTGATACCAAAACCTAACATACACACAACAACAACAACAAAATTTCAGGCCATTATCCCTGATGAACATCAGAGCGAAAATCCTCAATAAAATACTGGCAAACCGAATCCAGCAGCACATTAAAAACCTTATCCACCATGATCAAGCTGGCTTCATCCCTGGGATGCAAGGCTGGTTCAACATACGCAAATCAATAAACGTAATCCATCACATAAACAGAATCAATGACAAAAATCACGATTATCTCAATACATGCATAAAAGGCCTTCAAAAAAATTCAACACCCCTTCATTCTAAAAACTCTTAATAAACTAGGTATTGATGGAACGTATCTCAAAATAAGAGCTATTTATGACAAACCAATAACTATTTAGAGACTGGACAACTATTTTGATAAAGTCTTATATAAAAAAATGGAGATTTTCAGTGGAATACCAAAAAATATAAGTTTCTTTCCAGCCTAGAGATTTAATAAAACTATATGGTCTTTTGTTACTCCTTTAAAGAAATGAAATCTTGTGTGCATTATCAGTAATTTGATCTTATTTTTTATTTATTCCCAAAAATGATACCTAAAGTTTTAAAAACTTTAGTTTCATTTTCCACATTGTTATTGCAAAATTTAACAGGGAAAAGTAACCCCTTTGTTAAGAGCAAACATTTATGAAATTAATTTAATAATTTCTGTAATTTAATAATTTACTATAATTTCTGCAAAATTACATGCTATTTTTGTTATCCGTACATAAAATGAGTAAAATTAATTTTTTGTTTCCTAATACATTTAACAGATGTTGAGAGAGTAACATTTTGTTACTATCTCTCTGCATAGGGTCTTTTAGATATGTGAAGAATAATGTAAAAAAGTGTTTGTATTTATAGCTATGTATAAATTACCGAACTGTTAATATTATGTGAATGCCTGTATAGAGTGTTAAGGGGCAGAAGTCTCATTTAAAATGCTCTGTGCCTTCTGATTAGATGGAAATTAATCATTAATTGATATCATACTGAATGGGCAAAAGCTGGAAGCATTCCCTTTGAAAACGGGAACAAGACAAGGATGCCCTCTCTTACCACTCCCATTCAACATAGTTTTGGAAGTTCGGACCAGGGCAATCAGGCAAGAGAAGAAATAAAGGGTATTCAAATAGGAAGAGAGGAAGTTGAATTGTCTCTGTTTGCAGATGACATGACTGTATATTTAGAAAACCCCATCGTCAGGCCAGGCGCAGTGGCTCACGCCTGTATTTCCAGCACTTTGGGAGGCCGAGGTGGGCCAATCAATTGAGATCAGGAGTTTGAGACCAGCCTGACCAATATGAGGAAACCCTGTCTCTACTAAAAATACAAAAATAGCTGGGTGTGGTGGCATGCATCTGTAATCCCAGCTCCTCGGGAGGCTGAGACAGGAGAGTAGTTTGAACCCTGGAGGCAGAGGTTGTGGTGAGCTGAGATCGCACCATTGAACTCCAGCCTGGGAAACAAGAGCAAAACTCCATCTCAAAAAAAAAAGAAAAAGAAAAAGAAAAAAAGAAAAGAAAACCCCATCCTCTCAGCCCAAAATCTCCTTAAGCCGATAAGCAACTTCAACAAAGTCTCAGGATACAAACAAAATCAATGTGCAAAAATCACAAGCATTCCTATACACCAATAACAGACAAAGAGAGCCTAATCATGAGTAAACTCCCATTCACAATTGCTACAAAGAGAACAAAAATACCTAGGAATCCAACTTACAAGGGATGTGGAGGACCTCTTCAAGGAGAACTACAAACCACTGCTCAAGGAAATAAGAGAGGACACAAACAAATGGAAAAACATTCCATGCTTATGGATAGGAAGAATCGATATCGTGAAAATGGCCATACTGCCCAAAGTAATTTATAGATTCAGTGCTATCACATCAAGCTACCATTGACTTTCTTCACAGAATTAGAAAAAATTTCTTTAAATTTTATATGGAACCAAAAAAGAGCCCGCATTGCCAAGACAATCCTAAGCAAAAAGAACAAGCTGGAGGTATCATGTTACCTGACTTCAATCTATACTACAAGGCTACAGTAACCAAAACGGCTTGGTACTGTTACCAAAACAGATACATAGACCAATGAAACAGAACAGAAGCCTCAGAAATAATGCCGCACATTTACAAACATCTCATCTTTGATAAACCTGACAAAAAAAAGCAATAGGGAAAGGATTCCCTATTTAATAAATGGTGTTGGGAAAACTGGCTAGCCATATGCATAAAACTGAAACTGGACCCCTTCCTTACACTTTACACAAAAATTAACTCAAGATGGATTAAAGACAAAACATAAGACCTAAAACCATAAAATCCCTAGAATAAAACCTAGGTAATACCATTCAGGACATAGGCATGGGCAAAGACTTCATTACTAAAATACCAAAAGCAATGGCAATAAAAGCCAAAATTGAGAAATGGGATCTAATTAAACTAAAGAGCTTCTGCACAGTAAAAGAAACTATCATCAGAGTGAACCGGCAATCTACAGAATAGGAGAAAACTTTTGCAATCTATCCATCTGACAAACGGCTAATATCCAGAATCTACAAGGAACTTAAGCAAATTTCCAAGAAAAAAACAAACAACCCCATCAAAAAGTGGGTGAAGGATATGAACAGACATTTTTCAATGGAAGACATTTATGCAGCCAACAGATATATGAAAAAAAGCTCATCATCACTGGTCATTAGAGAAATGCAAATCAAAACTACAATGAGATATTATTTCACACCAGTTAGAATGGCAATGATTAAAAAGTCAGGAAACAACAGATGCTGGAGAGAATGCAGAGAAATAGGAACGTCTTTATACTGTTGGTGGGAGTGTAAATTAGTTCAACCATTGTGGAAGACAGTGTGGCAACTCCTCAAGGATCTAGAACCAGAAATACCATTTGACCCAGCAATCCCACTACTGGGTATATACCTAAAGGATTCTAAATCATTCTACTATAAAGACATATGCACACATATGTTTATTGCTACACTATTCACAATCACAAAGACTTGGAACCAACCCAAATGCCCATCACTAATAGACTGGATAAAGAAAATGTGGCACATATACACCATGGAATACTATGCAGCCATAAAAAAGGATGTGTTCTTGTCCTTTGCAGGGACATGGATGAAGCTGTAAACCATCATTCTCAGCAAACTAACACAGGAACAGAAAACCAAACACCACATGTTCTTACTCATAAGTGGGAGTTGAACAATGAGAACACATGGACACAGGGAGGGGAATATCACACACTGGGACCTGTCATGGGGTGGGAGGCTAAGGGAGGATAGCATTAGGAGAAATACCTAATGTAGATGATGGGTTGATGGGTGCAGCAAACCACCATGGCACATGTATACCTATGTAACAACCTCCAAGTTCTGCACATGTATCCCAGAATTTAAAATATAATTTAAAAATATAAATAAATAAGTAAACATAATTACTTTTTAAATGTAGCTGCAAGTAAGCTGTTTTCATAAGTAGGATGCTTTCTAAATGAATTAGACATAGCTTTACAAAATAATGAAAGGATCTTTAAATCAGTGTCTAAACGGACACCTTTCTTTTTAGATAGGCTATTATTGTTCACTGCTGATTTCATTTTCCACAATTGGTAACCTCTGTTTTCAATTCACATCTATGGCAGTTCTTGACCTTTGCAAGTTGGTCTAAAATGTCTTCTCAGTCCCCTTTATCTGTGCTTCCCCTAACCCCATCTTAAAAGATGAGGCGGCAGATTTATAACAATCTCATCTGAAATCAAGCATCTGACATAGTTTTATGAATTCAAGCAATTAATTATCTTAAATGAATACTTAGACATGTAGGAGCTCTAAGATTACTTCCTAGTTCCATTGCCTGGGCAATATATGGTAAACTGTATATTAGAAGATTACTTGCATATTAATTTTATTCTGAAATGTGGGATAGATTATTTGCAGTTATTTAGTATTAAAATTTCAAGATCTGTCTTCACAAAGCTTTGATAGAGAAGTTTGTTATATTCTTTTTTTTTTTTTTTAAAGACAGAGTCTTGCTCTGTAACCAGGTGGGAGTGCAGCGGCGTGACCTTGGCTCACTGCAACCTCCACCTCCTGGGTTCAAGCAATTCTCCTGCCTCAGCCTCCCAAGTAGGTAATTTTACTCCCAGGTAATTTTTGCATTTTTAGTAGAGACAGGGTTTCACCATGTTGGCCAGGATGGTCTCGATCTCTTGACCTCGTGATCGGCCTGCCTCAGCCTCCCAAAGTGCTGGGATTACAGCTGTAAGTCACCACGCCAGGCCAACATTGGCTATATTCTAAGAAAGCATTATGATTTAAACTTAAAATCTTAAAATCAGTATAGAATGCAGAAAATCTCCAACATAAATATATAATTTTATTATTTTTAATTTCATTTTTAAAAATAAATTTGTCCTTTTCCAATCTGTTTTTGGCTATGTACATTCTTTGATTCTATCTATTAATTAATTTTATTATTATTACAAGAAACACACACACACACACACACACACACACACACACACACACAGAGTACTGGGATAAATTTTTTAAAATCCCACAGAGCTATCTGTATCAGCCTTGTGTGGTGATCACTTAAACCTAGAAGAAAGCCACTCTTGCTTTTCTCTTTATCTTTGAATTCCCAAAATTAATAGGAAAATAAGTCAAACTTCCTGGTAAAGATTATTTTAAGCCTGTACCTTAAATGACTATTTAATAATCAAGGCAAATATCACACACTTATTTTTAATACCCAGGTATGCAAAATATTAATCCGGATAATGTAAGAGCAAGTTATACAAAAATCAATCCTAATATGTTTCTGTTGGAAATCAGATTATTCCTCCCCTGGAGAGTCTCTCTTAACCCAGAGGGACAGAAATTACTTCTGGACTACATTCCTGTAATGATTGCATCACTCTCTGAAAACCACTTCCCTCCTTAGATGCTCTCCAATCATATGCCTCCTTTGGGGGCATTAAAGTAGCAAGTGCTCTAGACAGAAAGCTCATTTATCAAGTTCAAGTTCTCAGGCAGCCATCTGTTAAGTGTAGAGATGTGTGATTTAGTAATCACTGTTGTCACTGTCCCACAAATCACCTCTTTGAAGTGAAATAACCTCTATCCCATTACTCCAAGAAAATAGATTGAAATTATCCCAATTCAATACTTTCTTATGCAAATGATGATTAATTTGTAGCAATAGGAAGTATAGTGTCAAATATGTTATAGGATTAGGCAGTACTGGTAAAATGCTCATTCTCCATTCTCATGTCTTGAAGAATTAGCATAGTAAAAATAATTGTGTTACACCTAAGCTATATGTTACTTGCCTATATTTTTATCTACCTCAAAGTTGGTAAATCATTAACTATCATTAGTTTTTAGAGCCATCAGAAGCCTTAGATAATCTATGGTATTTGTCCATGAAGATATATCCACAAGCAGCATCTAGTGGCTAAAGTTTATTTTACATTGGCAGATGTTGGCATGAGAGAACAGTGCTAGGCTCTTCCTGTCTTAAGCAACATTACACATCATCAATCTTGACAATAGGAATTGCACCTGCTTCCTGTGATTCCACAGTCTGTGTTTCACTAAATGCTCAGCATGATTGTTGGTATTATGCTACCATTCAGAAACCCCATCTAGGCAGGCATGGTGAGCTTAGGCAGCAACATTTAGAAAAAGGGAAATAAATAAGTTAAAGTACAGAATAGTTACTGTTTAAGATACATGCTTTAATCTAGCAAAACTGACTCTTCTCACTTAACATCCTGATAGAGCCTGTACAAGGCAACATGAGACCAAAAATAATTAAACTATGGTAAAAAAAAAAAAATGAAAACAAAAAACATAAGTTTGCTCGGGCGCAGTGGCTCATGCCTGTAATCCCAGCACTTTGGGAGGTCAAGGCAGGCAGATCACTTGAGGTCAAGAGTTCAAGACCAGCTGGCCAAGATGGTGAAACCTCATCTATACTAAAAATACAAAAATGAGCCGGGTGTGGTGGTGGCTGCCTGTAATCCCAGATACTTAGGAGGCTGAGGCAGGAGAAACACTTGAATCTGGGAGGTGAATTTGCAGTGAGCCAAGATCGTGCCACTGCACTCCAGCCTGGGTCAGAGAGGGAGACTCCGTCTCAAAAGATAAAAATAAAAATAAAAAATAATGTCAACTCATTTAGAATATGCATAACAACTCCTGGTGGTGTCTTGAATTAATACATAGAAATTAAGAGTTCTAGGGACTTACTATAGGGTGTCTATGGTAACAGCTTTTTAATCATGGCCTGGATGTAGCATGAAAAACAACAATGAGACTTTAGGGATGCCTAGAAATTTGCAGAATAAACAATTATTTGGAGTTATCAAAAAAACTTACTTCATGAAACAAACCCAAAAGCATAAAAGGGAAGAAAGCAAATATCAGAATTCCCCTATTTGAAGACACAGAGCAATATATATATATATATATATATATATATATATATATATATATATATTTTTATATATAGCTCTCTCTATATATATTTATATATATAGCTCTCTCTATATATTTATATATATAGCTCTCTCTATATATTTATATATATAGCTCTCTCTATATATATTTATATATATATAGCTCTCTCTATATATATTTATATATATATAGCTCTCTCTATATATATTTATATATATATAGCTCTCTCTATATATATTTATATATATATAGCTCTCTCTATATATATTTATATATATATAGCTCTCTCTATATATATTTTTATATATATATAGCTCTCTCTATATATATATTTTTATATATATATAGCTCTCTCTATATATATATTTTTATATATATATAGCTCTCTCTATATATATATTTTTATATATATAGCTCTCTCTATATATATATTTTTATATATATATAGCTCTCTCTCTATATATATTTTTATATATATAGCTCTCTCTATATATATATTTTTATATATATATAGCTCTCTCTATATATATTTTTATATATATAGCTCTCTCTATATATATTTATATATATATATAGCTCTCTCTATATATATTTATATATATACATAGCTCTCTCTATATATATATTTATATATATATATAACTCTCTCTATATATATTTTTATATATATATAGCTCTCTCTATATATATATAGCTATGAAAGCCATGGCTATATATATTTGAAGTGAAATAACCTCTATCCCATTACTCCAAGAAAATAGATTGAAATTATCCCAATTCAATACTTTCTTACGCAGATGATGATTAATTTGTAGCAATAGGAAGTATAGTGTCAAATACGTTATAGGATTAGGCAGTACTGGTAAAATGCTCATTCTCCATTCTCATGTCTTGAAGAATTAGCATAGTAAAAATAATTGTGTTACACCTAAGCTGTATGTTACTAAGCATATATATAGCCATGGCTTTCAGGAAAGGGAAGGAAGTGAGTGTAGCATCAATTATAACCTCTTTTTAGAAGAAGAGAGTTTGTATATTAAATAGATTGGAACATTGAGTTCTATTGTTGCAAAAAAAATGTATGAGAAATAGATAGAAGAATCCAGAGACTGATAACCCTGCATTTTACTACATCCATTAAATACCATTATATCTTAAACTAATTGCAATGTGATTTAACTTTCTAGTTGGGAACTTCATTTCTAGTGCATAATTTCATATTCCATTAAGCAATAAAAAATCTGATCATCTCTGAATACCATGATCTCATCAGTTTTCCAAAGGAATTAAGAAAAGAGAACATACTCAGGAAACTCTGCAGTCTTTAATAATGACTTCAGATTTATGGTAGTTATTTATGCACAATTTCCAAAGGATGGCTTTATGTAATGACACCAACAAAGAAAAAGAAGGATACTGTTTAAGATAATTACTAAACATTTTTTCAGGTGCCAGAAAATATAAATTGAAAACAAAACAATAGGAAGGGTAATAATTCTATCTACCTGGGATGTTACAACATCAAATCTGTGGTCACAATCCTGTTGGGAGTGAAATCAATGCATACTCTTTTCACATGTGTAAATATATTACAACTTGGCAACCAGACGATATTGGCCTACTCATATGAAAAAGTCATAGATATTCTTAGGCAATTTGGCCATTATTAACTTGAATTTTCTCACCATTTTTTTCCATTTCCATGTGTGTGTCTGTGCACGTGTGCACGTGTGCGTGTTTGTGTGTGTGTGTGTATGTGTGCACGTGCACACAGGTAGGGGTGGGGTGATTAAAATCACAGAATTAGAAGTTCAATCAACCATAGATAAAATACACTGACGTTTAGGATCTATGATTAATTCCAGTGGACTTTACACTTGTTAAAAATCTTGGTTAACTTTCTTAATCTTAGTACATTCATCTATGAAATGAGTTAGATAAACTGATGTTTCTGCATTGGGGAAGCTGTTTATGTCTGTTTTATTTAGGTTTGTTTTTGCCTTTTGTAGCTTTGTTTGTTTTATTCTGTTTTGCTTTGTTAATCAGCATTTTTTTTTCTGATCATATATCTTCCCCGTGCTACCCCCTACCTTTGGAATGAGAATCATTCCTCTCTATTGTCATTTCATTAAGAAAACACATAATAGTTTTAACTAGGAGATTGGAATAAGAGTGAAACTTGGGACTTTTGCTAGAATTATCAAGAAAGAAGTACTCTCTTCAAGTTGGCATATTAGCTGGTAGAATATATGCATGAGACTCTGGGTGCCCTTCTCACACGTTCATGTCAAAATTCTACATGAACATAAAAATACATTAAAAAAGAACACAGCTGAGCAATGAAGATCAATAGTTGCATAATTTCAAATGATGCTGTCATTTAAAATCTTGTAACCAGTCATGCTTTAAGCTAATGAGATTCACTCTTTTGTACCCTCTAGTTTTATGAGCCAAAATATTTCGCTTTAAATCAAACATGTAATTTGAGTTAATATTATCTGTAACTGTAAAAATTCCAACTTATCCACTCTCAAAGGCAGAAAAATTAACATAAAGAATATATTCTCTTTAAAACTGAGATAACTTAAATCCATTAATTTCATTTTATGCTTTGTATAGTTATTTGACACATACAAAAAAGTAATACTACGAAGCAGCCCATCATTCATTTGTTACACAAAATTTTATGTGGGTAAAATGAAGTTATTTCTATTTTTTAAATTTTTTCATTTTAGAGTGATTTTATTTGTAACTTTTCAGAGGCTTGGCCTTGCAATAAGACAGCATATTAAAATTTCACCAATCCTAAAGTCAATTGCCAGTACCACACACACACACACACACACACACACACACACTATATTCTTGTTTCCTAGAATTCCTTCAGATCCACATACCATAATAAGAAAATATATTCTTATCACATACAATCTCTACTTTTAGATAGTGGTTATTGCTGATGTGAGTGGGTTTATGTTCCTTAAAGCGCTAACCAACACATGCCTTAGTGAAAAAGTAATAGACTACCAAATATCTACACATTTAATGTAAAAGTAAGTTCTAAATTCAAGTTTCTATAAAGGTACTACAAACCTGTTTTAAAAAAAATTTTTTTTTAAAAAAAGAAAACTTGCCACTCTTGAAGGACAATACAAAGATATTTCCTTTCACTACTCTTTCTTAACATAGTACTTGAATTCCTAACTAATGCAATAAGACTAGAAATGGAAATTAAAGGCATATATTTTGGAAAGAAAGAAATAATACTAACTTTTTTTGCAGATAACATGATTATCTACATAGAAAATCATAAATAATCTACAAAAATACTCCTGGAACTAATAAGTGGCAATAGTAAGGTTGCAGAATACAAGATTAATATAAAAGTCAATCACTTCCTATATATCAGCAATGAATGAACAAGTGTAATTTGAAATTAAAAATGTAAACCTTTATATTAACAAGACCATAAAATGAAATACTGGTATAAATCTAATAAAATATGTAAAATATTCCTATAAAGAAAACAACAAAAGTCTAATGAAAGAAATTAAAGAGGAATTACATAAATTGAGAGACATTCCATGTTAATGGATAAGAAGACTCAATATTGTCTAGATGTCAGTTCTTCCCAATCTGATCTATATTTTCAATGTGATCCCAACTGAAATTTTAGCAAGTTATTTTCTAAATACCAACCAACCATTCCGATGTATATATGAAGATGAAGACAGCCAGCACAATATTCAAGGAGAAGAACAAAGTCAGACGACTGATACTCTCTGACATCCAGACTTACTATAAAGCTACATAATCAATACAGTGTGATTTTGGTGAAACATAGATAAAAAGACCAGTGGAACAGAATAGAGAGCCCAGAAATACACCCACATAAATATAGTCAAGTGATTTCGACAAAGAAGCAAATGCAATACAGTGGAGTGAAGATAGTGTTTTCAGCTAATGATGCTGGAACAACTGGGCGTCATATGCAAAAATGAATCTAAGCACAGGCCTTCCACTTCTTACAAAAATTAGCTCAGAATAAATCGTGGTTCTAAATGTAACACACAAAGCTATAAATCTCCTAAAAAATAACACAGGAAAAAGTGTAGATGACCTTGGATTTGGCAATCACTTTTTAATTAAAACACCAAAAGCACAATCCATCAAATAAATAATTGATAAACTGTACTTTATTAAAATTAAAAACTTAAGCTCTGCAAAGGCACTGTCTATATTTGAGTGAGAAGACAAGCCACATAATAAAAGAAAATATTTGCAAAACATATCTGATAAAGGGCTGTTATTTAAAATATAAACAGAACTCTCAAAGCTCAACAACAAGAAAAAAAAAAACTCAATTTAAAAATGAACCAAAGATCAAACAGACATCTCACAAAAGGATATACACAGATGACAAATAAGCCTACTGAAAACGTTCCACATCACATGTCATTAGGGAATTGCAAATTAAAACAACGAGATGCCAGTTTACACCTGTTAGGAGGATAAAAATCCCAAACACTGAGAACATCAAATGTTGGCAAGAATGTGGAGCAATAGGGACTCTCATTCATTGCTGGTGGGAATGCAAAATTGGTATAGCCACTTTTGAAAACAGTTTGGCAGTTTCTTACAAAACTCTTGCAATATGATATAGCAGTTGTGCTCCTCAGTATTTACACAAAGGAGCTGAAAACTTATGCCCATAGAAAACTCTGCACACAGATGTGTATAGCAGCTTTATTCATAATTGCCAAAACTTGGAAGTGGCAAAGATGTCCATCCATAAGCAAGTTGATAAACTGGTACATCCAGACAACAGAATGTTATTTGGTGCTAAAGAAAAAATGAGTTATCAAGCCCTGAAAAGGCATGTAGGAAGCTTGAATGCATATTACTAAGCTAAAGAAGCCAATTTGAAAAGACTCCATACTATATGATTCCAATCATATGGCATTTTGGAAAAGGCAAAACAGTAAAAGAACTAGTTGTCTGAGGTCGGGGGAAGGGAGGGATAAACAAGTAGAACAAAGAAGATTTTTAGGGCAGTAAAGCTACTTCCCTACTGATATTACAGTGTGGATACATGTTACTATACATTTTTCCCAAACCCATAAAATGTACATCACCAAGATTGAACCCTAATGTAAATTAAGCACTTTTAGTAATAATAGTGTGTCAATTATCCATTGATTGTGACAAATGTACCACTGTGGTGGAAGATGTTGGCAATGAGGAAACCATGCATATAGGGAGCCAAGGGGTATATGAGAACGCTTTGTATTTTCAAATTTTGCTATGGATCTAAACAGTTCTACAAAATAAAGCTTATTTAAAAAAATCTGAAACTCAAGAAGCATAGTACATGTAAATTAAATTTTCAACTGGAAAAAATATTTTAAATTATGTTTGAATGTGATGCTATAAGCTTTTATTAGTCTTAATTACAAAACATAACCATTGAGCATATATTTTGCAATTAATATAAAGCTTATTAAACAATGTCATCTGTATGAGGCCTCCACAGGAAATTTGTTTCCAAATATAGTGTCAAAAATATCCTTAGAAATAGTGATATGTTTATTACTTCTGATAAGATGATTTTCAAACTGGCTGCTAAATCATAGTCCAAGGTAATAATCACAATAGTGACATTACCATTTCAGAGTCTGAGCATTTTATTCCCTCATTTCATGTCCTTAGTTTATCAATTAATGAGAGAAAGAAAAGTGTTGAAAATTTGGCAGTTTTACTAACATGGTATCTACTCTTTTTGCATTAGATCATATCGAAACCTAATTAGAAGGTATATCTTTATGTTAATATAATAAATAACATTATTATTTGCTATGACATTTGGAGTACTAGAACAGAGTTCACTTTTACCTTCTTTACTTTTGAAACTATTAATATATTGTGGCTATATCTAGTTTAAAAGTTATTAATTTCCAGTGTTCTCAAGTTATCTATAGTCATACAAAAAATTGCTATCCTAGGGTTACAAGAAATTTCTGTGGATGTAGAAAAAAATGTTCTGGCCTCCATTCTTGCATTGTTTTTTATTTGAACATTCTCAGACATTAAATGACTCCATAAAATTGAAGGTCATCATTTTATTTTATGCCTCCTTATCTGAAAGACCATTACAAGCATATCAGCTTAAGACAGAAACATCTAAAGCCATGTGGCATTAGTTTTTTGGTTTCTGTATAATATCTAGTGGACAGATAACAATATATCATATTCACTGCCATCACCAATATTATGAGTCAGGTAGGAATGATGAACCAGGTGAATCTGCAAAGTGAAACCCAGGGTGAAGGTTGTAACCATCAATTTTGTGTTATGATGTTCTATTTTTTCTTATATTTATTTTTCGATAGAGTTTGGTTCCAAAGAATTAGCCTGTGGCCATCAAGGCAGCTTAGAGTCTGTTCTCAAAGCTGGGAAAACATATGCCAATGAAACAAAAAAAAATTTCTTTTAATGGAGAATCAGAATGTTAATTTAAATTCTATAAGGAGGGCTATAAACAAATCGTTACAAGAGACATAGGTTTAGGGGATATTGCACAAAGGCAGTGTTAAGATAAACTTTAAAACAGCTCTTCACTAAGAATATTATGAGAGTCCCTTATAAAATCTTTGTTAGGAGCCACAAACTACATTTGAGGAGTCTACCTCAAGATACTACTTGGAACTATTGACAAAGAGCTTTACAGGTTAGTTTCCAAGCAGCTGATGGAAGAAAATTGCTGTTATTTATGCTCCTTTTCAAAACAAGCACAGCTGGGCTATTTAATTTCTTTAAGTTGAAGGAATTTGATAATTTATGTAACAATTTTTCACTAATTCTCTAGACCCAATGACAATGTTGTATCTTCATCAGCGCTATTTTTTCTCCATTCAAACAAAATATTTTGTGACAGTATAAATAAGTGTAATCGTTGTTAAAAGGGCTTTACTTGTCTGCTTAAAGATTTTAGCCCCCACACTGTGTGCACTGTATATTAAGTTCCCACACACTCTAGGCATCATTGCAAATTATTAATAAGATGTGTCCACATGCACACGTATGTTTATTGCGGCACTATTCACAATAGCAAAGACTTGGAACCAACCCAAATGTCCAACAATGATAGACTGGATTAAGAAAATGTGGCACATATACACCATGGAATACTATGCAGCCATAAAAAATGATGAGTTCATGTCCTTTGTAGGGACACGGATGAAACTGGAAACCATCATTCTCAGCAAACTATCACAAGGACAAAAAACCAAACACCGCATGTTCTCACTCACAGGTGGGAATTGAACAATGAGAACACATGGACACAGGAAGGGGAACATCGCACTCCAGGGACTGTTGTGGGGTGGGGGGAGCTGGGAGGGATAGCATTAGGAGATATACCTAATGTTAAATGACGAGTTAATGGGTGCAGCACACCAACATGGCACATGTATACATATGTAACAAACCCGCACATTGTGTACATGTAACCTAAAACTTAAAGTATAATAATAATAAAATAAAATAAAATAAAATGTGTTCAGATGAAAAAAAAAAGACGTGTCCAAAATAGTTCAGTGTATGCCACTCCACCCGGGCTAAATAAGAGAGGCCAGTGGTTCATTAGTACAGAAGATGATGCTTTGAAAAAAAATTGTAGCAGTGGAGAATACTGTAGTCAAGTAAGATGGGCATCGAGAGAATGCTCTGGTGTGATTGGGCAGGGTTTCTTTCTGGAAGGAGAGATAGGTGTTTTCCTCCAACTGGCAAGCTTGCTGAGCTGTAGAAATGGGAGACTCTGCTATGACACCAGAGTAATCCACAATGAGAAAGAAGTTGAAAAGGTTGTTATGGTTATCTAAAATTTTGAAGAACATAGAGACTGGGACTGAATTCTCTCTTGAACTGTGAAGATAAGTGGCTGGCTGGAGCTTCCCATAGCACAGGATAAGGAAAGCAAAGAAACAGGAGTGGCCTGCACTTCCAGGTTTGGATGGAGAAGTGATGCGTGAATTCCTGTGAACCACATGTTCTGTGGCATGTTGAATCATCTTGTAGACTTTGCCCAGGATATCTGCCTTTCAGATAGAGGTACTCCAGTAGATAGAATGGAGGTATGGTGCCAGAAGGCAGGAGCTTAGGAGTACATGTAAGAGGTTATTCAGGGCCGGGCACAGTGGCTCATGTCTGTAATTCTAGCACTTTGGGAGGACAAGGCGGGTGGGAGGTCAGGAGTTCGAGACCAGCCTGACCAACGTAGCGAAACCCTGTCTCTATAAAAAAAATACAAAAATTAGCTGGGTGTGGTGGTGGGCACCTGTAATCTGAGCTACTCGGGAGGCTGATGCAGGAGAATCACTTGAACCCAGGAGGTGGATGTTGCAGTGAGCTGAGACTGCGCCATGGCACTCCAGCCTGGGTGACAAAGCGAGACTCTTTCTCAAATAAAAAAAAAAAGAGGTTATTTAGAGATATTAACCACAGAGAGAACGGTGCAACACAGAAGTCTCTAGAGGAAGAGTTTTCAAAGAACCTACAAAAAAAACTTCATGCAAAAGACAGTACTTCATGCAAAAGACAGTCAACATTTAGCCATCTATCATATAGGACCCAGTGATAGCCAGGTTAAATTAACCCCAGGCAAGAAATACTTTACAAGTTCTCTCTAATCTGCTCTCCCCTTGTTCTCTGACAATGGATGAGCCAAAAAGAGCAGAATGAGCTAGTGGAGAGGAAGAATAACAAGGGCTAGAGGACACACCATGCTTTTCACCCCATTATTAGTCTAACTATCCTAGGAGTTGGGCAGAAGGAGATCTGAATTAGCTGAGAGATTAAAATTTTGATTTAGATTGGACAGAATATTTTAACAATGAAACTGTTTTAATTGTTGAAAGACAAAAACATTTGAACAGCTGAAAGGATGAGACTGTTGTAACAGCTGAAAAATCACTGGAAGTACATGAGATATTCTTGCAATATTGGCAAGAGAAATGGGAGATCTGGGAAAGTGAATTGTGAAAGCAACATTGAAAAAAATGAAAAGCAATTTCCATATCGTTTTATGCTGAGACCAGGTCATTCTATAAACCAGACACATAAATAAAGAAAATAAAAGTACAGCTAGTCTTATTGAAGTAAAAGCGGTATTCCCAGTCTCAGCTGTTCATCCCTTTCTGTCTCACAAAGGTCTCTGATCATCATCCCCTGAGCTGTAAGAAATATAAATTTAAAACCACCTATGTCAATATTCTTCAGTACTCATGCACAGACTAGCACCAGTCCCTTACAAAGTTTTAACTGGTTCAAGAGGAAAAGAGAAAAAAAATAAGAAAGATAGAGTACATTTTTTTAATATTAAATTTAAATCTCTATAATGTATTCTAACTTTTAAATGCCAATTATTTTAGAAAATGATGAAATAAGAGAGTAGAAAGAAGATTTTGTTGTTTTTTGTACAGAATACTTCTTGGAAAAAATTAAAATTTGGCATCCCTATGTCTAATACTATACATTTTATATTGATTTATAAAAGTCCACTTCTTAAGCCTAAAATCCTCTAATTAACATTTTTCTACTCTCATTTTACTGATTTAATGTAGAGAAAATATTTTTAAATTTGGTATTACAAAACAGAAAAGCAAGCATTGAGCAATGCTATAAATTTCAATAGTAATAGAAACAGATTATTTTATATTTCCAATAGATAATCCTGAGGTTTCATCTCACTGTGCAGCAAACTTATGTTCACTGTATTTATCTCCTTTTCCGTAAAATTCCCTTATCTTTACCCAACCCCTCAATTGAACTATCTTCTAGTACCACATTATAAAATTATCTGTAGCACATTTACACTCCACATTTATATCTAAGGTAATCAATGAATGGAATGAGTACTGAAATATCATATTTAGAGTAATCTGTTCTCATTCAAGGAAACACATTTCACTTCAAGGAAAAACTCTGACTGAAAATACCTTTGTCACTTTCCTATTACATATTGCATTTTATCCACAATTCCCATATACAATGACATTATTTTTCTATAAATGCACATAGCTATTCAAGCCACATTGCTGATTATCACCAAACAAACAGAATTATTCAGTGTTGAATGAGTCAATTTCAAGAATGAACACCAAGAGCTATTCCTCTAATTTTTGTTTCCAACAGTACTTTACTTCATAACCCAGTGACTTGTGCTAATATAACTTGTGGATGGAGCTGCAGAAAGGGATGTGGAAATCTAAAAAGAATTTACAATTTATTGGAAATCTGTAAATTCATACCTTTTCATCTAATCCTCTTGTCCCTTTTGTCCCATGAGTACCTTAGGCACTGTGCCTTGTTTCTTAATATTTTCCTAACGGAGATGCTTTTATTCCCCACCCTTCCGCTACAATGTCCACCTTGAATGGCCAACTCAAAACTTCTTTTAATAAGCTGTCTATGTCATTCATCCATTTATGGATACTTAGGTTGTTTCCATATCTTGGTTATTATGAATAATGCTGCAATAAGTGTGGGAGTGCACATATCTCTTTGACACACTGATTTCTTTCTTTTGAATATATACTCAATGATGGGTCTGCTAAATCATATGTTAGTTGTATTTTTAGTTTTTTTATGAACTTCCATGTTGTTTTCCATAATGACTACACCAATTTATAGTCCTACCGAAAATGTGCAAGTGTTCCATTTCTTCCACGTTCCTTGCCAACCCTTCTTATCTTTCTTCTTTTTGATAATGACCATTCTAACAGATGTAAGATGATAACTCATTGTCGTTTTAATTTGAATTTCCATGATAATTACCGATGTACATTTTTATATATCTGTTGGCCATTTTTATGTCCTCTTTGGAGGAATGTCTATTCAGATTACTTTCCCATTTTTAATTGGCTTATTTATTTCCTTGGTAGGTTGTATGAGTTCCTTATGTATTTTGAATATTTGCTCCTTATCAGATATATAGTTTGCAAGTATTTTCTACGATTCTACAGGTTGTCTCTTCCCTCTGTTGTTTTCTTGGATGTGAAGAACCTTTTTGGTTTCATTTAATTCCATTTGTATATTTTTACTTTTGCTGTCTGTGTTTCTGGGATAGTATCCAAAAAAAAATCATTACCCAGACCAATGTCACAGCAATTTCCCTCTCTATTGTCTTCTATTAGCTTTACAGCTTCAGATCCCACATTTAAGTCTTTAATCCATTTTGAATTGATTTTTAAATGGTATAAGATGAATGCCTAATACATTCTTCTGCATGTAGACATCCAGTTTTCTCAAAACCATTTGTTAAAAAGACTGTCCTTTGCCCATGGTGTATTCTCAGCATCTTTATAAAAAATCAGTTAAGTGTAAATGGGTGAATTTATTTCTGGGCTCTCTGTTCTCTTCCATTTGTCTATTCGTCTGGTTTTGTGCCAATGCCATACTACTTCAGTTACTAAAGCTTTGTAGTATATTTTGAAATCAGATAATGTGCTGGTTTTACCTTTGCTAATTGTTTCTGAAGATTGCTTTGACTATTCAGGGACTTTAGTGATTCCATATAAATTTTAAGGTTCTTTTTTATATTTCTATGTAAACAATGCCCTTGGATTTTGGATACAGATTGCATGAATTTGTAGTTTGCTTTGGGTAGTATGAATATATTGATAATTTTTTTTCAATCCATGAATATGGGTCATCTTTCAATTTTTTAATCTCTTTCAATTTTTTATCAATGTTTCACATTTTTCAATATACAAGGTTCAGTTTATTTATAAGTATCCTATTCTTTTTAATGCCATTGTAAATAGAATTGTTTTGTTGACTTCCTTTTGGGTAGTGCATTGTAAATGTAAATAAATGTTACTGATTTTTGTATGCTCACTTTGTATTCTGCAACTTAACTGAATTCATTAATTAGTTCTACTAAGTTTTTTATAGACTCTTTGCGGTTTAATATTTAGGATCATGTCATCTGCGAACAGAAACAAGTTTACTTCTTCATTTCTGATTTGTATAATTTTAATGTATTTTTCTTGCTTAATTACTCTGGCTATAACTTCCAGTACTGTGTTGATTAGAAGTGCTGAAAATAAGCATGCTTGCCTTGGTTTGACTCTTAGAGAAAAAGCTGTCAGTTTTTTACCATTGAACGTGATGTTTTCTGTGAGATTTTCACATATGGCCTTTATTAAGTTCAGGTAAGCTCCTTCAATACCAAATTTGTTGAGAGTTTTTATCACAAAAGAGTGTTGAATTTTGCCAAAAATTTTTTTTGCATCTATTGAAATGATCATGTGATTTTTATCCTCCATCCTGTTAATGTGGTATATTAGATTGATTGATTTGTGTATGTTGAATCATCCTTACATTCCAGGGATAAATCCCACTTAGTCATGGTATATGATACTTTTAATGTGCTATTATATTCGGTTTGCTGGTATTCTGTTGAGAGCTTTTGCATCTATGTTTTCTAGAGATATTGGCCTGTAGTCTTTTTTTTTTTAATTGTAGTGTCTTTGTCCTTGCTTTGGTATTAGAGTGATGCTGACCTCATTAAGTGAGTTTTGACCTCTTCCATTTTTTGGAATTTTTTTAAGTATTGATATTAATTCTTTATTAAATGTTTAGTATAATGAAGCCATCTTGTCTTGGACTTTTCTTTCTTAGAGGATTTTGGATTACTGATACTGCCTCCCGTGTTGTTAAATGTTCCTTGACAGATGAATGGACAAAGAAAATGTGGAGATATATACATATATAGACAAATAGGTAGATATATACACAATGTATATACAGTATATATACAATATATGTATGTGTGTGTGTGTGTGTGTGTGTGTGTGTGTGTATATATATATATATATATATATATATATATACAAAAAATGAAACATTATTCAGCCTTAAAGAAAGAAAATCCTGTCATTTGGAGCAAAATAAAGAAACTTAGAAGGCATTATGCTAAATGAAATAAGCCAGACCCGAAGAACAAATACTACATGACTTCTCTTACATCAGGAAATTAAAATAGTCAACTCAGAAGCAGAGAATAGAGTGATGCTTACCATGGTCAGGGACAACAGGGAATTAGGTAAGTATTGGTCAGAGGGTACACAGTCTTAGTTATGTGAGATGAATAAGTCCTACAGACCTTACTGTGTAGCATAATACATATAGATAACAATACTGCATTGTATACTTAAAGATGTATTAAGCACATACATCTTATATTAAATGTTATCACAAAAAAGGGAGAAAGGAAAATTTTAGAGATAATGGTTATGTTTATGGCATTGTTTATGGTGATGTTTTCACTGGTGTATACTCATCTTCAAACTCAAGATGAATTAAGAAAATACGTACAGCTGTTTTGTATGTCAATCATGCCTCAGTAACATTTTTTTAAATAAAAATATTTTTAAATTGTCTTTATTCCAGTGTTCACTGAGTTACTTATTTTTAATTCCTCAGTACTTAATAGTCCATGTCATATATATCTATACATATATATACATATATACATATACATATGTATATGTATATATGTATACATATGTGTGTGTATATATACATATACATATATATGTATACATATGTGTGTATATATATATACACACACACTTAATCATATACTTTTACATTGCGTTTGTGGATTATCTCCACAAAAGTGAGGGAAAGTTTTCTTTCAGTTTGATTTGGTTTTGGTTTTGAACAAAAGATGAGACTTGTTTTAGCTTCAGTCAGTCTGCCAGGATTTAGACTTTCCCTACACCAATGCTATGTCTATAGCTTTGGATGAGTGATTTGACCTTTCTGAATCTTATCTATAAAATGGTAATGAAAACAATTCCTACTTCTTAGGTTTGTTAAGAGGTTTATATGAGCAAAGTCACTAAAATACAGCAGAATGCCTGCCATATTACAATCTTCCCCAAAATGCTCCTCCTTTGTTATCTTCCTCTCCTTGTATTCAATTGTTATTATCTGCCCCAAGAGGCCTAACACAATATTAATGACTTAAGAGTTATTTAATAATTACTCAATTCTACATTTAAAAATGGTCTAAAAATGTTTTATAAATCATTCAATCTTTGCTCCTCCCATTAGCGCCACTACCATTATCCCATCTCCACTTTGGACTGATTTTGAGCCCAGCTTTTATTAAATTCATTCTGGTACTATGAGTTTACATTTCTCATCACTCTCATTGAAAATCTCAATCTTCTTTCCTTTCCCTCTTCAAAAACACAAAAGTTGTTAGAAATGTGTGCCAGTTTTAATGTATTGTCTCTCAGCTCCAAATTGACCCTTTTTACTTCCTTACTGAAAATAAGTATCAGTCCTCTAAACATTTTTCCTTTACCAGCAGGCACTGAAGCTTTAACAGATAGGGCACTGGTGAGTTATTTCAGCAGGAAAAGGTTCTGCTACCTGGTTCCCGTGTGCTCTCTTGGCAGACACCTGCAGCACACACCTGTGCCCAGGTCTTGTAGCACAGAGGCCACAGCACTCAGTGGCCAGTAGCTTTCCTTAGCACTCACCATGGGAACATTTTAGTAGAGTGCATCAAGGAGATAATTCCTTATGAACAGCATTTCCACGCACTTTCAGTGCAGGTTTCCAGTAAGTTCTGCTGGCGTGGAACCACAATGGATTATCTGTTATCCAGTGATCCATGGCTGTGCCATCTCTATCAGGGTCTGGACTCATCCTTGGGGAAAGGAGGAGTGTGGGGGCTCTCTTGGGTGCTCTGTCTTAGCCCTAAGTTTAGTGACCATCCTTGTATGTGCTCTTCTTACATTCTCTACCTTCTTTAATTCTTACTACCAAATCTCTCATTACTTCACTCCATTATTATACATAGTTTATTTATATAACTTTCCCTCTTCAAATTATTGTGTCTTTTTTTCTCTTCTGTTGGACCCAAGCTGATCCAGAGTTCATCATAGTTTCATAGTTTTACTTAGCAACATATTCCAGACCTTTATCACATTTTTAATGATATAATATATTTAATGACAGGTATTAGATACCATGTGGACTCTATTTATATAATCAATTTTTTTAAATGCCAAATAAGGAAGAAATAGCAATTCTTCTAAATAAAAATGGTAATCAGCATAGAAGTATTTTAATTCTCAAGTATGTAGCTGTAGGGAAAGGAAAATAATTTTTTTCGAACCTTCAAATGTTCTTAGTTGGAATGGACCCCTGTAACAAAAAACAGATTAACAAGAGAAAAACAAACAGAAGTTTATTAACATGTATATTGCACATACACACAGGAAACATCCACAGAATGAGTAGTTATCAAAGAAGTGGCTTTGAATTCCAGTTTATATAGCTACTTCAACAAAGAAGAGTCAATTTTTTAAAAAGTGACAAGACAAAAGAAAAGGACTTTGAGTCTACAGGGGCAGCAACTTGTGGAAGGCAAATAACTAGTAGAGAAAGGCTAGTTAGTAAAGCTTGCCATATTGGTTTCCCTTGTGCCATATTAAAGGCAATAATGGTCTAAAGTTGTCTTCAGTGGTTAACCTTTGTTCTCCCTGGTGTAAGCAGAAGCAGGCTACCTTGGTCTTTGTACAGTTATGTCCTGCTTTTAAGACAAAGAAAGGAAGGGCAGAGAGCTTTCCTGCATCTGCTGTTTCTTAATTGCCCTCAGTGCAACAATTCTTTGTAGTTGGGGGTGATATATTCTGGTCTCCCACATAGCTCATTCAGTCAAAAGATAAAATAGCCACCTATATCTTGTATTTTCTACCGGAAGAAGCCATTTATTTTTTCAACATATAATCAATTGTAATTTTTTAAAAAATTAGCAGCATATTTTAATTAGAAGGAGTTGAAAGCTTAACAGCTCCAAGTGATAAGATATAGTACTGCATTTTAACCAACATGAGCATTAGAATTAGATCCAAGGGCAAATGAATCCAAAAATGGGTGAGTTTCCTGAGTACAAAAAGAAAAGAATGAAGAGGAAGAGCGGGAAAAGGAGAAGGTAGAAGAGAAAAAGCAGAAGGAGGAAGAGGAGAAAAATAAAGAGAATTGGGTGTTATTTTCTCAGCAAGATAACTGCTATCTGCTGATTAAGCCATCTCTGTCTCAGTGCTCCTTGGTATCACTTTCTTGTTTTTCTCAATTTATTCAAAAGTCCTTTCAAGTAGCATTTCTTATTATAACAATACATCATGCAACTCTCTTTTCTGAAACTTAAAATTTTGAAATAAAATTATGTAAAAACAAAATACTTGTTTTCATCTTTTTTTTCTTGTGTGTTCAATTTAAGAAAGCAGCAGGCTTAAGGCATGAGTAGTGTTGTTTTGCCTTCTCCATCTATCATTTGCCAGATCTGCTCTACTAGAAGTATATTCTTTTGTTTCCAGGATGAGAGTGGAACTCACTGGCCTTAATGCAATCAAGTCATCTTTCTTCTTTATCAAGAACACTTCTGAGTCCCAGGAAACTGCCAAGTAGCTGCTGTCAGGAGCAGATGCTATTAAGGTTAGAAAACAAAGTTAAAGTGGGAAGTGGATGATCCAATCTTCTCTTGGGGGAACTGTGTTTACCTTTTTCCAGAAACAGAGCAGCTCTAGTAAATATGCAATAAAAAAGGCAAGCCTGAAAGGACCCCAGAATATGCAGTTTTATATTGAAACAGATTTGTCAACTTATTACATATTGGTGTGTTCACACAGTTTTGAATATTCACTATCAAATGCCTTTTAAATTCAGCAGTGAATTCTGCTGCCGCGCAGATGATTTCAGTTATTATATAAAAGGACATGCACACATACATATGCATCAGGCAATATCAAAATGATAATGATTGCATTCCAAAGATACCTATTTGTTTATAGCCCCAAAGTTTAAATCTCTTTAGTACTCTGGAGATATAGCATTACATTAAAAAGCATTAACATTTAATGACCCTTTCATACTAAACAGGAAGAAAATAATAGGTACTATAGAAGGAAAGAAAAATAGTTTAAAAGCCTTTTTCCTCACTTTACTCTGACACATATGCTTTCAAACAGTAAAATTGTACCTGGTATAAGCATAGTAAGTATATGATTCTCATTATTTTGGGAAATGTTACTGTCAAAGCAGAAACATCCTCCAGGATGTGTGATGGTTAACTTATTCTCCTGTACAATGCATGCTAAAGATTCTGGTACAAATATTGAAAAACATAAGTCATAAACACTGAAAATGTCATAAAAGATATATTAATTTCATACTCAAACTTTTACTTTAAAACTATACCTCAAGAAGAATAATTTAAACAGCACAACCCTTTTCTGCACATGGCATTTTTACCTAACCTTGAAAAATAAGTGAGTCTTTTCACTCTACAAGACAAGCCCATGGATGGCATATGTTGTTTATCTTAATGGATTTATTCAAATATATTTTAAATTTTCTCTACTTAATGAATATACTAATGCCAAGTTACCACACAAAGAGTACTTACACTTAACAAAGCCAGCTGTTATTATGATTAAATATTTTGTCAGAAAACATGGAATTATATTTTAACAGAAGTTCAAAATCATCAAAATCACTTTAATAATACAAAGTATGCATTATCAATCCTTAGTTTACTTGTTTTTATTGCTATTTTTCTCCTTTGCATTTTGATGCCGGAATTCCTTCATTAATATACATGAAGATTGTTTCCAAATCTTAATTGCCCACTCAGATACCTGACAATAAAACAGAAGGATCAAGTCAGGTTACTTATTAGTCAGGCTCAAATGGAATATGGTTTGCTCTCATGTGTAATAACTGTAAATAAAGGCAAGTATCTTTTATAGGTCTATCAAAATCCAAAATGTTGTATGAGCTACACTGATTGATTTATCAAATATTTATATAAGCACCTTCTATGTATTAAATTGCAAGGCTAGGTACTGATGATACCAAAATGAATAATGCATTTCCATTTTTATTTTTCATGTCTTTAAATAAATGAACAGACTGGTAGCCATGACTGGCATGTAAATAGATAACAGTAACCATACTGTTAGTATAATATATCCCAGAGCAGGCATTGGGTGGAGAGTATCCACCTGCTCATAAAGCAGATAACTGAATTGGGCTTTCAGGTATATACAGAAGTTCACTAGGCAAAAAAAAAAAAAAAAAAAAAAAAGATTCTAAGTCACAAAAAATAATAGGTAAAAAACAAAAATCCCAAAAACAACTTGAAAAATTAAAGGGATTGCCAGAGGTTAGGTAGATATGACAGGAGTTTTTGGAGGCAAGTGATGAGATGCAGGACATGAGCTGAGAGAAAGAGAGGCAAAGACCACATCATGGAGGCTCTGAAAAAGAAACTGCCCTTTATCCATAAGACTACCAATCGATGACTCAGGGCATCAGTGGAAATCAGATAAGCATTTTAAGATCAGCTAATTCAGACTTCACAGTGTTTACAATAGAATGAAGATCAACAAGAGCAGATCAGAAGACGTTCCTATCAACCAAGTGCAAGGTATTGAGGGAATAAACTGGGACACTGGCTGATATCAAATAGGCAACACATAAAAGAACATAAACCCAAACTAATTCCCACCTTGGGATCCCAAGATTACACACGTGTGAACCCAAGGGGAACAAAGGGAGATAAAATACAAACAAACAAAAACAATTCCTGGGAGTTCAGAGGAAGTATGACCATAATACTGAATGTATAAAAAACGTTTCATTGGCCCTTAAAGTTAGTATAAGCCCCTGATACAAACTACCATAATGTGTGTAATACTACTGAACCTAATGTTAATTTTCTGGAAATGGTCAGTCACTTCTTTCTAGTTGCCTCTGTTATTCATTCCACAATTAAAATAAAATTTCTTTCAAATCCACAGAAAACATATTAGAAGAAAATACTCGAGATTTTCAATTGGTAAACAATTCATTCAAAAATAACCCACGTAAGTATAAAACAGTGTTTTCTACATTTTCTACCTATATTGTACTAGGTTGTTTAAATGATAATATAAGAATATTAAATATTCCTCAAGTTATAACATCATGTTTTCACATTCACCTTTCTTGTTGATTTATTGGCAAAGAAGGAAGGATTACTTAAAGGAGCTACAGAATTTGAAGGCCATTTGATTTTCTTTAATCTTTTCTTTTACCATACAGAAATCATTTAAATAAGCTACATCTGTAATGGAAACTGTCAATAATGATTAAAGTGGTTTAGCTATCAGGTTACAGAAATTTAAAAGCTACCAACCAAAGCTAAATATCCAGTTTAAGGGAATTCACATGCTCTTACATTGTAATTGAAATCACGTGAGGGCTATTTACTACGAAATGAAAATGAATGTCTTGTGAGCTGAGTTAAATATAATTATAAATCTGCATTTCTGAAACTGAAGAAGTATCTCTTTGTGCCAGAGCCCTGACTCAGAGTGTGGACAAGACAACTACAAATAGCTCGTATATTGTAGGAAAATAATCTGTACAAAATACCAATGTAAACATTATTTATTTTCTAAATGACGTCACTCTTGAAGGCTCTTTTTTTATCATTGCTCACAGTCACTTACCTTTGAAAGATCTAATATTCACAGATGTTTTAAATATTTCATTGTCTCTTAAACCAAATGCATTTCTAATATTCAGATTATTAAAAGGTTTTTCTACCAATGCCACACTCACCACCACCACCCTCTCTGAATTTTTTGTATTATTGTTTTATATTTTGAGGCAAGTAGCTGAGTTTGATTAAAATATATTGATGCTTGGGTATGGGCTGAAGAACCACCTGTTGGGTACTATGCTTACTGCCTGCACGATGGGATTGTTGGGACCCCAGGCCTCAGCATCACTCAGTCTACCCAGGTAACATACCTGCATGTGTACGCTCTAATCTATAATAAAAGTTGAATTAAAAAATATATAGAGAGAGAGTGGGCTGAGAGAGGGCTATTCTTGAATTATTTTTGTACAAATTCCCGTAAGTTCACATTAGAAACTCTCCGAAGAAAACGTGTACATAACTGGAAAATTCTAAAGTCTGGCAAGATATCCCTTTACTATATTAGCATAGAAAATCTACTATTGTGTAGTTATAAAAATTTAAGGTTTTACTCAGATATGTTTGTTATTTTCTAGTAAAATAACAACTTCTAGTATTTTCCTTAAACATATTTAAAAGAATTTGACTTGATTTAACTGATCACAGAATCTAATAAGTAGCAGCAGGCTATAGGTTTACAAAAAACAGACCTTCTAGACTTTTTCTAGTCATTTTTTTCTAGTGAGAAAAACATGAATGAAAATCTCTTCTCCCCTTTTTTAACAAGGGAGAAACTTAGGGATCAGAGGATAACATCTGTGGGTGATGACATGGCGTCATCCACTTCATGTTTACTCTGCCAGAAACATTTCCATCTTATGTGAAGGTCCTTTGGATAAGAATCTACCCAAGAAGGTATCAAAAGGTTCTCAGTGTCAGAATTAAGTTTTAACAACATGGAGAGCAAAGAGAAGTTCATATAAAGAATATATTTCCCTTATGTACAGCTTTACTGGTTTTACTCTAGAATAAATTTGAAAAAGAATATATGTTGCATTTCAGGCTTGTTTGCTCTGTAGAAAGTAGGAAACCAGCCAAAGTCTTGTTGGTTATGATTTAGAACTACAATTGGAACCCTAATCACCATATTTCTACCTCTTTAATTGGAGTCAGCTGAATCCTCAACTGACTCCTCAGCCAGAAAAAGCTTTCATTAACATCAGGGTAAAGCTTGGTATATTAGGATGTTCAAGAAGATATATAATTCAGGAACATCTTTCTTACATGAGAAGGAGTAGAGTTTCCTGAGTGAGAAAAGTGATGGTATAGAGAGGTGGAGGGAGAAGGGTCCATTGAATTAAGTAGGTGGAGTGAGCAGTCAGAGTTAAATTACAGTGTAAAATCCAAGGTTGTCTTGTCCCTTGCCTCTTTCTCTTGCAAGGAAACCATATTTATCAGTTCTGCTCCATCTTCTGTAATGCCTTAAGTTGCTTCACTAACTGCTGAGTAAAGAGTGCCCAGCATGCAGTGGAGCTCGCTGTGGAGTCAGACTAGGGAAGATAATACAATGCCATGTACTGAATGATAGCACCCATTTCCTATTGAACCGGTGAGGCTCACTTGGACCACTAGACAGCGTGGACCAGAGACCAGCAGGACACTCCCCAATTACAAAAGCCCATCATTCTCTTCATCTTTCTCAATGACCTATAGTGTATTAGGAAACAACCTACCCGCTTCTTGACCGGCCATAGGTCAGAAAAGATAGAGGTTGGTCCTCCCGAATTATTTACATCTGTCTGGAAAATAGAAACACTATTTTTACCCTTAGCATCCTTCTTCACCTCTCTGAGAGGCAAGCATTTAAGAAAAAAGGGGTGAGAAAATGAGAAGTTTTTCTCAACTCTAGCAAAATATTTTTTTCTGTGATGCTACATGCAATCAACAAGTATACAATGATTTTTAATACATCCCGCATGTGCTAGACCATGTGCAGAGATATAAGGGAAAATAAAATATAAAATATTACAGCCACTTAGAATCTATTTAAGTGTCAAGACATGTATGGCATGATTAGAAAATATGGGAAAATACATAACTGAATGTTAAATTCTATAAGAATTCAGAACTAGTAAGCAAAGCTTTTAATGCTTGCAATGGTGTGGGAAGTCTTTCTATAGAAGGTAAGACTTGAGGAAAACCTAAAAGAAAATGAATATAAATATAAGTATCCTACTACCTACTCTCCAAAAATAATGAGAGAGAGAGGATTGACCTCACTTTTTCACCATGCCGTAATTCAAAATCATTTCTTTCTTATATAAGCAAGCCAGGGAAATAGAGCCTCGGGTAAAATTCCACTCTGCAAACTCCTACACATCTCTAGGAAATATATGTCCCCTTTTCTTTTAAGCAGAAGAGTCAGTAGGATTTTCTTACCTTTGACACACAAAAAGAGCTGAACTTCAATTTATCTATCTCTTATCCTTGCAATGGAGGAAAGAATAAAATTCTTTTGTGTGGAAGCTGGATTTATTATAAAGTTCTATCTTGTGCTATGACTTTGCACTTTACATATCCTTTCTTTTATTTTTCAAAATAATTTTAACAAATAGATGTTACTATCCCTGTTTTATTGTTGATGAAATTGAAGTTGCAAGAGGTTAAGGAACCCTGGATAGGATAAAGATTATTTTCTCTTACACTCCAATGCTTATACTCTTCCTTTTATCTCATGTTTTCATTATAAAGAACAAAAATCTTGGGGATGGTGGGATAGTTTTATAAATATCCTATCTTTCTGAGAAGGGAAATAACAGCACTCCTTAGAAAAACTTTTATGAGAAATACTCCTTGCATGTAACTCCCCCTGAGATCATGGCCCCTTCCAGATTCTTCCCTATCCCCTTCTGGATTCCATGGCCCAAATCCAGATCACATACTTACACACCCCCAACATCCGATGACAGCTAAGTAGACATGGGGGTTGTCCTCCCTTCCTAGATATATAAAGCTATTGGCATAAAGCTATCCAAGTTGTATTACTCATAAGTGTCCTATTTACAAATGTGTTTGTTCAAATGTGTATAGAAAATACTTGTTAAACAATGCTACAAGTATTTAAATGAAAGGTTTCTCTGATTCCTTAATAAGCTAATGTGTAATGTGATACTACTAAAAAAACAAACATTATGTAGTAGTTCCCAAATGCATTTGACCCTCAAATTCTGTTTCAGGGATGGACAGTGGAGGATAGCTTATATCTATTAACATCTAGAGAAAATATTAGTATTTTCTGAAACCTAGTTTTGGAGATATAATCCTAGGAAAGGAGTTGGAAGATGTGAATGTCCATTCTAGGCATTACAGAAGGATCTGACCCTAGAAATGAGTCTAAAAAACAAAATGAAGATCAACTGAGTGAGGTAAACTCTTTTGTACTGAGTTGTATCTTTACGGTTTGGAAGAAATTAGCCTAATCCTAGATAGTTCTTTAGGGTCTGACTGACCACTAATAACTGACCACTAATAACTAATGGAGCTAAAATCAGGATGGACCAGCCCATGATTCAACTGCAGAGTATTGAGAGAAGATACTATTGAAAACAATTATTACTGGCTGGATGAGATGAGAGAAATACAATTTCAGCTGTAAATCTCAAGTCATACTAGAGGGTTGTGGTACATGCCATAAGAAAGAGTAGAGATTTTGCCAAAGATAGGCAAAGAAGAAGCTGGTGTGGATTCAGTAATCATGACAAGAAGATCCTGGATAAAGAACCAGAATCCACCAATCTCTTTGAGTCGAAACCAGATAGCAAACTTTGTGCAGGATCTTTACTGCACATGACCTATTGGGAGAAGGTATGAGGTATAAACCCCTTGGGTATGGCTGAACTGAGGCTAGATAGATCAATCCTCTCCTAACAGATTGAAGAATTGGGAGATGCTCACTGTGGCTCCTGTGGAAACCTTAGCATCATGATATCCCTGATTACCATGACATTACTAATTACCTAGAGAGTGATGGCTAATTTTTTACCTAAACTGATCTCCCACTAGAATTTATGCAAGGGGAAGTGGCTACAAGTCTCTGGTGGGGAAATTTTTCACATTTCTAATTGGGAACTCAGTATAGCATACGCTAACTTCCCAGAAAAGAAACCTGATGATTGAGTAAGTCAGTTGACACTAAACTTATACATGTATTCTTTAAATCTAGGACACAAAATTAAAAGTTAAATACATTTAAATTAACATTAAATTAGTTAAAATACATTTAAACCCCCAACACTTCACTTGCAGTCACAAGAAGTATCTCTCCTTTAAATTTACATTGTCTCTTTCTCTGATTATTTTTCTCCTACCTTCTACAGCTAGATATGCAACTGAAGAGAAAAGCCAACCTTTCAGCCATATCTGAACACTTTAGAACCACAAAATTTAATGTATCAATGAATATGAAATAAAAACACATAATAGAATAATAACCAGTGCTGAAGTCCTGGAAAATTAACTCTAGAATAACCTGGACATAGTCTGGGAACTAACATAATAAACCTTATTATATTTTTTCCTCTGAATTGAATTATTCCACATACATTTTAGCCACCTGACTAATTAAATAAAAAATGGTCTTATTTTAGTAATGAGTATCTGCAGCATGGAGAGACTAACTAACCTCAGTCATGAACCAGGTAAATCGGAAGGAATTAAATTCATGTTGTTACATCAAGTCTTAAATCATAAAGACAATGGGTGGCAAAGCCTGGCTAGCTGTGCACCAGAAAGTTTCCCTTTTCCTCTTGGGCACACAGGTAGTCCATATTTACCAGCCTTCTTTGTTGTGAGTGTAGCCACAAGTTCAAGTCTTAGAGAATGGAATATAGGCAGAAGCAATGTACACCACCTCCAGGCCTAGCCTATAAAATCCTTGTCATGAAATCTTTCATTTACTTTTCCCATCTACTACCTCTTTCCCAGACACAAAGAGTAAGAAGTACCATATTATTGCTTCAAGTCATTGACATTGGAGGACTTTTTATTATTTCATATCTTTTCATAAATTAGCACGCCCTGATAATACAGAAAAAAAACTTGTGATATTGTAATAAAAATGAATGTTTCCTCATTTGCTGCTAGGATTCAAATTAACTCCTATCTTTCCTAATGTTGACATCTTCTTTATAGACCAAAATGGAATATGGCTCCACTGCTATTGGTCTTTCATAGGTCAAATGATGCAAAGTTGGATCCCAGAAATGAAAACTTAGAATCAATATGTTGACCTCTGCTATCCAATTTATGATTCAGGGATAATAAACATTTTTCAACGTCATAAAAATCCTTACAAATCAGGAGCTTTTTATTTTCCTCTTCTGATTTACAGAGTAATATCTCAATACAATTGTTATTACTTTTCTGTGTAAATGTGGCTTCACCTTTGTATGTCCTATTTTAAAAATATATTTATAACTTTTTAAAAATATATAGAGAAAACCCAGTTGACAGTAAAATATCAATAAATGCATCGTTTTCAAAAATGGAAAGTTGTCTCTCAAAATGATATGGATATGAGTACATTCTTATTTGGGGGAGTTAGGACTGCTGCATGATACACAGGCATATTTTACATTCTTTTTGAAAATTTGTCTTTTGGCTTTATGTCAATGAGATAATAAGGTGGTCTGGCTTAAAATTATAAGCTCAAATTGAGTTTAGCAAAACTGAATTGTCTTGTTGTCTTCATAGAATCTATATCTTACCATAAGCTGCAACAGAGTTGAGAAGGATCTGTTCAAAATTGCTACAGATTTAAAAAAAAAGTTGTAATTATTTTCTGTGTGAGTCTATTCATTCCTGATTGCTACTTGAGTGGTCTCAAGACTCTTAAGATAAGAAAGTGACTTATTCCTTAGGAGCAATTACCCAACTCATATGAGAGAACAAATTTGAGAAACAAACTCATTTGTGACATATTCCTAACCCTGTTTAATGTGGACGCCCTGAAAATATATTGTTTCCAAATCCACAAAATTACACTAGATCATGAAAACAGCAGGGATATGTGTCCTGTGGAAACAGATGCACACAGAAAAGTGTTTACAGAAAATGAAGGGGGTATAATTTGCTGAAGACAAGTTCAATGACTAAAACACAGACTGTTCAAAACATTATTGTGCCTAATTGGTAGGCCCTCAATTTCCATCTCATCATGATAAAAATTATGCTTTTTCATATTTGAAAACTATTATATTCTGTTTAAATATATTTTCATTTATATTTTCTAAAATGGCTATTATCCCTTTAAAAAGCGAGAGCAGATGTGGAAGAAAACACAAAGCATGTTAGACACACCAAGAAGGGAATATAAAGCAGAAATTTAGAGTCATACTGTCCTTATTTTGGTGATGTGTTGAGAAGGAAAGTGATCAATTTAGAATCATTCTGGCCTCACCTGACAAAGCACTCTGGCGTAAGTCTGCATCCTCAGGGAAGAAGCGAGAAGCTGTCTTTCATTATGTGTGCACATGTACACACACATACAGTTCTGCTTGGCAACTCATACTTGTATGGAAATTCATATGTCCTCCAAGGTGAGGCACTTTTTAAGTTTCATGAAGGTCCATCTAGGCCAACAGAGTCCTTTAACTTGGCTAAGTTACCCTGAGTTCCTAATGCCAAAATTCTAGGGTTAGCATGTGTGCAGTGAAAGTGTAATTGGCTGTGAAGCAACAATTTAAAAAGCACTGAAATTAGTCACTAAATATGGATTCTAGTTCCCACTCCATCATCACTAATCACTGTGACCCTCAGCCTTCTCATCATAGACATACTTCCATTTAACCTACCATAAAGGGTGGTTGTATGCCTCAAATGAGATAAAATAATCACATCAAAAGCTATAAAGAGGCAAAGAAGGTGATGTAAATTTAGAAGAGTAAAAACTACCTTTCTTTACTTTCTTACTATTTATGAGTCAACAGAATAAAATTTTTTCTCAATAAAAAGATTAGAGAGAAGGAGGGAAGAGGGATGACTACATGCAGCCAGAAGGAACACCTAGCACTGAAGGAAGGGGACATTGGGAAGACTAGCAAACTCTGAGCGTATCTTTGGAGAGAAGGCATTGAGAGTGGATGGAGGGAGGACACAGATGCTGGCTGAAGGGGGAGGAAACTGGGAACCCTGCACAGTGATACCATGCACCAGGACTCATTCTTGGCCCCTAGTGACTCTTGGGGAAGAGGTGAGTTGAGTAGGCAAGGAGCAACCTGCTCTTGCCATGGACCTCTGAAAACATGGGAGCAGGAGACCCCATGACCACCACGGACATTTGAGCTAGAAGGGAGAGATGCTTAGAGAGGTGGTAGGAGCAGAACTCCAGCTGCTGCAGAGTTCAGAAGGTTTGGTGCAGGAATGTCTGCAGTGGAGCACGGGCAGGGATGCCCATACCCCAAGGCTCGCCTTGCTTCCCTAGGAGATTTTAGCCTTAGAGGAACTGTGGCCCCAACCAGAGCAAGGTGATCTTGCCTGTGAAACAGGGCTGGTCCAACCTGAGGGTCCCATTGTCTGCTGGCCTCTCTCAGGGCCCCAGCCTGAACAGTGCCAGCTTGCCATAAAGCCTTGGATGCCCAGCCAGGGTGCCTCCTGAGGCCGCCATTATAGTTTTTGTGCTGGCGGACCACACCTGACCATCAGAGAACTCCAACAGCATGGCCCCTGCAGATGCACACCAGCCTACCCACACCCTAGCGCCACTGCATCCTCCCTTATGCTGCTTTGCCAGCACACACTTGCCCACAACCACCCCCAACACCGCTTCACCTGCATGCATGTGCATTGGTAGACCTCGCCTCTCCTTCCTGGCTGGTGTGCATGTGCACATGCACCCCACCATGACACTGCTGCTGATGTAAGCACATCCTGCCCACCCCGCCATATTAGCATTGCCAGCACGAGCACATGTACAGAGACCAGTGGCCTCACCCCCTGTGCTTCCCCACCACTGCTGCCAGCATGAAGGTACCCACAGGAGGTGCTGGCTTAACACCCACCAGTAACCTACCACTGCACTGATAACACCACTGTCATGAACATGCACACAGATGTCACTGGCTCCACCTCACACCAGAGACTGCACCACCAATGCCACCATTATGAATGCCTGCATGGAGGGAAGCAGGCCTTCATGCCAGTCATTGAGTGTGCCCAGCCCCAGCCAATGAATGTGCACCCTGCCACAATACTGCTGCTGCTGGGGTGTAGAAATGAGCATAGATCCCGCTATCGGCCCCCAACAAAGCACTTTGGCTGGCACCACCCATCAGAGTGTTGTGCCTAGTGGGCCAAGAACACCTCAATCCCACCAGCACAGCAGTTTCCTAACCCCCAGAGGCAAGAGAAAAAAGTTGGGAGCCTGCTACCAGCCCCCTAGATGGAGCATGCAGTCCAGGAGTCCTGAACTGAAACATGGCCCAGTAAAATCTTCCAGCAATGAAGCCAGTCAACTGAGTCCACATTATACTACAACTAAACCCCCAAGGACACCAAAAAAGATAAAACAAAAAGAAACCCAGCTGGGCACAGTGGCTGATGCCTGTAATCACAATACTTTGGGAGGCTGAGGCAGGCAGATCACAAAGTCAGGAGTTTGAGACCAGCCTGGCCAACATGCTGAAACCCCATTTCTACTAAAAATACAAAAATGAGCCAAGCATGGTGGCACATGCCTGTAATCCCAGCTACCTGGGACAGTGAAGCAGGAGAATTGCTTAAATCTGGGAGGTAGAGGTTGCAGTGAGCTGAGATCACACCACTGCACTCCAGCCTGGGCGGCAGAGTAAGACTCCATCTCAGAAAAAAAAAAAGAAAAAAAAGAAACCCAATCAAAGGACAACAACTTCAAAGACTGAAGGAACATCACCCCACAGAGATGAGAAAAAAACAGTACAAGAACTCTGGCAACTCAAAAAGCCAGAGTGTCATGTTACCTCCAAACAACTGCCTTAGTTCCCCAGCAATCATTGTTAAATAGGCTGAATTGGCTGAAATGAAAGAAATAGAATGCAGAATATGGATAAAAACTAAGATCATCAAGATTCAGGAGAAAGTCTAAACCCAATCCAAAGATTCTAAGGAAAAAAAAAAAAATACGGGAGATGAAAGACAAAATGGCCATTTGAAGAAAGAACCAAACGGATCTGATAAAGCTGAAAAACTCATTTCAAGTATTTCAGAATACAATTGCAAGTATTAACAGCATGATCATCCAAGCTGAGGAAAGACTCTCTGAGCTCAAACACTAGCTCTCTGAAATAACTAAGTCAGAAAGAAATAAAGAAAAAACAAAGAAGAATGAACAAAACCTTCGAGAAATATGGGATTACGTAGAAATGAAATCTATGACTCACTGGTGTCCCTGAAGGAGAGGGAAAGAAAGCAAGCAACTTGAAAAACATATTTCAGGATATCATACATGAAGACATCCTCAACTTTGCTAAACAAGCCAGTGTTAAAATTCAGGAAATGTGGAGGATCCTTGTGAAATACTATACAAGAAGATCACCCCCAAGATACACAGACATCAGATTCTCCAAGGTTGAAATAAAATAAAAAATGGTAAAAGCAGCTAGAGAAAAGGGGCAGGTAACCTATATAAAAGAAACCCCATAAAGCTAAAAGCAGAACATTCAGTAGAAACCCTACAAGTCAAAAGAGATTGGGGGCCTATATTTATAATTATTAAAGAAAAGAATTTCGAACCAAGAATTTCATATCCAGTCAAACTAAGCCTCATAAGTGAAAGAGAAATAAGATTCTTTTCATATAAGCAAATTCTAAGGGAACTCATGACCACCAGGCCTGCCGTATCAGAAATTCTGAAGGGTGTGCTAAATATGGAAAAGAAAAACATTACCAGCCACTACACAAACACACACACACAAGCTAGAAAACTTACAAGAATTGGTTAAATTTCTTGAAGAATAACGAAACTATAAAACAACCGCACAAAGTCTGCATAATAACCAGCTAACAACACAATGACAGGATCAAATCCACCTGTACCAATACTAACCTTGAATGAAAATGGACGAATGCCCCAATTAAAAGGCACAGAGTGGCAACTTGGAAAAAGAAGCAAGACCCACTGGTATACTGTTTTCAAGAGACTCATTTCACATGCAATGACACCCAGAGGTTCAAAGTAAAGGGGTAGAGAAAAATCTACCAAGCAAACAGAAAACAGAAAAAAAGCAGGAGTTCCTAGTCCAATTTCAGACAAAACAGGCTTTAAACAAACAAAGGCATTACATAATGGTAAATAACTCAACAAAAAGACTTAAGTATCTTAAATAAATATGCACCCAACACAGGAGCACCCAGATTCATAAAGCAAGTTCTTAGAGACCTATAAAGAGATTTGGCAAACCACACAATAATAGTGGGAGACTTCAACGTCCTACAGACAGTATTAGACAGATAATCAAGACAGAAAACTAACAAAGATATTCAGCACCTGAACTTGACACTTAACTGAATGGACCTAATGGACATCTACAGAACTCTCCACCCCAAAACAACAGCACATACATTCTTCTCATCTGCACATGGCACATACTCTAAAATCAACTATACAATTGGACATAAAATACTCAGCAAATTCAAAGAAACAAATTGTACCCACCACACTCTTTGACTACTGCACAATAAAAATAAAAATAAATACAGAGAAAATCGCTCAAAAGCATATGACTACATGGAAATTAAGCTATCTGCTCCTGAATGACATCTGTGTAAATAATGAAATTAAGGCTGAAATTAAGAAATTCTTTAAAATTAATGAGAACAAAAATACCACATACCAGAACCTCTGGAGCACAGCTAAAGCACTGTTAAGAGGGAAGGTTATAGCATGAAAGGCCCACATCAAAAAGTTAGAAAGATCTCAATCTAAGAACTTAACATCTCAACTAGAGGAACTAAAGAAGCAAGAGCAAAAAAACCCTGAAGCTAACAGAAGATGAGAAATAACCAAAATCAGCTGAACTGAATGAAATTGAGGCATGAAAAACCATATAAAAGATCAATGAATGTGTGAGTTGGTCCTTTGAAACAATAAATAGGATAGACAGGCCACTAGCCAGACTAATAAAGAAAAAAATAGAGAATAGCCAAATAAACGCAACTGGAAATGACAAAGGGTATGTTTCCACTGACCCCACAGAAATACCAAAAACTTTCAGAGACTATTATGAGCACCTCTGTACACACGGAGCTAGAAAACAGAATTGGATAAATTCCTGGAAACATAAAACCTCCCAAGATTGAACCAGGAAGAAATTAAACCTTGTAACAGACCAATACAACTTCTGAAATTGAAGCAGTAACAAAAAGCCTACCAACCTGTATTAGTCTGTTTTCATGCTGCTGATAAAGACATACCTGAGACTGGGCAATTTACAAAAGAAAGAGGTCAACTTGGACTTACACTTTAACGTGGATGAGGAAGCCTCACAATCAAGGAGGAGTAAGTCATGCCTTACATGGATGGCAGGAGGCAAAGAGAGAGAACTTGTGCAGGGGAACTCCTATTTTTAAAACCATCAGATCTCTTGAGATCCATTCACTATCATGAGAACAGCATGGAAAAGATTTGCCCCCGTGATTCAATTACCTCCCCCTGAGTGCCTCCCACAATATGTGGGAATTCAAGATGAGATTTGAGTGGGGACACAGCCAAACCATATCGCAACCTGAAAAAGGCCAGGACCACATGGATTCACAGCCAAATACTACCAGATGTATAAAGAAGAGCTGGTAACATTTCTACTAAAACTATTCCAAAAAGTTGAATAGGGGGGACTCCCTAATTCATTCTATAAGGCCAGCATTATTCTTATACCAAAATCTTGGAGAGACACAACAAAAAAAGAAAACTTCAGACCAATGTCCTTGATGAACATAGATGCTAAAATTCTCAACAAGAAGCTAGCAAACCTAATCCAGCATCACATCAAAATGCTAACCACCTAATAATCAAGGAGGCTTTATTTCCGGGATGCAAGTTTGGTTCAACACACACAAATCAAAAAATGTGATTCATCAACATAAACAGAACTAAAAACAAAAAGTACATGATCATCTCAATAGATGCTGAAAAGATTTTGGTTAAAATTCAACATTGCTTCATGTTAACACTCTCAGCAAACTAGGCATTGAAGCAACATGCTTCAAAATAATAAGAACCATCTATGACAAACCCACACCCAACATCATATTGAATGGGCAAAAGCTGGAAGCATTCCTCTTGAAAGTTGGAACCAGATAAGGATGCCCTCTATCACCATTTCTATTCAATATAATACTGGAAGTCCTGACCAGAGCCCTCAGGCAAGAGAAAGAAATAGAAGGCATCCAAATAGGAAGAGATGAACGCAAACAATTCCAGTTTGCAGACAATATGATTCCATACCTAAAAATCCCCATAGTCTCTGCCCAAAAGCTCCTCGATCTGGTAAACTGCTTCAGCAATGTTTCCAGATACAAAATCACTGTACCAAAATCAGTAGCATTCCTATACACCAACAATATCCAATCTGAGAACCAAATCAAGAACATAATCCCATTCATAATAGCCACAAAAAGAACAAAATAACTGGAAATACAACTAACCAGGAGGTGAAAGTTATCTATAACTAGAATTTTAAAACACTGCTGAAAGAAATCAGAGAAGACACAAATAAACGGAAAAACATTCCATGCTTATGGATAGGAAGAATCAATATTGTTAAAATGGCCATACTGCCAAAAGCAATTTATAGATTCAATGCTGTGCCTGTTAAACTACCAATGACCTTCTTCACAAAAATAGAAGAAATGATTTTAAAATTCATATTAACAAAAAAAAGAACTCATATAGCAAAGGCAACCCTAAGCACAAAGTTGGAAGCATCACATTACCTGCCTTCAAACTATATTACAAATTTACAGTAACCAACACAGCAAGATACTGGTACAAAAACAGACACCTAGACCAATGGAACAGAACAGAAAGTCAAAATACTGCTGCACACCTACAACCATCTGACTTTGAAGAAAGTTAACAAAAATAAGCAATTGATAAAGGACTCTCTATTCAATCAAGGATGCTGGAATAACTGGATAGCCATACACAGAAGACTGAAATTGGATCCCTTCTTCACACCATATACAAAAATCAACTCGAGATGGATTAAAGATTTTATAAAACCTAAAACTATAAAAAACCTGGAAGATAACCTAGGAAATTCCATTCTGGTCACAGACCCTGGCAAAGATTTCATGATAAAAATGCCAAAAGCAATTGCAAAAAAAAGCAAAAATTAGTAAATGATATCTAATTAAACTAAAGAGCTTCTGCACAGAAAAAGAAAGTATTAACAGAGTAAACAGACAATCTGTGGAATAAGAGAAAATATTTGCAAGCTATGCATCTGACAAAGGCCTAATAATCAAAATCTATAAAAAACTTAAATCAACGAGCAAAAATCAAGCAATCCCATTAAAAATGGGCAAAGGACATAAACAGACACTTTTTTTTTTTTTTTGAGATGGCTTCTTGCTCTGTCGCCCAGGCTGGAGTGCAGTGGCACGATCTTGGCTCACTGCACCCTCCACCTCCTGGGTTCAAGCGATTCTTCTGCCTCAGCCTCCCAAGTAGCTGGGACTATAGGCACGCACCACCATGCCCAGCTAATTTTTGTATTTTTAGTAGAAACAGGGTTTCACCATATTGGCCAGGCTGAAACAGATACTTTTCAATATAAAACATACACACAGCCAAGAAGCATATGAAAAAATGCTCATCATCACCAATCATTAGAGAAATGCAAATCAAAACCACGAAATACCATCTCACGTCAGTGATAACAGCTACTTTTAAAAAGTCAAAAAATAACAGATGCTGATGAGGTTGTGGAGAAAAGGGAACTCTTATTCATTGTTGATGAAAATGTAAACTAGTTCAGCCCTTGTGGAAAGCAGCGTGGCAACTTCTCAAAGAACTCAAACCAGTATTACTATTTGACTCAGAAATCCCATTATTGGTTATATATCCCCCAAAATATAAATTGCTCTACCATATAGATACATGCATGCATATGTTCATTGCAGCACTATTCACAATAGCAAAGACATGGAAACAACATGAATGTCCATCAATGGTAAAATGAATAAAGGAAACATGGTACACATACACCATGGAATATTACGCAGCCATAAAAAAGAACAAGATCATGTCTTTTGCAGCAACATGGATGGAGCTGGAGGTCATAATCCTAAGTGAACTAACAGGAACAGAAAAATAAATACCGCATGTTATCACTATAAATGCGAGCTAATTATTGAGTGCACATGGACAACAAACAAGGGAAACACAGGCATTAGGGCCTACTTGAAGGTGGAGGTTACTATGATTATTACCTGAGTGGTGAAATAATCTGTACACCAAAGCCCCATGACACACAATTTACCTATATAACAAACCTGCATATGTATCCCTGAAGCTAAAATAAAAGTTTTAAAAAATAGTAAAAGCTAGAGCAAAGCAAAAACTTTTAGTTCAACATATTCCCTAAATTTCAAATGTCAAAGCCAGAAGCTAATTTGTGATACTCCTGAAGGATGTTTAATGCTGGAAAAGATTCAGGCTAAGTTAGAAGTTGTTTCCTTCTTAAATTTATAAGCTCTCATCATATATATTTTTAAAGTAATGAGATCTCAAGAAAAAGAACAACAGAAGACGATAGAGAAGGGAAGAAACTCTAATCCTCTCAGTGAACATGGACTCCATTGCAAGTGTGAGTAGACAGATGTAAAATATTGTTCTTTCAGTTGTTATCAATTCCAATGTACTTCTCTCACTGTAAGAAACTTATCAGGATGAGTATTGAAAGATATAAAGTTGCAAAAAGCAGCTACGTATTTAATGGGCAAAACAAAACAGTGATCTGTTCAAACCTAGAGTCAAAAATGTTTTTGTTAAACTCTGCTGCAATTTGTGACGGAATTGAAGAATTTTTCAAAGTAATTTTCATTGTATTTGAATTGTACCTTCCCCATTTTGGAATTTAAATCACGTGTAAAATATGATTTCACTAATTTTATGAAATAATTTTTAAAACTAACTTCCTAACTAATCTCTTCTGGTTCTAGCCTTGGCCTTTTCCAACTGAACGTTTAAGAGCTACTAAAGTGATATTTCTAAAATGAAAATCTGATCTTCTGTCTCCCCTGATTAAAATATTTCCAGTGAACCTGTATTACATAGAGCAAATGCCAAGTTATTTAGTTTGGTATAAAAGGTTCTCCTTAATTTGACCCTTAATGTTTATTTTCATTGCATCACACCAACCATTCCAAGATAATGCTTAATGCTTCAGCCAAATGAAACACCTTATATCTTTACACCTTCCTTCCTGCCTGCGAAACTGTAATTCATCTTTTAAAACTCACCTCAGGTATTGCCTTGATTAAGAAGTCTTCCATGAGCCCTAAACCAAATTAAATTGTTCTCTTATCTGTGCTTCCTTTATATTTTGCATGCTTGTAATCTTGCATTTTTTTTATCCTTGTCCTGTTTACTGGATTGTGAACTTCTTAAAAGTGAACACTATAATGTTTCTTTACTTTTTCAGTGTCTGGTATAATGCTTGATTTATTAAAGGTGCTCTGTAAATCATTTATAAATGAATCCATAAAGTGTTGCTTCATTAGCATCTCATTATCCTAATGTTTTAAAACTAGGTTTTCATATATTTGGAACAAAGGAAATGTTCTCAATTACATTTCTTATGCATTGAGTTTATTTTCTCCCAGTCTTTGCAAAATGGAGAGTGGCACTGCCAAGATATGACATCGCTGAAACTTACTTTCCTAGTTAAGGAGAATCTTGCCACAATTTCTGTATCTTTTTATTTAGCTCTAAGAGCCTTTTATCTTGTCTAAATTGTATCCACGTTAATCAAATATAATTCAAAATTATTATAAAACTTATTAGAATAGAGAACTTTCTCTGCTCACTAAATCATACATATTAACCATACATCCAGAATGAATCGATATCTGGGAAAAACATTGGCTATCAAAGCCTGAATGACAAGGATCAGCGTATCTACTGGTAAATTCTGGGAGGACATGAAATGTGCAATTTTGATTATATATGTCAACTTGTTGGTGTATAAACCTGAAATTATCCATCTTTCCTGTATAATGTAGCCAACTATGTTGACAAATGCTCTTTTTCCACTAGATAGACTGCCCTTGATGTTATCTCAGGACAATTTCATTAATTTCAGCTATGAAAACCACAGCATATCAATTATTAAAGTATATTCTTAAGTATTTTTAACATTTACCACATATATGATTAAATATCAGTATAATCTCATGTGGCTGGACTTGTTGTCTTACAGGCTTGGTGTAAAGCTGTGTTGTGCTCACTCTCATTTTCCCATCCATCTTAACTTACCTTAGACTCAAGTACTGGGATGAGGAGAAGGGAAAGAAGAAACAATACCTATTTGTATGAATGCCCATGGAAAGTTTTCTTTTATCTTCATATTGATCTCACCATTGATCTAAACTCACTGGCAGGCACGGAATTATAAGCAACTACTGTAAGCAAAAATTAATATCTTCAAGATCAACTATAAATCTCCCAACCCCACCCCTAAACTCCCACTCAAGACACACACCTCAGTCTCACAAAGTATCCCTTTGGTGTGTGTACCTCCTTGCTCTGGTGCTGTGGTGAACCCCAGAAATCCCACTGCTATTATGTCACTTGACACTTATGGCCTCAACATGGTGAAATTAACCTTTCATAGCCCTCAAGATGAGGAATTTGAGGGGTAGTTTTTATGTCCTCTTCAACTGGCCTATTTTCACATATACTACCCTACGATCATTCCCTAGTGCTTTTTCTCCAGATTCAAGGTGTGAGGCATATGGACAAATCTAGTGACTAAGCAGGCATGCAACAGAGAAAAGACCTGTCTTCCATTTTTTCACGTACGCACAAATTTTATGAACAGATCTTTCCCCACCCCATCCCTTTAATTGTGGAGACGAGAACCAATAGAGTACCTTTTTCTCTTTCTTAAAAGAGAGAGAAAGGGATGGGTGTTTAATTCCTTGAAGACTGTCCACTCCATAAAGGTGATCTACCTTACCTTCCAGTCCTACTGCTAATCGCTCATGGTAAAAACAAAACAAAAGAAAACACAGAAGTAATTTTGGCTTATTTTACAACTGAGACATCAACTCACTCCAAAAATTGAGTCTTCTTTAAAACATCCTTTGAAGAATTTAGTAACTGCTTTTATCAGGCATTTCTGCTGTATTCTCCAGGCACTTTGGTAATCTAAGTAACTCACATTATTACAAGACACTTGCATAAAGTAGAAATATTCTAAATAATAAAATGTGATTTTAAATATTCACACTGTACACTGTATGTATATACTCTTTTGGCAAAGGAGGTACTTTTCCACAACGTTTAAAAGTCCTGTAGCCTTCTAAATTCCTATTGTAATTTGGTTTTGAAAGTAGATGGGTTTATCAACGTGGCTTCAATGCAGTAGTTGTGTATCCAGGGAAAAGTAACAATGCTACTGAAAGAGCAGTTAGAATTTATTGCATATTGAATATTCTCACAAATTCCATTACACACAAAATCTATCAGGGAATTGCGTGAAAAGGAAAACAATTAGTAACTAGAAATGTAATTTTGACAGAATATGAGCCATGTCTCTATTCAAAAGTAGTAACATCAAGCATGTGTCAGTATTACAGACCTGTTTCAAATCACGAAAGAGACTGAGGAATAGACAGCTATTCACCATTCACCATGATTTACACTAACAAATTAAGTGCCTAGGAGCTATAGTTTTACAGAAGCTCAGAATGAGGCACAATAACAGATTTATTGTCACTCTTCTAACCTTTAAGTCAGTGCTTGATTACTGAAAGGTCTGTAGAGCTTTGGAATATGCAAAAAGCACATAGGAAATTTTACAGCAAAAAAAAATCCATGCATATTTTCAAGGCATAAACAATATTCAGGTCACTCAAATTTGAATGAGAACATGTTCATGCATAACACGGCTACAGTAATACAACTGAAATATTTTATATTCAGTAAGTTATTTTATTATTTCCTCTGAAATTAAATTCTATGTGTTTCCCTGAATCACAGCTCTTAACAGCAAGCCAAGAAACCACTGTCAATATGTTTATTGCTTACGATATTCCAAGAAAAATGGTTATGCTGAAAACATACACATTTGGAAGTACTTGTTAGCACTAAATAGAATTTAATAATTAACTGAATAAATAAATCTTCCAAATAAGACTCATAAATCTTCCAAGTATGCCTGTGGAGTGCTCAGAGTAACCTTTAGTCTGTGTTCCTTTATTACCTCCACGTGGAAGTACCCAACATTACCACCTCCCAAATGCTAACCTCAAAAATTCACAGCAGGTCACACAGAAATAGCAAAGCACCACACATGGATTATATATTACACTTTTCTCAAAGTCTGAAGTCATGGACATTCCATGATTTTTACAAAATTCTTAGAAATACCTTGAAAATAATATAAACCCTATGTTCAATCTCCCAGAGGAAAATTTTATTACAATATTTGCAATCATGGTTCTAATATAGTTCTCTTGAAAAACAAACTTTATTGGAGTATATGTTACTTCCTATTTGATTTCCCCCTTAGCTCCATCAGTTTTTGATTTATAGTTCCTGAAGTTATTATTTTAGAATCTTTATATCTTCCTAAGAAATTGTTCCTTTTATCGTTATGAAATGTGATACTTTATCAAATATCTTAATATACTTTCTCTGATAGTAATACAGCCATAGTATAGTGCATATTAATCCCAGCGTTTATTTGTTGATTTTCTATTTGGAATATTCTTTCATTGCCAAAAGTGGGGTGTTGAAGTATCCAGCTATTATTGTATTGGAGACTATCTCTCTCTTTGACTCTAAGAATATTTGCTTTATATATCTGGGTGCTCCGGTGTTGGGTCCTTGTGGCTTAAGCTGTCTTTCAAATTTATTTTGAGCCCCAGAGCAACTTAGCCCACAGTGACATGGCTTACAGGAACTCAAGTTCCAACCACTGGAATTGGCAATTTTTTTTCTGGCCAGAGCTGGCTTAAATGCTCCTTCCATAGGTGGGTGTCAGCTGAGTTTGGTCTGGTTTTTCTTTCTGCAATAAAAGGGCAGCACTGAGTTCAATGCCTCACAATTGCTGTGCTCTCCCTCCCCCAATGCCCAGAGATGCTCTCTGCACCATGCTGCCACTGCTGGGGGGTAGGAGAGGGATGGCATCAGTGATTCAAGACTGTTTGCTGCTCTATCTCTTTGTGCCTCTTTAAGTGATACAGAGTTAAAACAAGGTACTGGGAATGCTCACCTGATGTTTGGTACTTAATAAGGAATTTTTCTGTGTAAATAGTTGTTCAATTGGTGCCCGTGTTGGGGGTACAGTTAGTGGAGCCTTCTATTCTGTCATCTTGTTCCTGGATTTGCTGTCATTTGTATGGGGCTTTGTGATTTTATGCTCTTTATTTCCCTTGAGGGCTTAACTGATTTAAGTTGGGTATAATCTGTTGGCTTCATTTTTGGATGCTTTCAGAGGGCTGTGTCTCTGTACAAGATATTTATTCATGGTTAGATTCTTGCCCTGGATTTCACCAGCAGTGTATATTGAAAGAATATTTTTGATGTTGTAATTTGGGCTGTGATCAGTAGATATGCCTAAGAGCAATGAGCAGCAGTTAGGCTCTTACTCAGCCATGGGGCTTTTTTGTATTTCAGGGCATTCCAGCAGTGCTTTCTTCTTTAGGAGCTGTTAAGCTGCAGAACTATTCCTGTTCTCCTACTCCTGCAGGGTTACCAGCTTCCTTTTTCTGCAGCGTCAATATCTGCATCACCTCTCTATCGACTCTCAGTGTTTTAGTTACATTTTCCTTTTAGACTTTTTGTTATAATTTTCATTGCTACCCTGAGGCTCCATCTATTCACTCTATGGCCATTTTTTTCTTACTCACTGAACATATTTATAATAGTTGTGTTAAAGTTTTTTAGCTAATTTCAAAATCTGGGCATCTCAGAGTCTGTTTTTAACTGTTTTTCTGCTCACATGTTCATCCCATTTTTGTTTCTTGGAATATCTGTCAACTTTTATTATATAATGAACATCATGAATTATGTATGCTAAAGACTCTGGATACCTTTGTCTTCCTCTGAATATACTGTATTTTTGTCATAATAGGCAGCATAATTGCTGGTGGAGTTTCTATAGGTTTGTGTAGTGTTGGTTTATGTTCTATTAGAGCAGATCTGTAGCAAGCTCAAGATATCTTTCAATACCGTTTATTTCATGGGACTCAAGTTCCAAATTCTGACTACACTATGGCTGTTTACACAGTTTAGGTTTATGCTTTCTAAAGAAAAATCTAGTTTAGACATTACTCTAGGAAGCAATCTTAATGCCTAAGTCATGGCTTTTCTTGTTTCTCAACTGTATACCTAGCTGAATAGATCATCTCTCCACTCAGACTGTACCACAATTACAATGTCCCATAGTACTGCACAACCTCAGGAAATTCTTGTCCATTCTCAACTCTGTAGCAACTGCTCTCAGACAATCCTTGTGCAGTCTGGCCCTCTATTTGTGCTGCCCAGTGTACAAGTATGGACTTGCATAGGGCTCCCCCCAGTGGTCTATATGCATACCCCCAACACACATCTCTTTGATCTCTGGTGCCCTGCCCCCAGAGAGTCCTACTGATGCAAATTTCCCAAAACTCTATTCCTTCAGCTCACCAGGACCATCTGTCCTCAGGCAGAGAGGAACCCTCAGGAGTTCCTATTGTCAACACCCCAAAATAGTTGTTCAAGATATATATTTTTTTGTTTTGTGGTTGTCTATTGTAATGGGACTTATCTGGTACCAATTCCTTTATAGCTGGCTGGCAAACTTCTCATGTGTAGAGATCTCCATATCCCTGAATCGACCATACATCCAATGAGTTTTAGGATTTTAAATACTGTCTTTAATTTACTCATACAAAAAAGTTGTGCCATGTTCATAAAAAAGATTGTTGTTGTGAATCTCATTCCACAATCCTGGGTAATCATTTAAAGGCATCAACAATTTGGGAGAAAAAAACTGTATGAGAGCCCTCAGTGTCACAGTTAAGTAAGTTAATTAAATAGCTATCAGAGAGACTACCTGTTCTCAGCCCATGTATTATTTATGTAAGAAATTTAACAGGAGCTAAGTGAAAAAGTAAAGAAATATAATAATTCATTTTTTTTAATTTGAGATTTTGGGTTGTTTCTTAAAGAAATGTAGAAATGGGATTCCCATCTCTTCATCTACAATCTGATTAGATTAAGTCAGTAGAAGACTTTTATATATATAAGATGGTGGACACATAAATTTCAAGGGAAAAAAAAGACAGTCAACAATTTCCTGGAGCTTCTGACTCACGGTGGAAAGAAGATCTCCTGCAAGGGAGCTAATATATCCTACTTACAGTGTTATTTTATTTGCTTTTTGTTTATTTGTTTGTTTTTCACATGATGTTCTTTGTTTGTGAATTGGTGTTGAAGAAGAGATAGTGAAGAAAGATATTCTGTAGTATTCTAAGATACTTAGGGATAAAATCATAGGTTTTCCTTCCTGTTGATTGCAACCAGGGTATGTCAAATTGACTACCTGGTTACAAGAGAAAACTGAAGTGATGAATAACAATTATGACAGGAAAATTTTGTTATAAAGTATTTTTATCATTTTATTATCAATTTTGAGGTTTTTAATAAATGATAAATGAAAATACATAGAAATGTATTAGTTCATTTTCATGCTGCTGATAAAGAGAATGGGAAGAAAAAGAGGTTTAATTGGACTTATCGTTCCACATGGCTGGGGAGGCCTCAGAATCATGGCAGGAGATGAAAGGCACTTCTTACATGGTGGTGGCAAGAGAAAAATGTGGAAGAAACAAAAGCGGAAACCCATGATAAACCCGTCAGATCACATGAGACTTACTCACTATCACTATTATGAGAGCCCCACCTCTGCAACAAACTTTTGCCTGGACCTCCAGGCATTTCCATACATCTTCTGAAATCTAGGCAGAGGTTCCCAAACTTCTGTGGTGACTTCTGTGCACCCACAGGCTCAACACCATGTGGAAGCTGCCAAGGCTTGGAGCTTCCACCCTTTGAAGCCATAGCCCAAGCTCTATGTTAGCCCCTTTCAGCCATGGTTGGAGCAGCTGGGACACAGGGCACCAAGTCGCTAGGCTGCACACAGGATGGGGACCCTGGGCCTGGCCCGTGAAACCCCTTGTTCTCCTGCGTCTCTGGGCTTGTGATGGGAGGGGCTGCCATGAAGGTCTCTGACATAGGCTGGAGACATTTTCCCCCTGATTTTGGGGTTAACATTAGGCTCCTCACTATATATGCAACTTTCTGCAGCCAGCTTGAATTTCTCCTCAAAAAATTGGTTTTCCTTTTCTACTGCATCATCAGGCTGCAAATTTTCTGAACATTTATGCTCTGTTCCCCTTTTAAAATGGAATGCTTTTAACAGCACTCAAGTCACCTCTTGAATGCTTTGCTGAATTTCTTCTGCTAGATACCCTACATCATCTCTCTCAAGTTCAAAGTTCCACAAATCTCTAGGGCAGGGGCAAAATGCTGCCAGTCTCTTTGCTAAAACATAACAACAGTCACCTTTGCTCCAGTTCCCAACAAGTTCCTCATCTCCATCTGAGACCACCTCAGCCTGGACTTTATTGTTCATATTACTATCAGCATTTTTGTCAAAGCCATTCAACAAATCTCTACGAATTTCCAAACTTTCCCACATTTTCCTGTCTCCAAACTGTTCCAACCTCTGCCTGTTACCCAGTTCCAAAGTCACCTCCACATTTGCAGGTATATTTTCAGCAACGCCCTACTCTACTGGTAGCAATTTACTGTATTAGTCCATTTTCACACTGCTGATAAAGACATACCCAAGGCTGGGAAGAAAAAGAGATTTAACTGGACTTACAGTTCCACATGGCTGGGGAGGCCTCAGAATCATGGCAGGAGGAGAAAGGCACTTCTTCCATGGTGGTGGCAAGAGAAAAATGAGGAAGAAGCAAAAACCCCTGATAAATGCATCAGATCTCATGAGACTTATTCACTATCATGAGAATAGCACAGGAAAGACTGGACCCCATAATTCAATTACCTCTCCCTGGGTCCCTCCCACCACACATGGGAATTCTGGGAGACACAATTCAATTTGATATTTGAATGGGGACACAGCCTAACCATATCAGAAAAGTCATATGTAAATCACCAGTAATTGCAAAGGATGAGTAGACTATGACCTCTTCATCTTTGTAACTTCCAGAACTCCCTGGTGTCTGGAAGATAACTCAGTATAATATATGGGAAAATGCATTGAATTAGAAACTAATTAAAAGTAAATTGAGCTCTATATGATATGTAAATAAAATTATTGCTTCAAGTATTTTAGTCTAGAAAGTTGACAGAAATGCCTGACTCCAGCATTATTAACTTCAATCTCAAGTTCTCTTTGAAAAAAGCAGTATCCCCATCTTCTAGTAATCTATATAACTTTATCTCCCTTATAACTTATTAACTTATTTTTAATACCTAACTGGTATTTCTCACATATCATTTTATTTTTGTATCTTTGATACTAACCATAGTGTTTAGATTAGAACAAGTTTTTGATAAACTGTTGTTGAACATAAATGCATGGTTTCCTCATCCTATCCCTGCTACAGTCCTGAGAAAATGCTGTCTTTTTTTTCATGATGTGCTTGAGAATATAGACCTTGAACAAATTAGAAAGTTTATAACTGGTTATAACTTATGTAAGGATTTAATTTTGAAACCATTTTAGAAGTAAGATAAGAAGTATTGGTTGTGATTATTTTGAATGTCAAGGCTTACCCTCTTCAGTCTCACATAAGCAATGAGACTTCTTATTGTATTCCAGACAGAATAAGGGTGTTTATGGTCGGGGGAAGAATCCAACACTACCTGAAGTGTTGAAGATTTTTAAGACAATTCAAAAGAAACTCCAATTCAGCACTGGCGTTTCTTTTGTAATATGTAATGATAAATGATAATTATCATTACATATTGAAAAAATGTGTATCTCACACTGAAGATTTAATGAAATGTCAGCAGGAAAAGGCTCTGCTTTTAGTAATACCCCAAAAAGATTTTCTAACTATGAACATTCTTTACTTTAAGATATTTCCTGGCAAAAATTGTTTATCATATACAAATACATATGAATAATTTGTGTGTACCACAAAATGCAAATACTTTCAAAAGAAATTTTATTAAGTATATATCATTTTTGGAAGACTCTAGTGAACTATAAATCATAACATACTTCACTCAACAGAACTATAAAAGTAAACTGACTATCAACTCCATAATTCAAAAATGTATTTATGAGACTAATACTGTTTTTTCTCCAAGATTTTTCATGTCTGCTTTGGTGTGTTTGTGTGCACATACATATGCATACACATTTACCCTAAACAGTTTTTTTAGGTCCATGATCAACTTCCTCAATGCTTCCACTAATAAAAATACCAGAGTATATCACAATAAATAAATAAATAAAAATAGATATAGCATTGAACAGAAAACTAAGGTGATTTGGCTTATTAACATGGATTAGTATTCTCATGATTTTCTTTTAAGAACACTTGTATATTTGCATCTCTGTGTCTCACCTCCTTAAGGGGGCAAGAAGGAGGAAAGAAGAAAACTACTTTCGATATATTTCTGGAAAAAATGTGCTCGATGCTAAAAAGGAAAAGTTAAATAATGAATAAGTTACAATGTAAATACACAGAATCTAGTAACAATGAATTTACAACGTCTTACCTCTTAAAAGTTCAGAGAAGCTGCAACTCAAAGGATCAGACACTTCAATTTAAAATTTAGAAGTTTGTAGCCAAGGATCTTGAATCAAAAGATAATGTGACATAAATTCATAAAGAAGGGTAAGGAAAAAAGTATGAAATAACCAGAAGTCCTGGTGCAAAGGGATGAGAATTAGAACTATAGATACTACAGATAGGCTCTATAGAGTAGATACTCAACAGATATTTATTGGATGAATAAAGGAGTGAATGTATCAGTTTCAAAAATCTGTTTCCTATGTAATAAATCACAGCAAACCTTTACAGGTAAAAACAATGATATTATATTTTCATGATTTTGTGGATTTATTGAGGTCATTTCCCATTGTCTGAGGCCAACTCAGTTTTCCTACACATTCATTCTTACTTTCTCTCTCTCTCCCCCAGCCACCATCTCTCTCTTCCTCAATCTCTGTATACTCTTTCCCTCCTCCACATGGTTTCTCTTTACTCTCCTCCTTCCCACCCTGCCCCAGGCCCTTCCATGTGATCTCTCTCTGCAGCAGGGTAGCTGAACTTCCTTAGAGTACTGAAGTTTAAATCATGAAATTATAGTTTGTATGGAGGTTAATAAACTATATCTAAAAATACATTGTATTTTCTAAAAGAAAGGCACTATACCAATATATTTCATCATGATATGGTAAGACCTATGAATGATACCTTTTTCTTATATTCTGACCCATTAAAATTAATTGAAATACCTATATTTTAAAGTATCATATGTAACCGTACATTCCATTTTAGCTATTTTAAGTGTGCAATTCAGTGGCTTTAATAACATTCACAATGTTGTGCAACCACTGACACATCTATTTCCAAAACTTTTCATTACCCCAGACAGAAACTCTGTGCATTAAGCAATGACTTTACATTGCTCCTATCCTCAGACCCTGGCCACCTCTAGTATACCTACTTTCTCTCTCTATGACTTTGCCTATTCTGGATATTTCATATAAATGAAATCACACAATCTTTGTCATTTTGTGTCTGGCTTATTACTCAGTGCTTTCAAGGTTTATCCATGTTGCAGCATGTGTCAGCAATTTATTCCTTTTTATGGCTAGTAACATTTCATCACGTGTACGTACCACATTGTGTTTATCCATTCACTTGGATTGTTTCCACCTATTATAAATAATGCTGCAATTAACTTTGGCATACACATACCTGTTTGAGTCCCTGCTTTTATTTCTTTTGAATATATACCTAGAAGTAGATTTGCTGTGTCATATGGTAATTCCATGTTTAACTTTGTGAGGTAGAGTGCATATTTTATATCAAGCACATCAGTAGGTACTAGATTCCAATAGTCTTTCCATTTAAACATGTTTAAGTATGTATCATGTGTTTTGTTTTTTTACTTAAACATTTTTCTTCTTGTGTTATTTATCTGTACACAAATACTCCATGATAGATGTTTTCAGCTGTGCTTTGTTTTCTATTTATTATTATTTATTTGTTATGTATTTTATCATAGTGTTGGCAAAACGTAAGTCTTAATTTATAATTTGATTATTTCTACACACCTCTAAAACTGACTGAAGTGCTTAAGGTGCCTTTCGCCTTTATTTTCTTCCATTTCTAAATCTAAGCTGCCTTTTATCCCCTGCAACATGTTGCACGTAGTCATATAGTTCCTTAGAGTTTTGATGCTCGAACTATGGCACCTGAACTGAGGTAACCCATGACTAACACAAAAGGATGGTGATATTTTACTATCCTTTAAAGAAAAAAGAAGACACTATTGTCAATGTCAATTTTAAAATATATTATTAACTTTTAATTTCTCTATATTGTTCTTAAATCATTGGAAGCCACTACCACTTTCTTATTAATTATTGCAAGCAAATGGCAAACAAATGGATAAATATTTACAGAAAGAAGCAGAAAACTCAGAAGACAGATTTTATTTCTATTCTATATGTATTTATTTTTATTGATATGGTGTGCTGAGAGCTTATGTTCATGATTTTTATAGAGGCATAAGATGTCAAGTAATTTTCCAATAACTGAACAAGCTCCTGAGAATATGCTTTAAAAAATTTTCACCCAGGGCTCCTTCAATTTCAGATCTCTACACTAAGCATACTTCACAACCCTGAACCTGGGACGTTAGAATCATTATGACTATCAACTGTTTGACAATTCCTAAGATGAGAAGAAATGCCATTATAGAATAATTGGAGGGCAGGTAAAAGACAAAACAGCAGAGCAAGTCTATATAGCAAATCGGAGTCACTCTGAGCTCACCAAGACTGAGATATTCAGGCAAAGAATTAAGGAACAACATTTTTTTTTTGCCCTGTTATGTCTTAAAAGACATCTTAATAAAAGGGAAATGATTAATGAACAGCCAAGCAAGCCCTCTGCTAAGATTAATAAATGGGATACCCCTATCACCAACCTCATCTAAGGAGGCACTGATCATAACTTGTCACCTTAATAACATTTTAATGCCAACTCCAGATTCATTGCACTTTTATGGAAATTTAAATCATGCCCAAGTGTGGAACGCTTCCAATAATGAGCATAAAAATGCAAAGAGATTTTGATTAACATCGGCTACTTAAAAACCAGGAATGTTTCACTGGGAGCTACACAAATTATTTCGGGGGTCTTTTAATGACATCAGTTCAACAAAACTATATTTTTAGTATGTGTGAGCATTTGGATTTGGGTCTGTGAGTACTACTTTTTACTGAGATTTAAGACAAGAAACTTTTCCCCATTATGTAGAGTTCCTGTCATGAAGCAGTTTGCACAGATAGGTAATTTCTCTTCACAACTTTAGTTTTAGAGCTACACCAAATAGAATACAGCTCTCTCGGTTTTCTCTGAAATTGTGGTAGAAACACAAAGCAGCTTAACTCAAGATTACGGAAACCAAGAAAAAAAAATTATGATAGTCCTACTTCAGAAATCACATCAGAAGGAGTACTTCAGGTAACTTCAGAATCTGGTCTCCAAATTACGTGACTATCATTTGTCATGTAATACACAGCAACACGGTATTCCTGAACAAGTTATATCACACTAACAATCTAACACAGTGGAAGTTGTGAAAATCATCAATGTTTTGCATAGCAGTAATGTCAGTAATGATATCAGGCTTGCTGGCATTTCTGAAGCTGACAGAACCTTGGAAGGATGTCATCATCTACTTCACAGAGGACAAGCCAGGTACTAATATCAGTGGTACTTTGGCAGTGATAATATCTTTTCTTCTTTTTTGCAGTGTGTATACATTGATGCCTTTCTAATGCCTTTTAAAACTCTACTACCTTGGATAATATTTACTGGGGGAACCCACCCCAATATTTCAACATAGGTTCTATTTTCCATAAGTGTCGGCTGGCTGAGAAATAAAGAGAAAGAGTACAAAGAGAGGAATTTTACAGCTGGGCCTCCAGGGGTGACATCACATATCAGTAGGACTGTGATGCCCAAAACCAGCAAGTTTTATTAAGGATTTCAAAAAGGGAGGGGGTGCAAAAACAGGGAGTAGGTCACAAGATCACATGCTTCAAAGGGCAAAAAGGAGAACAAAGATCACATGCTTCTGAGGAAACAGGACAATGGCAAATTCAAAACTACTGATAAGGGTCTGTTCAGCTGTGCACGTATTGTCTTGATAAACATCTTGAACAAAAGAAAACAGGGTTCGAGAGCAGAAAACTGGTCTGACCTCAAATTTACCAGGGTGGGGTTTTTTCCCCACCCTAATAAGCCTGAGGGTACTGCAGGAGACCAGGGCGTTATTTCAGTCCTTATTTCAACTGAATAAGACAGACACTCCCAGGAATGCATTCCTTCCCCAGGGTATTAATTATTAATATCTCTTGCTAGGAAAAGAATTTAGCGATAACTTCTCTACTTGCACGTCCATTTATAGGCTCTCTGCAAGAAGAAAAATATGGCTCTATTTTGCCTGACCCTGCAGGCAGTCAGACCTTATGGTTGTCTTCCCTTGTTCCCTGAAAATTGCTATTATTCTGTTCTTTTTCAAGGTGCACTGATTTCATATTGCTAAAACACACATTTTACAATCAATCTGTACAGTTAACACAGGTATCATAGTAGTCCTGAGGTGACGTATATCCTCAGCTTATGAAGATAACAGGACTAAGAGATTAAAGTAAGACAGGCATAAGAAATTATAAGAGTATTATTTGGGAACTGATAAACGTCCATATTAAAATGAAATCTTCAAAATTTATGTTCCTCTGCCACGGCTCCAGCCGGTCCCTCTATTCGGGGTCCCTGACTTCCTGCAACAAATATTTAGGTAATTTTCAAACAAAAATGATGGGATTAATTTTTAAAACAAAAAATAATATTTCCAACTTCTAAGCCATTATCAGGCATATGTCCCTTATGCAATATTAAACAATTTGATGGCATAAGTAGATAAGTGGCTAGCGATGACTTTATATGATAGAATGAGTATCAGGTGAAGGACTTCTCATAAACTTCATCTCTTCCACCATTCTCGGAAACACTAATGAGCCAGGATATTTCCCTGGACTTTCACGGGACTTGCAACAAGGGTGCCTCACGTAGCCCATAGCTCTCAGCTCCTCGCAGGCAGGGGTCACATGTGGGAACGAGGTGGGAACTGGAGTGCACAAACGCTGGAACCAGCTGGTTGCTTCTGTGCTGGCAGAGGCAAGCTCAACTCACTCAGAATTGCTGTTCTTCACCCCTCATGGGAGGGGCACACAGGTGAACAGATGCAGGAAAAGCATTTTTGGGCGCCCGCAGGAGCCAATTTTGTTCCGGCCTCCCAGCAGCATCTGAGGGGATGCCCATGACCCCAGAGGCCACAGAGGGAGCATAACACTGCTCTTTTAGCTCTACCATCTGCAGACAGCTTAAATATTAACAGATCAGTGGACCCTCTGCCTTTTCATGTGAGGTGGCTGCCTTCCGCCAGCAAGGGCAAAGGGTCAGTGTGACAGCCCTTTGCATCCCCACTCATGGCACCCGAGCTCTTGGCTGGCATCCAGGAGAAATAAGGTCACATGAATAAACTGAAGGATGGTAGATATGGGAGATTTCATTGCTGATGCAGGTGGCTGTTAGTGGAAATTACATTAGTACTACTAATGTACCTTTCTTTACCTTTTGAAACATGACTTACTTTCATTTTTTGAACATATTTAAAACTACTTCCTTGAAGTCTTTGTTAAATATGATACCTGAATACCTTTATTGGGAGTTTCTGTGGCCTGCTTTTTTGTCTTGTGTATGTGTCACATTTTCCTTTTTTCATGTCATGCCCCATAAATTTTTTGTTAAAAACTGGATATTTGAGATAACATGTTGTAGCAACTCTGGATGTTCATATCCTTCTCCCCTCCATGTTCCCACTATTGTTTGATTGGTTATTTGTTTAGCAACTTGTCTGAACTATTTAAGTCAAGTCTATTTCCCCCATAATGCGTAATTTCTGATTCCATTCCAGTCTTGAAGGTATGCACCTGTGTCTTAGTTCATCAGGATGTTACAACAAAACAACATAAATAGCAAACATTTACTTCTCATGGTTCTGGAGGCTAAGAAGTCCATGATCAAGATTCAGGCAGATTTGGTATCTGATGAATGTCCATTTTCTTAAAAACGGTGACTTCTCACCATCTGCTTACATGACAGAAGTGGCAAAAGGTTTGCTTGGGCCTCTTTTACAAGGCCAGTAATCCCATTCATAAGGGTTCTCCCCTTATGACCTAATCACCTCCTAAAGGCCCCACCTTTTACTATTACTGCAGTGGGGATTAGGTTTCAGCATATGAATTTGAGGAAGACACAAACATTTAGATCCTGGCACTCTTTTATGACAGTGACTTTTGGTGGACTCTCTTGAGCCATCTCTCTTCTTTTAATTTGTCTTCCTGTGTTGGTAACATACTCAGTTAATTACCTCCACTAATTACCAGACAATTGACATATTGTTCTCAAAAATGCCTTGCAGCATAAGTTACTTCTAAGTCTGATCCAATTAAATTCTGGATCCCGCAGGAGTAATTTTTCTGATTAATCTTTGGGGCTTGTTCTAACTGGAGCAGGGTTCCTCTTAGCTTTCTCTTTTTCTGGCACTCTTTGTTTAAACCTCTAGCTTGTGTATAGTTTAGCTTGTTTTTCTAATGAACCTATCAACTTTTACTTAAATATTTACCACCAAAATCCCTATGATTTTCAACAGTGCCCTTGGATTTAGACTTCCTCACACTCTGTTCCAAATAAAGGCAATTCTCCTGAGGAGAGCTATGGAACTCTGTTCTTAAGGCCTGCTTCTCCCTCTGAGCAAAACCTGCACTGCTGCTCTGATGCAGTAGATGGGAACAAAGACTTACTTCTCTCAGACATGCTTTACAAGTGGGGTACAGGGTGGGGTCAGTACCCTCTGTTATTGTAGGCTTGCCTCTCTTAGAGTAAAATCTCTACCCTATGAGTAAGTTAAGGCACAAATGATTGGGGCTCAGTATTCTTGGCCTGCTGTGCCTAGGGTAGAATGTCCACCCTGCAATTTAGAAATAAATGGAAGAAGAAAGCCCCAGACATCTCAACTTTTCTGGTGTAGAACAGATTCTAAAACATGTAACTGAGTGGAAGTGAGAAATGCTAATGGTCTGCTCATCTCAAGCTAAGACTATAGTCTAAACTGGGATCTGGGGGAAGAAAGAGCCCATTCTTCTAAGTTGCATACACTTTGAGTGTGGCTTCTTTTATGCTTAGCTGGGGATGGGGAGAGAGTGGGCTGTGGCCTAAATGCCACAGGCTCTCACTGCAGTGATTTAGTAAATTTATTTTAATAAGTATTTTTTACACTTGCCATGTGCCTTCAGGACAATTTCCATGAACTTCAAATGATTGGGTAGTTAAATGTAATTATTACTTGTTTGGTTGCTTCACTGGGGAGAAGGTTCAAAGAGTTCTTGAAGCTGCATTCTGAAAGGTACAGCCCCATTGCTTTTTACTTGCAAGTTTTAATAATTATTTTTGTATACAACTATCAACGTTTCAGAATATTCTTTTTCAGATCTTTTTTACTGAAGTACAATTTCCATGCAATAAAATTCATAGATCGTAAGTGTTTAGGTCAATGAATTTTGACACTTGTATTATACCTGTATAACGACTGCACAAAATAAGATATAAGTCACTGCCATCACCCTAGAAAGTACCCCTTATACACCTCTTGAAGAAATTGATGGTCCTTGCTTCCATTCTCCCTGCCTTTCCAAAATAAAATACTTTCTTAACTTTATCGCCATCGGTTGGTATGGAAATGGAGGGACTTTTTTGTTCAGCATAATGTTTTTGAGATTTGTCCAAGTTGTTGCATTTGCAGCTATGTTTTAATCCATGACTTTTTAGATTTATTGGGGAAAATATGAACTTCAGGTTGTTACTTGAAGAACAATAAATCCTTCTTTAACAAGATCATAAATTATTCTTTAGAAATAAATCAAAAAAATCTATATTTGACTAACGATTCTTACAAAGCATAGCAATTGCTTTGGAAGAAACAGCATCAATATAGAAAAAACATAACAGTTATTGGCATCAACAAGGCTTAATTCAGACTAAAGCTTGGAAAACACCTAGACTTCACCAAGTGTCTTAATTTAGGATTCAGCTAGGCTACCTAATTTTTCTACACTGTATTTTAATAAATTGGTGCTACTCAAATGCAATATTGAGCATTAATCTCCACTGTCACTGGAAAACACAGTGCCCTTTAGAGTTTTCAAGGGTACTCATACATACACAATTTGAGTACTGATTCCTGTGTCCTGCAGAAAGATACATTTCTTCTATCACTGACTGCAGTCATCTACCCACAAGACTCACTATAAGATATATACTTTTTAATACAAAGTGCTATAGAAGCACAGAAAACTCCATTTTGCTTAAGTCAACCAAGGACACTTTAAGACCTTCACTACCACTGTAGCATTGGCATAAGCAGCTGAAAATGCATTGGTATGATGATGTAAAATATGTCAAGAGTTACAGAGAGGACCATCCGCTTGATATATGTTGTCTTTTAAGTATAAAACTGTCAAGAACAAGTTGATATAAAACCCAGTGGCTTCAGAATGGTATGCACATGCTATTTCTCATTTTTTAAAGAAGTAGCTAAATATATTTTAAAGCAAGTGCAGTACTAAGGATTCAGAGTTTAGCTCAGGATTGAATGCTTTATTTAACAAGAGTGGTGAGAGCCATGGTAGAATCACACAATGTGTGACTGCAAAGAAAGAATATTTTAAATCCCCCATTGTACTGATGAATAAATCAGGTCCATAGAGTCACTTTGCTGGTCAATGGCAGAGTGGGACTACAGTTAAAGTCTCTTGATCCTTAATCCTCTGCTTTTGCTATGATAATATATTATATTACATTGAAAATCCTACAATTAATCCTGCTTACAAAGTTTATTTCCTCATTCTTATTCCCTTTAAAATTGTAATAACTATTTCCTACATTTCTTGGATTAGAGAATTGCAGGTAAAACCCCTCACAAAGGAAAACAAGGAAGAACTTCTTGATGAGCTCAAAACTATAAAATTGTGGAATCTTCAGCTCCTTACTATCCCTTCCAGCATGCAGCCTCTCTGCACCGTATGGTTATTTTTATCAGAAATAGCCGTAAGGTGCAGAGAGGAAACAAAAAAGGGGAGGCAAGAAGAATTATTCTATTCTATAGTTATGCCAGCCAAGGTGTATATATTAGAACAAGACTCTGGTCTTTACTACACTACTGTTACCAAGGCTAAGATCATACTGCTGATTCAATAGTAAAAGCACAGCTTCTTAAGTAAGTGTTTCAGGGCCTCTGAGATTCCAGGTGGACCTAGAGAATGTGTATAAGGACCTCAAGTCCCAATTTCTTAGTCCGTTTGGGCCATAGACTAAATGGCTTAAACAACAAACATTAGTTTTTCACAATTCTGAAGACTGAGAAGTCCAAAATCAGGACACCAGGAGATTGGCTGTCAAATGGCTGATGACTCACTTCCTGATTTGTCAATGGCTGTCTTCTCAATTTTGTTTAATTGTTCAAAAAACAAACTTTTTGTTTCACTGATCTTCTATATTGTTTTCTTCATTTCAATTTCATGTATTTCTGCTCTGTTCTTTTCTTCTACTAATTTGGGTTTGATTTGCTTTTACTTTTCTAGTTTTTTAGGATGCATTGTTAAGTTGGAGCTTGTTTATTTGAAGCTTTTCTTCTTTTTTGATGTATGCACTTATAGCTGTAAACTTCCTCTTAGTACTGTCTGTGCTATATCCCACACGTTTTGGTATGTTGTGTTTCCATTGTCATTTGTTTAAAAAAAATTAATTTTCTTCTTAATTTCTTCAGTAACTCATTTAGAAGCATGTTGTTTAATTTGCATGTATTTGCACTGTTTCCAAAATTCCTATTGTTCTTGATTCCTAGGTTTATTGCATCATAGCCAGAGAAAATGCTTGATATTGTTTCAATTTTTTTTAATGACTTATGACTTGTTTGTGGCCTAATATATGGTCTATTCTTGAGAACAATCAATGTGCTGAGGAAAAGAATATGTATTCTGCAGCCATTGGATGAAAAGTTCTGTAAATATCTATTAGGTCCACTTGGTCTACAGTGCAATTTAAGTCTGATGTTTCTTTGTTGATTTTCTGTCTGGAAGATCTGTCCGATGCTGAAAGTGACGTGCTGCAGTCTCAAGTTATTACTGAATTGAGGTCTCTCTCTTTAGCTCTAATAATACTTGCTTTATATATTTGGGTGCTCCAATGCTGGGTGCGTATATATTTAAAATTATCATATTCTCTTGCTAAATTGACCTCTGTATCATTATATGGTGACCTTCTTTGTCTCTTCTTGAAATCTATTTTGTCTTGAAATCTATTTTGTCTAATAAAAGTATAGTGACTCCTGCCCTTTTTTTGGTTTCTCTTTCCACCCTATTATATTCAGTGTATGCGAGTCTTCATAGGCAGTGTGTTTTCTGTAGGCAACAAATTACTGAGTCTTGTTTTTCAATCCCTCCAGCCAGTCTACGCATGAATTGCTTCATTGTTTAGTCTTTCTACATAAAAGTCCACACCACAGTCACAGTATTATAATATTCTGTGTTTTTCACGTATGTACTATTACTAGTGAGTTCTGTACCTTCAAATGCTTCTTTATTGCTCATTAATATTCTTTTCTTTCTGAATGAAGTACTCGTTTTAACATTTCTTGTAGGACAGGTCTGCTGTTAATGAAAACCCTCATCTTTTGTTTCTCAAGGGAAGTGTGCATTTCCCCCTCATGCTTGAAGGACATTTCCAAGAGATATACTATTCTAGGGTAAGAGTTATTTTCCATCATCACTTTAAACATGTCTTTCCTCTCTCTCTTAGCCTGTAACGTTTCCACTGAAAAGCAGACATATTGGAGCTTCATTGTATATTGTTTGTTTCTTTTCTCTTGCTCCTTTTAGGATCCTTTCTTTATCCTTGACCTTTGGAGGTTTGATTATTAATACCTTGAGGTAGTTTACTTCTTTGTGTTCTATACCCTTCTTGTACTTGGATATTAATATCTTTCCCTAGGGTTAAGGAAATCTTTGTTTTTATCCCTTTGAATAAACTTTCTGTCCCTATCTCTCTCTCTACCTCTTCTTTAAGGCCAGATCTTAGATTTGCCCTTTTGAGGCTACTTTCTAGATCCTGGAGGCATGTTTTATTGTTTTTTATTCTTTTTTTCTTTTGTCTCCTCTGACTGAACATATTCAACTAGCTTGTCTTCAAGCTCACTGATTCTTTCTTCTGCTTGATGAACTCTGCTATTCAAAACTGATGCATTCTTCAGTATGTCAATTGCATTTTTCAGCTCCAGAATTTCTACTTGATTCTTTTTATTTCAATCTCTTTAATGAATTTATCTGATAGAATTCTGAATTCCTTCCCTGTGTTATCTTGAATTACTTTGAGTTTCCTCAACAGAGCTACTGGAATTCGCTGTCTGGCAGGTCACATATCTCTCTGTTTCTCCAAGATTGGTCCCTGATGCCTTAGTTCATTCAGTATATTTGGTGAGGTCACGTTTTCCTGGATGGTTTGATACTTGCTGAAGCCAGTAAGTCTCAGTTCATCTGTCTCTGAGCATTAAAGAGTTAGGTATTTATTTTAGTTTTTGCACTCTGGGCTTGTTTGTACCTGTCCTTCTGGGGAAGGCTTTCCAGATATTTGAAAGGACATGTATGTTGTGATCTTAGCTGGATCTGCTTTACAGAGCTCCTCAAACCCAGTAACACTATGGTTATTGCAGATTCATAGAGATACTGACTTGAAGGTCTTGGGCAAGGTCCAGAATTCTCTAGGTTGTCAGGCAGAGACTCTTTTCTCTTTCTTTATGTTCTGTCAAACAACTGGAATCTCTCATTCTCTGTTCTGACCATCTAAAGCTAAGGGTGGGATGACACAAGTATTACTGTGGCCACCACCAGTACTGTGCTGGGTCAGACCTGAAGGCAGCACAGCACTGGGTCTCACACAAGACCTGCTGTAACCACTCCCAGGCTACTGCCTATGTTCACTGAAAGCCCTGGGGCTCTACAACCAGCAGATGGCAAAGCCAGCCAGCTGGTGTTCTTATCTATTGGGAAGCAAGTCTCCTTAAGCCTCAGGGAGACCCTGAAATGCCATCCAGGAGCCAGGGACTAGAGTCAAAACTTTGAAAATCTACTTAGTGTTCCACTGTTCTGCAGCTGACCTGGGCACTCAAACCACGAGATACAGTATGTCCCACTATTCTCTCCTCTTTACAAAGGCAGAAGAGCCTCACCCTGTGGCCACCACCACAGGCCCAGTGAGAGTACTGCCAGACTACTCCTGGTGTTCCCTTAAGGTCGAAGTGTCCTTCATTCAGCTTGTGGTGAATACTGCCTGACTTGGGGCTCACCCTTGAGAGCAATGGGCTCCCCTCTGGCCCAGGGTAGGTCCAGAAATGCCATCCAAGAGGCACGTTCTAGAATCAGGGACCCCAAGAGCCCACTTAGTGCTCTACCCACCTGTGGCTGTGCTGGTACATAAGGTGTAAGACAAAATCCCCTTTACTTTCCCCTCCACTTTTCTCAAGCAGAAGGAGACTCATCACATAGCAATCACAGCTGGTGATGTGCTAAGTCTCGACAGAAGCCAGCAAGCCTCAGTGTCTCACCTAAAGCTCTCAATGTAGTATCTGAATATTGCTGCTGGTCATTCAGGGCCTGTGGGCTCCTCAGTTAGCTCATTAGACAATGAATGCTGTCAGGATTCAGGCCTTCCCTTCAAGATAGCGGATTCCTTTGTGGCCCAGGCTGTGTCTAGAAATGTTTTCCAGGAGCTAGGTCCTGGAAAGGTAGCCTCACAACACTGACCAGTACCGTATCCTGCTGTAGCTAAGCTTGTATCCAAGACGCAAGACAAGTCCTCCCCATTCTTCCTTCCCCACCCCTCAAGCAGAAGGAAGGGATCTCTTTTAGAGCCCTGACCTTTGCAGCCTGGAGTTAGGGGAGGGGTGATGCCAGCACTCCCTTAGCCACCCTGCTGTTGTCTCAGTGGGTCACTTAGTGCCCCAGTTCAGTCTCTCACCCAGTTTAGCACTAGAACTCACCTAGGAGTTGCCGTCTTTGTGGCCTGGACTGTATTTCAAGTTCATTTTGATCCCCAGAGCCCTTTAGTCCACAGCAGCGAGGCTTGTGGATAGTCAAGTTCCAGCCGCTGGGATAGATGAGTTCCCTCTGGCTAGGGCTGGCTTAAATGCTCCCTTTGTAGGCAGGTGTCAGCTGAGTGTGGTCCAGTTTTACTTTCTGTTATAAAAGGGCAGCACTGAGTTTAATACCTCACCATCAATGTGCTTTCTCTTTCCCCAGGGCCTGCACCAGGCCCTCACTGCCAGTGGGTTGGGGAGGGGTGGACTTGGTGATTCACAGCTTTTTTGCTACCTCTTTAGTGCCTCTTTCAGTGATATGAAGTTAAAACCAGGTACTGTGAGTGATAACTGATTTTTGGTTCTTATGAAGGTGGTTTTTTGTGTGTAGATAGTTGTTAAATTGTGTCCTTGAGGGGCAGACCATCGGTGGAGTCTTCTATTGTGCCATTTTGCTCTTCCCCTAGTCCCCCGATGGCTGTCTTCTCATTGTATCCTCACGTGGCATGAGCCAAAGAAAGATCCTGATATCCTGTGTCTCCACTTCTCTTTTTAGGGACATTTATCCCATGCATGATGGTCCTACCTTCAAGACCTAATTATTTCCCAAAGTCTCCACCTCCAAAAAGCATTACTTTGGGGATTGGACGTCAACATATAAATTTTAGGGGGGGCACAAATATTATATCCATACCACCCAGACAGGGGACTTAATATTTTACTGTGGTGTTTTTTGTTTCTGTTTTCGTTTGCCTTCTTGATAGCATTAGGTTGGTGCAAAAATAAAATTACAGTTTTAACCATTACTTTTTAATGGCAAAAACCGCAATTACTTTTGCACCAATCTAATAGTTACCATCTCACAAAGGCATGTTATTTATCAATGTGATTTTCTACATTGATGTGTTGTCAAGCCCCTGAGTTTTAACTTGAATTCCTAGTTTTTAATGAGCTCTGAGTTCACATTACCTGTGTAGCATTCACTTCTTAGACTGAGAGTAATGAATTGTTATCAACTAGGAACTCATATTACAAATCTACTATTATACTACAATCAATGCCACATTTAAGGAATACAACAAAGTCATCTACTTTGTCATTGAGAAATTCAACTTCAATAAATCATTACACTTTAATCTGAAGACTTCATAATGTATAAAAACTATGGCTTATATACCTTACAAACAGGTTGTCAAATTTTCTAGGGCAAAAAGCTTATTCATCTTCTTAGTAGATATGGGCATCTATTCCAGAGTCAGAGCTGGAGCTACAAATTGCCACAGGAAGTTATAAGCCAGAGGCAAACCAAGTCTGTTGAAACAATCCAAGGATACAGATCTGTTCCATTACCCATAACTGGCTTCACAAAATGATTTAGACATAACAAAAGAATCACAGAAAACGAAAGGCTGTCAGAATAGAACCTTACAAGATTGGAAGGTAAAAACAAATAATATTAACAACAAGAACATAAAACAATATAGAAGATAAATGTCTCTCAGGCATTCAATATGACCAAAATGAAATTTTTAAGTCAATGAGAAAATAAATTTTGTTTTATAGTATTTTCTAGAATAGATTGAGTCAACCACTGTAAACTCCATTTTAAAGAAAGAAGTGAGACAAGTTATCTTTAAAGCTTATTTTATAATGTTAGAGTTTTATTTTTGTGCTTCTCTTTAGCACTTAATTTTCTATATTTGTCTAAAAAAACAATGCCTTCACATAGGTCCATCTGATTTGACAGCATAATCTTTGTCGCTATAACTATCAAGTTGAACTTGATTTTATCACTTAGGTGGAAATTGGTTAGCTAATGGAAAAAAATGCTTCAAAATTGTGTCAAGATAATTCCCGAGAAAAGTCATTTAATGATGCAAGATTTGACATCAACTCTTCACTTTGCAGAATATACAAATTACCTTCCAAGACACCAAGCATTCTGTCTTTATTTTTTGGTTGATTGATTCATTTTTGGCTTTGTTTTGCTTTACTAGCTATTATCTTATTAGTCTGTTTTAGAAACCTGGCCATTAATATAAGAACTAGCAAAGACAAACCCTTGGTGATAGGAAAATCAATGACATTTGAATGTCCTTATAAAATGAATTGCAAAATAAATGAATGTCCTTATAAAAAAAGAATGGCACAATTTTTAAACTATTTTTTTAAATAACAGCTTATACTTTTAAAATGAAATTACAGTCTGCTTTAATCCAACCTGCTGATGTGATAGTCAAATATAAAGGTTACTGGAAATTCCAAAGAACTTGCAGAGAAAACACTATGGAGTTTCTTTTGCTTTTTCAATTTTAGCTCTTTGTTTATGTCTATATTTTAGGATCATGAAAGTTTGCACAGAAAATTAAAAGCACCTCACATTTAAATGATACATTTTCCTAATTGCATATCCATATCCAGTTAGGTATGCATATGCTGTACTACCTAAAATTCAATAAAAAATAGTGAATACAAAAGGACCTTATTAATCAACTAAGAATTCAAGAATTATTTAAATAAAAGCTGCTCTTTACTTCCAAATCTCTGCAGCAGGAAGCCTCAGAAAATGAAGAAAACTAGCAAATAATACTAAATGATGCTGAACACAGTACTGTTCGCATGATCCAAGATGGCCGATTAGAAGCAGCTATGGTCCGTGGCACTCATGAAGGGGAATGAAAACGGGCAAGTGAATTCAGCACTTTCTTTTTTTTTTTAAATATAGATATAGACTGAGAATTCACTGCTAGCACACCTGCATTGAAATAAACACTAGAGAAAGTTTTTCAGGATGAAAGGAGATGATATTAGATGGTAACAAGAAAAATATCAGGAATTATAAACATATTAGTCAATATAAAATATGATATATGTATGTATATATTCATATATGTGTGTACATATACATATATATCCCTTTATTTTTATATACATATTTCTTAGTATACTTTAAGTTCTAGGGTATATGTACACAACGTGCAGGTTTGTTACATATGTACACATGTGCCATGTTGGTGTGCTGCGCCCATTAACTCGTCATTTACATTAGGTATATCTCCTAATGCTATCCCTTCCCCCACCCCCCACCACAACAGGCCCCAGTGTGTGATGTTCCCCTTCCTGTGTCCAAGTGTTCTCATTGTTCAATTCCCACCTATGAGTGAGAACATGCGGTGTTTGGTTTTTGGTCCTTGTGATAGTTTGCTGAGAATGATGGTTTCCAGCTTCATCCATGTCCCTAGAAAGGACATGAACTCATCCTTTTTTATGGCTGCATAGTATTCCATGATGTATATGTGCCACATTTTCTTAATCCAGTCTATCATTGTTGGACATTTGGGTTGGTTCCAAGTCTTTGCTATTGTGAATAGTGCTGCAATAAACATACATGTGCATGTGTCTTTAGAGCAGCATGATTTAAATTTCTTTGGGTATATACCCAGTAATGGGATGGCTGGGTCAAGTGGTATTTCTAGTTCTAGATCCCTAAGGAATCGCCACACTGTCTTCCACAATGGCTGAACTAGTTTACAGTCCCACCAACAGTGTAAAAGTGTTCCTGTTTCTCCACATCCTCTCCAGCACCTGTTGTTTCCTGACTTTTGAATGCCTGCCATTCTAACTGATGTGAGATGATATCTCATTGTGGTTTTGATTGCATTTCTCTGATGGCCAGTGAAGAGCATTTTTTCATGTGTGTGTTGGCTGCATAAATGTCTTCTTTTTAAAAGTGTCTCTTCGTATCCCTGGCCCACTTTGTCATGGGGTTGTTTGTTTTTTTTCTTGTAAATTTGTTTGAGTTCTTTGTGGATTCCGGATATTAGCCCTTTGTCAGATGAGTACATTGCAAAAATTTTCTCCCATTCTGTAGGTTGCCTGTTCACTCTGATGGTAGTTTCTTTTGCTGTGTAGAAGCTCTTTAGTTTAATTAGATCCCATTTGTCAATTTTGGCTTTTGCTGCTGTTCCTTTTGGTGTTTTAGACATGACGTCCTTGCCCATGCCTATGTCCTCAATGGTATTGCCTAGGTTTTCTTCTAGGGTTTTTATGGTTTTAGGTCTAACATTTAAGTCTTTAATCCATCTTGAATTAATTTTTGTATAAGGTGTAAGGAAGGGATCCAGTTTCAGCTTTCTACATATGGCTAGCCAGTGCTCCCAGCACCATTTGTTAAATAGGGAATCCTTTCCCCATTTCTTGTTTTTGTCAGTTTTGTCAAAGATCAGATAGTTGCAGATGTGTGGTATTATTTCTGAGGGCTCTGTTCTGTTCCATTGGTCTGTATCTCTGTTTTGGTACCAGTACCATGCTGTTTTGGTTACTGTAGCCTTGTAGTATAGTTTGAAGTCAGGTAGCATGATGCCTCCAGCTTTGTTCTTTTGGCTTAGGATTGACTTGGCAATGTGGGCTCTTTTTAGGTTCCATATGAACTTTAAAGTAGTTTTTTCCAATTCTGTGAAGAAAGTCTTTGGTAGCTTGATGGGGATGGCACTGAATCTATAAATTACCTTAGGCAGTATGGCCATTTTCATGATATTCATTCTTCCTACTCATGAGCATGGAATGTTCTTCCATTTCTTTGTGTCCTCTTTTATTTCCTTGAGCAGTGGTTTGTAGTTCTCCTTCAAGAGATCCTTCACATCCCTTGTAATTTGGATTCCTAGGTATTTTATTCTCTTTGAAGCAATTGTGAATGGGAGTTCACTCATGATTTGGCTCTCTGTGTGTCTGTTATTGGTGTATAAGAATGCTTGTGATTTTTGCACATTGATTTTGTATCCTGAGACTTTGCTGAAGTTGCTTATCAGCTGAAGGAGATTTTGGGCTGAGACAATGGGCTTTTCTAGATATACAATCATGTCATCTGCAAACAGGGACAATTTGACTTCCTCTTTTCCTAATTGAATACCCTTTCTTTCTTTCTCCTGCCTGATTGCCCTGGCCAGAACTTCCAACACTATGTTGAATAGGAGTGGTGAGAGAAGGCATCCCTGTCTTGTGCTGGTTTTCAAAGGGAATGCTTCCAGTTTTTGCCCATTCAGTATGACATTGGTTGTGGGTTTGTCATAAATAGATCTTATTAGTTTGAGATACATCCCATCAATACCTAATTTATTGAGAGTTTTTAGGATGAAGGGCTGTTGATTTTTGTCACAGGCCTTTTCTGCATCTATTGAGATAATCATGTGGTTTTTGTCTTTGGCTCTGTTTATATGCTGGATTACATTTATTGATTTGCGTATGTTAAACCAGCCTTACATCCCAGGGATGAAGCCCACTTGATCATGGTGGATAAGCTTTTTGATGTGCTGCTGGATTCAGTTTGCCAGTATTTTATTGAGGATTTTTGCATCGATGTTCATCAGGGATGTTGGTTTAAAATTCTCTTTTTTTGTTGTGTCTCTGCCAGGCTTTGGTATCAGGATGATGCTGGCCTCATAAAATGAGTTAGGGAGGATTCCCTCTTTTTCTATTGATTGGAATAGTTTCAGAAGGAATGGTACCAGCTCTTCCTTGTACTTCTGGTAGAATTCAGCTGTGAATCGTCTCGTCCTGGACTTTTTTTGGTTGGTAAGCTATTAATTATTGCCTCAATTTCAGAGCAACAAAGATCAAAAGAGACAAAGAAGGCCATTAAATAATGGTAAAGGGATCAATTCAACAAGAAGAGCTAACTATCCTAAATATATATGCACCTAATACAAGAGCACCCAGATTCATAAAGCAAGTCCTTAGAGACCTACAAAGAGACTTAGACTCCCACACAATAATAATGAGAGACTTTAACACCCCACTGTCAACATCAGACAGATGAATGAGACAGAAAGTTAAAAAGGATATCCAGGAATTGAACTCAGCTCTGCACCAAGCAGACCTAATAGACATCTACAGAACTCTCCACCCCAAATCAACAGAATATACATTCTTCTCAGCACCACACCACACCTATTCCAAAATTGACCACATAGTTGGAAGTAAAGCACTCCTCAGCAAATGTAAAAGAACAGAAATTATAACAAACTGTCTCTCAGACCACAGTGCAATCAAACTAGAACTCAGGATTAAGAAACTCACTCAAAACCACTCAACTACATGGAAACTGAACAACCTGCTCCTGAATGACTACTGGGTACATAACGAAATGAAGGCAGAAATAAAGATGTTCTTTGAAACCAACAAGAATAAACACACAACATACCAGAATCTCTGGGACACATTCAAAGCAGTGTGTAGACGGAAATTTATAGCAGTAAATGCCCACAAGAGAAAGCAGGAAAGATCTAAAATTGACACCCTAACATCAAAATTAAAAGAACTAGAGAAGCAACAGCAAACACATTCAAAAGCTAGCAGAAGGCAAGAAATAACTAAGATCAGAGCAGAACTGAAGGAGATAGAGACACAAAAAACCCTTCAAAAAATCAATGAATCCAGGAGCTGGTTTTTTGAAAAGATCAACAAAATAGATAGACCACTAGCAAGACTAATAAAGAAGAAAAGAGAGAAGAATCAAAGAGATGCAATAAAAGCTGATAAAGGGGATATCACCACCGATCCCACAGAAATACAAACTACCATCAGAGAATACTATAAACACCTCTACGCAAATAAACTACAAAATCTAGAAGAAATGGATAAATTCCTGGACACATACACCCTCCCAAGACTAAACCAGGAAGAAGTTGAATCTCTCAATAGACCGATAACCGGCTCTGAAATTGAATTCAGCACTTTCAACTGAAATATCCAGGTTCTCACACTGGGACTGACCAGGTAAACAACTTGACCCACAGAGAATGAATAGAAGCAGCAGGAGGTGGAGGGGGTGGAGCAGCAGGGTGCAACCAGCCAAGGAAAGCCGTGAGTGATTGTGCGGCCCCACTGGGGAAACCGCGCTTCTTCCATGGATCTTTGCAACCCGTGGATCAGGAGATCCCCTAGTGAGGCCACGCCAACAGGGCTATGGGTCTGATACACAGATCTGAGTGGAGTCTCTGCAGAGCAGCTGCTTAGGGTCACACAGAGAACCAGGAGTTTCACATATTCTGGCCCTGGGATCCCCGGCAAGGCAGGAGATCCATCTGTACATATTCCTAGGAAGGATTACACTCTCTTACTTTAGTGTTGGTGACAAAGGAAAAATGGTTTTTCATCTTGAAGGAAAGATGGCTTTATGTAAAGTTACATGCAGTGCTGTGTTGGAAATTGTTTACCAACCAGCAATTCACGGTGGAGAAGAGTGCTCTGATTCGTAGCATTTGTTAGTTTCCATGAAATGAATGTTCCCACCATGACCAAGTTTAAGCTAGTAACATGACTTCCCTGAGTGAGAATTGGGGAACAGATAAGCAATATTGTGCTATTACATGGCATTTCCACCATATAAATTTAATAGATATCAATAACTTAAAGAGCACAGATCATAATAAAATATAATAAAATGATTAAGAAGTAATGAGGTTTGAAATATTTATTAATTTTGCTATTATATAATTTATGGTTAATTTTATATTATCTAATATTTTTGGAGACAGGGTCTCACTCTGCCACCCAGGCTAGAGTGCACTGGCACAATCAAGGCTCACTGCAGCCTCGGGTTCCAGAGGAGGTCCATTATTCAAAAGAGAGAAGAAAATGCATGATGAGCAAATTAAAATGCAACACTAGAGATGATTATATGTATTTTTAAAAATCTCCCCTCTCTCTGCTTTCTGCTAGTTTGTACTGTCAGTCCTTCTTTTTTTTTTTTTTACCCTTATCATATTTCACCTTTCTTACATTTTAACCTTGATAGAAGGTAGTACCTGGGAGTGAACTATAATTTTTAGTAAGAATAAGCATACCAATAAATTTTTCTTCTCCAGATAAAATGGAGTTTGACTTCATCTTCTGCCTTACCTGTTATCAACTGTTTTTTGTTTTCTGTACCAATAACCGACAGCTTATGCAGAAATAAACTTAGAAACATTATTGAATGTAATTGCAGTGTATGAGTCACTTAATTGGAAATTTGTTTTCTCCACAATCTGGAGAATTTCAAACACAGAGATAAGGCTGTCAGAAACAATTAATGTTCTTTCTCTCCCTTTCCCTAATTGCTACACTGCTACTTCTGATTCCATATTAATGTGGCATTATTGTTGGAAAGTTGTCATTTTTGTCATCACTGGTGGTGCCAATGCCTTTTTGCCTTTTTTCATGGTGGATCAGTAAAAAGTACACTGGAATGCCCTTTTCTTCTTTTCTTTCTTTCTTTTTTTTTTTTTTTTTTGAGACAAGAGTCTCACTCTGTCACCCAAGCTGGAGTGCAGTGGTGTGATCTCGGCTCACTGTAACCTCCACCTCCCAGGTTCAAGCTATTCTCATGCCTCAGCCTGTAGCTGAGATTATAGGCGCGCTACCATGCTCAGCCAATCTTTTTTGTATTTTTAGTAAAGACAGGATTTTGCCCTGTTGACCAGGCTGGTCTCAAACTCTTAGCCTGAAGTGATCCACCCTCCTTGGCCTTTGAAACTGCTGGGATTACAGGCATGAACCACTGCACCCAGCCTATCCTGGAATGCCTTCTACTCAGTTGTAATCAAAAAAGTGAAGTGACATCTTTTATAATCCAATTGACCTAGCTACTTAGTTTAGCAGATTCTTAATGATACAGCCATTGACAAGATTGAATTGATTATACAATTTTAGACTTGTTTCTCAATATTACATCATAATGCCTATAGCAACTATAATTAATGATACTCATAATTATGTTAGAAAAAAATGCAATTCTACTAGATTGTATTACATACAAGACAATTACAATGTGTATTAAAAGTGTTACTTTGAATAATGTATATAAAATCGTATCAATTACATAATAGTGATTAGCATTTCATTTTTAATAACCTTTATTTTATTTTTGAATAATTTCAAATTTTCAAAAAAGTTGCAATATAGAGAGAATTCATAGGTGCCTCTCATGCAGTTGCATGACTTTCTCCCATAGACTAGGGCTCAGAGTTGGAGAGTTCAATACAAATGTACTCAATGAGGATGACAGAATCCTAAAACAAGAGAGAACACGTGGTCCCGCTAAGCCTTCAGAAAGCAGGGGGACTTATTCTACAAAATGGCAAAGTCAGGAGTGGATAATGAGGCAAAGAAACTAACCTGAAGACAATTAATGTAATCAATTGTCCCTCCAAAATTGGGAGACAACAAGGGTATAAATCTATTTGCACCACAAAAAGAAGTCAAAGGTTGATGATCACAAGGCCAAAAACAGTTTTCCCAGTAAAAAGATATTGCCCAGTTTTCATCACACAGTTTTTAGACTGATATGGTTTGGCTGTGTCCCTTCCCAAATCTCAACTTGAATTGTATCTCCCAGAATTCCCAAGTGTTGTGGCAGGGACCCCAGGTGGATGTAATTGATTCATGGGGGCCAGTCTTCCCTGTGCTATTTTCACGGTAGTGAATGAGTCTCATGAGATCTGATGGGTTTATCAGGGGTTTCTGCTTTTGCTTCTTCCTCATTTTCTCTTGCTTCCGCCATGTAAGAAGTGCCTTTTGCCTCCCACCATGATTCTAAGGCCTCCCCAGCCATGAGGAACTGTAAGTCCAATTAAACTTCTTTTTCTTGCCAGTCTCGGGTATGTCTTTATCAGCAGTGTGAAAACAGACTAATACATAGACTTAGACCCATTTTTTGAAGAAAAGACCAGTTCCTCAGGAGGAAGCTAACCAAACCATTTTAAAATATATAGTGTAGTAATTTTCCCCAATCCTTCCCCAAAGAGATGGATAACCATTTACTCAAGGAACTGTGTGCTTAGAGAAGATAAACATGCAAAAATTTTGAGAAACATTGAATACAAGATTCAAACTGATATTTATATTGAATGCACACAATGTTCAGATCTTGCTCTAGAAAGTCTCTGCTTTTAACTATTACCCTTTATGGTCCCTTGCCAAATGAAGAAAGCAATGTCCCTCTTCTCCCTCTTTTTCTGCCTTTTTTTCTTCTCTTGTTTTCTCTCCTTCCCAAGAAATGCCTTTCTCTGGCATCTTGCTATTATTCTATTTTACCTTAGATTAAATAGATGTGTGCATAGGTAGGGTAATTAGCAGTCTTGAGTAGTGACCTTGGTTAAAGTACTGTGCTGGGTCTTTCATAAACATTTGATTATTTAAGTCTCATATTAACTTATTCAGGTGGGGATTATTTCCTCCACTGCATAAAGTACTGTATAGAATGGTGGTTAATAGTTGAGACCCTCTGCAACCCGGCTGCCTGGGCTTAAATCACAGCACTGTAGCTTCTTGACCTTGTGGAAATAATGGCTCCAAAGATCATACATTTTTTCATTCATTATTTACATTCTCTCAATTTTTCTTTTTAAAATATGTGAACCATTCTAAGTGATTCACTATTAACAAGGTAGAATGAAAAGGTGTCCTTTCATTGCTTTCCCCAGACCCTTGGCAAACAGACTTTTGGCAAAACAATAGCAAAAGGTGTTCCTCATAGTAAAAGCATACTGTCTTTCTTGGTTCAAAGTGTATGAAAGGCAGAAAAATGACCCCCAAAGATGTTGCAGTCCTAATATCCAGCAACTGTGAATATGTGACCTTACATATTCACTTTTGCCGATACGATTAATGGTACGGGCCTTGAGAGATTATCCTGGATTATCTAGGTGAATCCAATCTAATCACTTGTGTCCTTAAAAGCAGAGAACATTCTCTGTCTGGGTCAGAGAGATGAGACATTGCTAGCTTCCAAGATGCAGAAAGAGAACACAAGCTATGAATGCAGTTTGCCTCTAGAAGCTGGAAAAGGCAAGAAAATAAGTTTTCCCCCAGAACCTCCAAAACGAAAGCAGCTCTGCTGATACCTTGATTTTAGTCTAGTGAGACCCATGTTGGATTTCTAGCTTATAGAAGCACAAGTAATTTGTGCTGTTTTGAATCACTAAATGTGTGCTAATTTTTTACAGCAGCAGTTGAAAAATGATGCAGTGTTAAAAGAAAGGTACATCCTATGAGTTCAAATAGTGCCTGCTGTAATCATAGGGAAAAAATCTTCACATTTTTATCTTTAGCATAGACTGAAATCAAATAAGATAAAATGTTATCAGGTGAGAATAGGGGTTATGCATATCTGCTAATTTATTGCTCTTGAATTTAGGTGTGGAGAAGAACTGGTTTCATACTATGTATTTTTTACTTAACCTACTTGGGAGATGTTTAGTTGTTAACTGTCTTGTAACTTTGCCAAGGCTTGAATGGTTAAAAAACTGGAAACATTCTTCTTTTAAAAAAATTAAAAGTAATAAACATTGGGGTTCATTTTTAAGCTACTTTAAATACCTACTTACCAATTATACAAACTTATTTGAAATATGTTAATAATACTAGGAAAAATTACGATGTGAGTGAAGATGTTTATTTGTCATTTGCCATTATTCTAGTTTGGGCTATACTCTGATCTCTTCTGGTTTAATAGCCTGGTCTCCCGGTAGGAATATATCCAATTATACAGAAACAAAATATGACTCAGGTCATTAAAAGGAGAAGTACTTACAATGGCAAATTTTAGTGTGCTTGGTATTCTGTTTCAAGTAAAGCTGAAAAATATGCATAAACACAATTTTGTTCTTTATAGGAGCTTTTTTATTATAGTCATTAGGACCTGTAGTTATAATCTCCTTAGTCTCAATAGAGTCTGTTTTAAAAATTTTCTCTCGTGCAATTTGTGTGTATATGTTGTCATAACAACTTTAAAATAAATTGTAACAATGTAAAAGCTTCCTTCTGTTAATTAAAAAACCAGTTTCCTGAAAACATCTCTTCTCTGAAAAAAAAATAGTCACCAAGTATTTGGATTAATTATTCTTTGTTTCTTTTAAAACTGGGGTAAATCATGCAATAAAAGACAAAAAAAAAGTTTGCACTTTTAATTGTTCCTTTTTATGTTTTTGTTTTTAATTATTTCAAAATATTAGAATAATATTTTGTTTACAGCAGGGAAAATAGAACAAATCTTGGAGCAAGAAGTAATTTTTAAATTTCGAACTGAAGTAAGATTTTAGCAGGTGGAGATGAGAAAATTGCAGAAAACAGTTTAACACATGGATGATTATGACAAGAGCCGCTATTTACTGATTGCCTACTTTGTCCCAGTATTGCTATTTGGCTTTCTCATATTATTTTATTATACTTTTTTTTTAGAACAACACTAAAAGTTAGGTGAAATTATCTCCATCTTACAAGTAAGAAAACTGAGTTTATGATGATAAGATTACCCAGAGTCACCAATTAAATATTTGAATTGTACATATAAAATACAAATATTTAATCCAGGCCTATCTGACAGCAAAAACAAAGTTATTTTCCAGTGGGAAACATGAGCTCTTTTGTTACTAGTTTACATTATGGTTATTTTCTATTTTTTTTTGTCAATGGATAGACATTATGCAATAGCGCTATAAAGTTTCACTTTTATTTATTTAGTTTTTGAGACAGAGTCTCACTCTGTCACCCAGGCTGGAGTGCAGTGACATGATCTCGGCTTGCTGCAACCTCTGCCTCCTGGGTTCAACTGATTCTCCTGTCTCAGCCTCCTGAGTAGCTGGGATTATAGGTGGGTGCCACCACACCTGCCTAATTTTTGTATTTTTAGTAGAGACGGGGTTTTGCCATGTTGGTCAGGCTGGTCTCGAACTCCTGACCTCAGGTGATCCACCCACTTTGGCCTCCCAAAGTGCTGGGATTACAGGGGTGAGCCACTACGCCCAGCCTAAGTTTCACTTTTAAATAAATCTTTTTAAACATAAAGTGAGTCTATGGTTTTAAAAAATCTAAAAAAGTAAACAGGAGTATAGATAATATGCAAATATAGCTAAAATTGTCATGATGATACTCAACTCAAGAAGTTTGGGTTATACTTCATATTACACCATTCAAACCCTCCTAGACCCCTTGAAACTCAGCATTTCACACTAATTGTAGCTATATTAAAGCCTAAGGTAATGTCTGATCTCAGGGTCCTGAGAATGACACACTTTGCTATCATAGTCAACTTCCCTCCAACTGGCTCTCCTTGACAGAAGAAAAGTATTAGAAAAACTTCAAGTTTTTTCAAGTATTTTGAAAATTAAATAATTGTTTGTGATGCTACTGCAGATTTCCAGAGTTCAGATTTCATTCTATCATTTGGAATTTCGGTGAACTCTGAAATTTTATGCATTTTTTTGGAGTTCAGCATTCGGAGAAGAAACCTGTATTATTCTGTATCTTAACAGTGTTCCAAAATCATGGCATTAACAGAAATTGTGAGATTTCATCATGGGACTTCTTCATGAGAAGTCCAAGAAAGAGTAGCTTTATGAGAAGAAAGCTATGAACTTTCTTGATATTGAGTATGATACTGCAATACTAACCTTTATGCACCACTTAGGATCAAGTGTTAGAATGCATATCAAATCTATTCAAAAATAAAAAACTTCAGGTCTTCCTAGGGCTATGCAATTTCTAGTATAGTTTATTTTCTTTTTAACAAAATGCAAAAACTGATAGGGCTTTTCATGGCCCACTGGGGAAACACATACTCTGTGGCTCTGAATGCCACCAGCGTGAGGAAACTTCTAAAACCTAAAGCAAAGTGGCTCTGCATATCAAGTTGTCCATAACAGGTCAAGAATGGCCTATTGAGGTCCCTCAGCCTGCATATTGGTACCTGAATATCACCTGAAGTTGTTCCTTACTCACAAATTGCTCTGAGATGTCAATAATTCCATTTTATATTACATGCTTAAATTATGAGTCTAGGATCTTAGATTGTTTAAAAAGAACCCTACTAATCCCAAATAAATATCATAAATGAAAATAAAAGTTTCATATTTCACTCATTTTCTTTTTCTCTCTCTTTCTATTTTTCCCTCCTTTCTCTCTTTCTCAAGCACTCACAGACACACACTCCTGAACAAGTATCTTCTAATGTCCAAAACCGGAAATCTGATCCATGGGTGACTACAGTTCAAACAGCTCATTTTCTACAGGTTAAATACTTGACACCATTTAGTAAACTGCTACATCAAATATTTTAATGGTATCTTCAGATTCAAAGAGGCAATAACATGACAAAGTATGTTATTTTTTCCACAGACTCAACGAATACTGCTGTAAGTCCTTATCTAATGGCTGAACTATATAAATATGACATCCTTTAGGCTAACCTGATTGTTTAAAGCACATGAGTTTCTGAATCCTCTAAAAAATTCAGAAGAAACTAGATCATGTAATCTAGGAAAGTAAAATAATTTTCAGTCTCTAAGTGACTGTTTTGTAATAACTTAGAAAAAGTTCAATTAGGGTCTTAAATAAATTAGATAATCTTTCTGTCTTGCTTGCCTTACCATTTTGCGACAAGTCTTCAGCAATTAAATTTGAATAAAAGTTGGAGATCAACACGTTATTGATATTTAGTGGAGAGTTAAAGATTTTCTTTAATTTAAAACTAAATTTGTTCTTTATTATATTAATATGAAAAATTTGTCATAATTTTTGTTTTTACAGATTCACAGTTTTTATAAAATATTTGAATTATCCTGGAATGTAATATAAATGTAACATTGCCTCATGATTTCTGGGAACTTACCACATTAAATCTCAATTCAGTACATAAAATTTATTTTTTTATAATCTCTGAAAAATTTCTAGCAAAATTACTAATTTAATTGATCTGATAGAATGCACCCATATGTTTATTAAAGCAAGAATAACAAGACATGGAATGTAAATTGCAGTTAAGACTGTCAACATATTTTTTGAATTTATTTTAAAATAATTTCAAGCAACATAAAATTTGTAAAATTTTTTCAAAAATTGTTAAACTATTTGAGTGTAAATTTTTCATATGATACTCCTCTTCCCCAAGTACATTAGTATATGTTCCATACCAATGAAGACAATCATCTACATAATCCAATGTGAAAACAGAAAAAAAGGAAATTAACATTTATACACTACTGAGGTTGTTGTCTTTACTTTGCATTCTAACAGGAGTCTCAGAATTTAAACTTACTGATTATTGACAATGTTCACTTTGATCACTTGATTAAGGTAGTGTTTGCCAGGCTTCTTGTCTAAAAAGTCATCCTTTCTTCCCTTGGATGAATAAGTTTTTGTAGGAAGTTATTTTAAAACAATGTAAAAGTCACATTGCTTTTTTGTACATAAATTTTATTGTGTATATTTAAGGCATATGATATCATATTATACATATAGATAGTAAAAAGATTACTATAGTTAAGCAAATTAACACATCCATCATCTCACATAGTTACTCATTTCTTTTCATTTTTGTTTTTGTGACAAGAGCATCAAAATCTACTCATTAAGCATGCATCCCATATTCAGTACAATTTTATTACTGAATATGGCCCTCTATAGAACTCATGTTGTACATTTGATCTCTAGACTTGTTCATCTCACATATCTGCTACTTTGTATCCTCTAACCAACATCTCCCCATTTGCTCCCCACCACTCCTGGTAACTAACATTTTGTTCTTTATGTCTGTATATTTAACTTGCTTTTGTTAGATTCCACATGTAAGTGAGCAAATGCAATACTTCCTTTCCATGTCTGACTAATTTCACTTATTGCTCTGTTTGTCTTTCACCACACTGTCTTGATTACTGCAGCTTTATAGTAAGTCTTGAAGTCGGGTAGTGAATGTCAGTCCTCCAACTTCATTATTCTCTTTCGAAATCAGCTTACTATTCTGGGTTTCTGCCTCTCCATGTAAATTTTTAGAGTCAGTTTGCCAGATCCACAAAAGAATTTGCCGGGCTATTGACTGGAATTCCATTGAATCTATAGATCAAGTTGGGAAGTGACATCTTGACAATATTATCTTGTATCTCTTGTATCCATGTATATTGAACACCTCCCCCATTTATTTATTTCTTCTTTGTTTGTCAAAGTTTTGTGGTTTTCTGCATAGAAATCTTGTATGCATCGTATTAAATTTATACCTAAGAATTTCAGTTTTGGGAGTGCTGATGTAAATGGAATTGTGGTTTCAGTTTAAAATTCCACTTGTTTATTGCTGGTATATAAGAAATCAGTTGACTTGTATGTTAACATTGTATCCTGGAACCTTGTTGTAATCACTTATTAGTTCTAAAATTTTTAAATGTCAGTTCTTTTGGATTTTCTACATAGATGATCATGTCATCTGCAGAGACATTTTTATTTACTCCTTTCTACTCTGTATTCATTTTATTCCCATCTCTGATCTTATTGTATTAACTAAGACTTCCAGTATAATGTTAAAAAGGGATGATGACCACAGAATACTACTTAGACATGAGAAGGAATGAAATGATGTCTTTTGCAACAATTTAGATTAAGCTGGAGACCATTACTCTAAGTGATGTAACTCAAAAATGGAAAATCAAATGTTGTATGTTCTCACTTATAAGTGGGAGCTAAGCTATGAGGATGCAAAGGCATAAGAATGATATAATAAACTTTGGTGACTGATGGGGGAAGGTTGGGAAGAGGAGGGATAAAAGACTACATATCAGGTACAAGGTACACTGCTTGGATGACAGGTGCATTAAAATTTCAGAAATCACCAACAAAGAATACATCCATGTAACCAAAAACTCTCTGTACCCCCCAAAACTATTGAACTAAAAATAATTTTTAAACAAAAATTTAAAAATAAAAAATAAAAGGCAATGAGTGGAGACATTTTTGCCTTGTTCCTGATCTTCAAATTTTAAATTTCTCACCATTGTGATATTAGTATAACTTTTCCTTTAGATATTCTTTATCAAGCTGATTAAATTCTCCTTTATTCATAGTTTACTGAGAGTTGTTATTATGAATGTGTTGAATTTGGTCAAATGCTTCTATGCATCTATTGATATGATCATGCATTTTTTTTCTTTTTTAGCCTGTTGATGTGATAGATTATATTAATTAGTTTTTGAATGTTGAACCAGCCTTGCATACCTAGAATAAATCCCACTTGGTCATGGTGTATAATTCTTTTTATAAACTGTTGGATTCTATTTGCTAATATTTTGAATGATTTTTGTATTTATATGAAGAAGTAATAAGGGTCTAAAGTTTTCTCATGTCTCTGCCTGATATTACAATAATCCTGGCCTCACACAATGAGTTAGGAAATATTCCCTTTGTTTCTAACTTTTGAAAGTGACTGTAGAGAATGGAAATAATTTTTTTATTAAATGTTTACTAGAATTTGACAATGAACACATCTGGGCCTGATTCCTGCTGTTTTTGAAGGTTATTAATTATTTATTCAATTTCTTTAATAGACATAGGCCTGATAAGATTGTTTCTTCTTGTATGAGTTTGGCAAATAGTGTCTTCCAAGGAATTGGTATATTTCATCTAGGTTATCAAATCTGTGGTCATAAAGTCATTCATAGTGTTTCTTAATTATCCATTTAATACCCATAGGATCTATGATGGCTCTTTCTGATTCTGATGTTAGTAATTTATGTCATCTGTTTTTCTTAGTTTCTCTAGCTAAACCCTTACCAATTTTATTAATCTTTTTCAAATACTCAAATTTGGGGTTCGTTGATTTTTGTCTATTTTCTATTTTCAATTTTATTGATTTCTATTCTAATATCTATTCTTTTTTCTGCTTATTTTGTATTTAATTTACTCTTGTTTTCTAGTTCCCTAAGGTAGAAATTTATATCATTGACTTTAGATGTTTCTTTTCTAATACCCTCTTTTCTAATGTATATTATAGGTTTTAGGTAATTTCCTCTTTTCTAATTTCCTCTTTTAGATATTTTTTCTCTTTTCTTCTTTTTCTAATATTTCTGTGTTTCAATGCTATCAATTTCCTTGTAAACACTGCTTTTGCTGCAATCCACAAATTTTGATATGTAGTGTTTTCGTTTACATTTAGTTTGAAATAGCTATTGATTTCTCTTTAGATTTGTTCTTTGAACTAAGTGTTATTTGGAAGTGTTATTTAATTTCCATGTATTTTGAAATTTTGTATTTTTCTCTCTGTTATGGATTTCTAATTTAATTCCATTGTGATCTGAGAACAGACATTCTATGATCTCTTTATTTTCAACTTAACTTGACTTGACTTTTAATTTTTGGAGGTATGTTTTATGTCCCAGAATATGGTCTATCCTGAGGAACGTTTTATGTGAGCTTGAGAAAAAATGCGTATTCTGCTGTTGTTAGATGGAGTAGTCTATGGATATTGATTTTATCTAGTTGATTGATGGTGTTATAGAGTTCAACTATATCCTTACTGATTTTCTGCCTGCTTAATCTGTCCATTTCTGATAGAGGGTATTGTCTCCAACAATAACAGTGAATTCATCTATTTCTCCATGCAGTTCTATTAGCATTTGCCTCATATAGTTTGATGCTGTATTGTTAGGTGCATACACATTAAGACTTGTTACGTCTCTTGGAGGATTGTCTCCTTTACTGTTTTGTAATGCTCTTCTTTATAACTTTCCCTGTTTTGAAGTCTTCGCTGCCTGAAATTAACACAGCTACTTCTGCTGTCTTTTGATAAGTGTTAGCATGGTATATTTTTCTTTATCCACTTATTTTTAATATATATGTGTCTATGTTTAAAGTGGGTTTCTGGTAAAGAACGTATAGTTGGGTTCTGTTTCTGAGGAGGACGTAGGTGTAATTCTTATCTTTGTTCCTGTGTAGGTAAAGTATTTACCTGTTCCACCACCCCCTGCTTTTTCAGAACTTTTCTTTTTCTTTGATTTCCTGTAGTTTGAAATAATATGCCTAGGTGTAGATTTTCTGGCATTTATCCTGCTTGGTGATCTTGGAACTTCCTGGATCTGAGGTTTTGTGTTTGGCATTAATTTGGAAAAATTCTCGGTCACTATCATTTCACCTATTTCTTTTGTTCCTTTTTCTCTTTTCTCTCATAAGCATGTTACACCTTTTGTAGTTGTACCACAGTCCTTGAATATTCTGTTCTGGTTTTCCCAGTCTTTGTTCTCTTCACTTCTCAGTTTTTGAAGTTTATATTGATATATTCTCAAGCTCAGAGATCTTTCCTCAGCTGTGTCCAGTGTATTAATAAGCCTGCCAAAGGTATTCTTCATTTCTGTTAGTGTTTTGATCTCTAGTATTTATTCTTGATTTTTTCTTCGAATTTCTATTACTCTGCTTACATTGTGCATCTACTCTTGCATGCTGTCTCCTTTATCCATTAGAGCCCTTGGCGTATCTATCAATCATAGCTGTGTTAAGTTCCCAGTCTGATAATTCCAACACCCAGACATAGCTGGTTCTGATTGCTCTGTCTCTTCAACTTATGCTTTTTGCCTTTTGGTATACAACGTAATTCTTTTTTGATAGCCCTACATGATATACTGGGTAAAAGGGATTACTCAAAATAGGATTTTAGTAATATGATGGGGTAAGGTATCAGGGAAGGGGAAGCATTCTATAATTAGGTCTCAGTCTTTTAGTGAGACTATGCCCCTGGACTGTGAACTTTGCAAGTGTTTCTCAGTTTTTTTTCTCTCCCATTTAGGTGAAACAGCATGGCAAGATGGGCTGGAGTTGGATATTTCCCACATGGAAGCTACCTGGAGTTGGGTATTTCATTTCAGTTTCCCAGATCAGCTAAACTCTGATAATACCTCAGCCAGTTACGCCCTGGTTAACTACTTGCTCCTGAGGACAGCCCTTGTTAAGAACAGAGTGCTCTGGTGTATGTATATGTGTGTGTGTGTGTGTGTGTGTGTGTGTGTGTGTATAATATATATATATATATTATATATTAAACGGAGTTTAGCTCTTGTTGCCCAGGCTGGAGTGCAATAGCACGATCTTGGCTCACCACAACATCCGCCCCTCAGGTTCAAGCGATTCTCCTGCCTCAGGCTCGTGAGTAGCTGGGATTACAGGCATGTGCCACCACTCCCGGCTAATTTTCTATTTTTAGTAGAGATGAGGTTTCTCCACGTTGATCAGGCTGGTCTCGAACTCCTGACCTCAGGTGACTCAGGTGATCCTCCTGCCTCACCCGCCCAAAGTGCTGGGATTACACACATGAGCCACAGTGCCGGACCCACTCTGGTGTATTTTTAAATGGCTCCTTTTCTTCCCCTGCTGCTGGAACCTGGTCAAGCTCCTGAAGGTAAATCTCACAGTATTATGGAAGCATCCCATGACTGGGTGTGCTGGAGTTTTTAACTCTTGAGTTGTCGGCACTGAGCTTCCAGCAATTCATCAATTACAGTTCAGGTTTTTCTACGTACCACTGGTTCCTGCAGTGGTTTCCCACTTGTGAGCCTCTGGTAAGCCATGACTCCCTGTATTTGCCTATCTATCTCTCCAATGTTGGGGAAGCTTTTCTCCATGTCCTCCCTCTATCTTAGGGGTCCAAGAAAAACTGTTGATTTTTCAAACTGTTTAGCTTTTTACTTGTCCTTAGGACAAAGTGGTGACTTCCCAGCTACTTACATATAAAACTGGAAACTGGAAGTAAAAATCTATCTTTATAGAAAACTACAAAATTCTCTGCCTTCTAAACTGTATAGCCACAAAACGGCTATACCATTTTTGCATTTCCAGAAGCAATGGATTACAGTTCTTTTTGTTCTGCATCTTAGAAACACCCACTATTGTCAGATTGTTGTTGTTGTTCTTGTTGGTATGTAAGTAACTGTGTAGTGGTATCTCACAGCTATTTTAATTTGAATTTCTCTAATGATAAATAGTGTTGAGCATCTTTTAAATTTCATGTTTGGCATACATATATCTTCTATGAAACATGTGTTCAAATTGTTTGACTATTTTCAATTGTTTTATTTTCTGAATATTGAGTTTTAAGTGTTCTTCATATATTCTGATTATAAGTCTTTTATCAGAGTTGATTTGCAAATATTTTCACAGTTTGTCACATTAACAAACTATTTCTATTGTTCGCCACTTCATTCTCCTAACAGTGTCTTTTTTAGATCAAAAAAATTTTCATTTTGACAAAGTCCAATTTACCTTTTTTCTCTCTCAAGGATAACATATTTTGGTTTTGTGTTAGTTGTGCCCTGGGGGCCACAAGGCTTGCTGCTGTTCTCTTGGAGGCTAAAGGCTTCAATTTCACAAAGGATGGGAATTCTTTAAAGCCTTTTTCACAGTATTGGCTTCTCCTCTTTCAGGTCTACACCACAGGAGGATGATTTTCCCACTTTCAGCATTTCTTGTGAGTAGCCATTGGATTTTCATGGAGAAGAGCCAGAGAGTAAGTGCAAATTCCCCATTTGTCTGTGGTTTGGCAGCCCAGGGGTATCCTCTCACTGTAGCCCACACTCAGCCTTTATCAATTTGGTACACTGTTTAACTGGATCCCTCATGCCAGTACAGTGCCCCAGATCCTATCCTCCCATCTCTGCACAGTTGAGACTATTTTTGGAGCCTTATACCCTTGCAAGGACTTGCTTTTCTATTAGACATCAGATAACTTGTCCTGTAACTTCACCTCTCAGGTGTGTACAAAAAAGTTATAATTTTTAAGTTTATTTAGCTTGTTCTTGTGTTTGGTTGAGAGTGACGGACTTTTTCCAGTTTTCTATGTCCCAGGCAGAAGCAGATATCTGAATAATCTTTTAAATTATTTGTGAAATAAAGGCTTAGTAATAGTAAATTCCTCAAATAATTAACCAAATTTGCTATGTGTGTGTTTGTGTGTGTGCATGCATATACAGGAAAGTGAAAAAAGGCACATTTCCATTTTATTTCAATAAGTTACAAAGAGGTTAATGATGATTTTCAAAAACTCTAAAGTGTGACACAATTTATTAGGCTAATTTCATAGTTGATTTATACACTGGCATTTTTTATTAGATGCCAGTGAGCATAATGAGATATAAAATTACAGGACTGCATGAAGCTTGTAAAGAGGACAGGAATATATATCAAATGTAAGTTACTGTTCAAGAAAATTGCTGATTACCTGTCCTTTACCCTGGGTTATTAAATATCAATGTTTTCAAGCATAAACTGAGGAAAAGATAGTCTAGGGATTCCATCTCTTTTATATTAAAGGTAGTTTTATTATATATGCTAAATGCACAAATATCAGTACTTTATGTATTTTCCTCTTCAAATAGTTGTCTTTGGTATATTGCCTGACAGCATAACTTTTACAGATTTGCCCAAGCCAACTACTGAAAGAAATAATGTCTCCTTCCAAAAACATTTTTTTAAAAGATTTAAAATGCTTAAGAAATGAAAAAGAACCACCAAAACCATGCTGTTATCTTCACTAAAAATGCAAGCCAGTTGGTACCATCAACAAAGCATTGGCTATGGATGGTAGACCAGCAACATGAGTATAACCTACTGAAGTGCCAATCAGAAAACCTGCTGAGAAAGTGAAAGATTAAACTGTCAGAATAGAGGGAAGGAGAAAGATGAAGAGTAGTGTGAGCATACAACATGGAAAGGCATACTAATGGCTTCTTGAATCATTCATTACTCCAATGAGTGGGATTCAAGCCACGTTTCGACTGCGAGTTGGTGTAATACATTCCTTTAGTTAAAATAATTTTTTAATCAGGTCTATTCTGGGAGCTTAAAAATCTCCATCATAAACTTCTCCAGATTTTGTAAAAAATGCTCAGCTTGAATCATCAGAGAAAAATGAGCATCCTGCCTAGTCACCAAGAAATTAAACTTGAAATGGTGTAAGCAGCTTGGGAAGTAATTTGACTGATTCGGATTTTGTAGCAATTTATCCAGAATGACGTAGATCCATGCCTAAAACTCACCAAGGTGATAAAGCTAAATAGGATTTCATGTTTAACTCTCTTAAATTACACATACAGCATTCATAAAATGTACCCTTTCTTGTTGGTTTGTTCTTCCACTTTAGTTCCTATCAATCCTATGGTGGTGGTGTTTCTCTCTCTCTCCCCTCTCCCCCACTCTTTATAAGAATAGAACTTCCCCATGACTTAAAAAAACTCCTCATTTGACCTAATTCTATTATCTTTTCCAAAACTTCCCCATACTTCAAACCCTCTTTACATCTGTGAGTAAATGCATCATTAGCACCTGAATTAACCCTTCCCTCCCAGATGCGTATAGACTCTCCTTTCCCATCCAACTACTAACCAGGCCCAACCCTACTTAACTTCTGAGATCAGACAGGATCTGGGGCATTCAGGGTGGTATAGCCGTAGACTCTCCTTTCCGTTGCTGTCTTCTTTAGTTGTTCTTCCTTTTTAAAACTAAAACTTCACTTCTTTATTTCTTTATATTCAATTTCTTACATTATCAATTGTTTGCATTTTTATTCAAAGATGCTGATGTTTGAAACTGGAATGAAGTGTTACCTGTCTCATTGCTGGGTCAGTCTTAATGGAAACTTCCTTAGAAGTTATAGAAATAAGTACCAGAGAGGGAGGAGCCAAGATGGCCGAATAGGAACAGCTCCGGTCTACAGCTCCCAGCGTGAGCGACGCAGAAGACAGGTGATTTCTGCATTTCCATCTGAGGTACCGGGTTCATCTCACTAGGGAGTGCCAGACAGTGGGCGCAGGCCAGTGTGTGTGCGCACCGTGCGCGAGCCGAAGCAGGGCGAGGCATTGCCTCACCTGGGAAGCGCAAGGGGTCAGGGAGTTCCCTTTCCGAGTCAAAGAAAGGGGTGATGGACGCACCTGGAAAATCGGGTCACTCCCACCCGAATATTGCGCTTTTCAGACCGGCTTAAGAAATGGCGCACCACGAGACTATATCCCACACCTGGCTCAGAGGGTCCTACGCCCACGGAATCTCGCTGATTGCTAGCACAGCAGTCTGAGATCAAACTGCAAGGCAGCAACCAGGCTGGGGGAGGGGCGCCCGCCATTGCCCAGGCTTGCTTAGGTAAACAAAGCAGCAGGGAAGCTCCAACTGGGTGGAGCCCACCACAGCTCAAGGAGGCCTGCCTGCCTCTGTAGGCTCCACCTCTGGGGGCAGGGCACAGACAAACAAAAAGACAGCAGTAACCTCTGCAGGCTTAAGTGTCCCTGTCCGACAGCTTTGAAGAGAGCAGTGGTTCTCCCAGCACGCAGCTGGAGATCTGAGAACGGGCAGACTGCCTCCTCAAGTGGGTCCCTGACCCCTGACCCCCGAGCAGCCTAACTGGGAGGCACCCCCCAGCAGGGGCACACTGACACCTCACACGGCAGGGTATTCCAACAGACCTGCAGCTGAGGGTCCTGTCTGTTAGAAGGAAAACTAACAACCAGAAAGGACATCTACACCGAAAACCCATCTGTACATCACCATCATCAAAGACCAAAAGTAGATAAAACCACAAAGATGGGGAAAAAACAGAACAGAAAAACTGGAAACCCTAAAACGCAGAGCGCCTCTCCTCCTCCAAAGGAACGCAGTTCCTCACCAGCAACAGAACAAAGCTGGATGGAGAATGATTTTGACGAGCTGAGAGAAGAAGGCTTCAGACGATCAAATTACTCTGAGCTACGGGAGGACATTCAAACCAAAGGCAAAGAAGTTGAAAACTTTGAAAAAAATTTAGAAGAATGTATAACTAGAATAACCAATACAGAGAAGTGCTTAAAGGAGCTGATGGAGCTGAAAACCAAGGCTCGAGAACTACGTGAAGAATGCAGAAGCCTCAGGAGCCGATGCGATCAACTGGAAGAAAGGGTATCAGCAATGGAAGATGAAATGAATGAAATGAAGCGAGAAGGGAAGTTTAGAGAAAAAAGAATAAAAAGAAATGAGCAAAGCCTCCAAGAAATATGGGACTATGTGAAAAGACCAAATCTACGTCTGATTGGTGTACCTGAAAGTGATGTGGAGAATGGAACCAAGTTGGAAAACACTCTGCAGGATATTATCCAGGAGAACTTCCCCAATCTAGCAAGGCAGGCCAACGTTCAGATTCAGGAAATACAGAGAACGCCACAAAGATACTCCTCGAGAAGAGCAACTCCAAGACACATAATTGTCAGATTCACCAAAGTTGAAATGAAGGAAAAAATGTTAAGGGCAGCCAGAGAGAAAGGTCGGGTTACCCTCAAAGGAAAGCCCATCAGACTAACAGCGGATCTCTCGGCAGAAACCCTACAAGCCAGAAGAGAGTGGGGGCCAATATTCAACATTCTTAAAGAAAAGAATTTTCAACCCAGAATTTCATATCCAGCCAAACTAAGCTTCATAAGTGAAGGAGAAATAAAATACTTTATAGACAAGCAAATGCTGAGAGATTTTGTCACCACCAGGCCTGCCCTAAAAGAGCTCCTGAAGGAAGCGCTAAACATGGAAAGGAACAACTGGTACCAGCCGCTGCAAAATCATGCCAAAATGTAAAGACCATCGAGACTAGGAAGAAACTGCATCAACTAATGAGCAAAATCACCAGCTAACATCATAATGACAGGATCAAATTCACACATAACAATATTAACTTTAAATATAAATGGACTAAATTCTGCAATTAAAAGACACAGACTGGCAAGTTGGATAAAGAGTCAAGACCCATCAGTGTGCTGTATTCAGGAAACCCATCTCACGTGCAGAGACACACATAGGCTCAAAATAAAAGGATGGAGGAAGATCTACCAAGCCAATGGAAAACAAAAAAAGGCAGGGGTTGCAATCCTAGTCTCTGATAAAACAGACTTTAAACCAACAAAGATCAAAAGAGACAAAGAAGGCCATTACATAATGGTAAAGGGATCAATTCAACAAGAGGAGCTAACTATCCTAAATATTTATGCACCCAATACAGGAGCACCCAGATTCATAAAGCAAGTCCTCAGTGACCTACAAAGAGACTTAGACTCCCACAAATTAATAATGGGAGACTTTAACACCCCACTGTCAACATTAGACAGATCAACCAGACAGAAAGTCAACAAGGATACCCAGGAATTGAACTCAGCTCTGCACCAAGCGGACCTAATAGACATCTACAGAACTCTCCACCCCAAATCAACAGAATATATATTTTTTTCAGCACCACACCACACCTATTCCAAAATTGACCACATACTTGGAAGTAAAGCTCTCCTCAGCAAATGTAAAAGAACAGAAATTATAACAAACTATCTCTCAGACCACAGTGCAATCAAACTAGAACTCAGGATTAAGAATCTCACTCAAAGCCGCTCAACTACATGGAAACTGAACAACCTCCTCCTGAATGACTACTGGGTACATAACGAAATGAAGGCAGAAATAAAGATGTTCTTTGAAACCAACGAGAACAAAGACACCACATACCAGAATCTCTGGGACGCATTCAAAGCAGTGTGTAGAGGGAAATTTATAGCACTAAATGCCTACAAGAGAAAGCAGGAAAGATCCAAAATTGACACCCTAAAATCACAATTAAAAGAACTAGAAAAGCAAGAGCAAACACATTCAAAAGCTAGCAGAAGGCAAGAAATAACTAAAATCAGAGCAGAACTGAAGGAAATAGAGACAGAAAAAACCCTTCAAAAAATCAATGAATCCAGGAGCTGGTTTTTTGAAAGGATCAACAAAATTGATAGACCGCTAGCAAGACTAATAAAGAAAAAAAGAGAGAAGAATCAAATAGACGCAATAAAAAATGATAAAGGGGATATCACCACCGATCCCACAGAAATACAAACTACCATCAGAGAATATTACAAACACCTCTACGCAAATAAACTAGAAAATCTAGAAGAAATGGATACATTCCTTGACACATACACTCTCCCAAGACTAAACCAGGAAGAAGTTGAATCTCTGAATAGACCAATAACAGGCTCTGAAATTGTGGCAATAATCAATAGTTTACCAACCAAAAAGAGTCCAGGACCAGATGGATTCACAGCCGAATTCTACCAGAGGTACAAGGAGGAACTGGTACCATTCCTTCTGAAACTATTCCAATCAATAGAAAAAGAGGGAATCCTCCCTAACTCATTTTATGAGGCCAGCATCATTCTGATACCAAAGCCTGGCAGAGACACAACCAAAAAAGAGAATTTTAGACCAATATCCTTGATGAACATTGATGCAAAAATCCTCAATAAAATACTGGCAAACCGAATCCAGCAGCACATCAAAAAGCTTATCCACCATGATCAAGTGGGCTTCATCCCTGGGATGCAAGGCTGGTTCAATATACGCAAATCAATAAATGTAATCCAGCATATAAACAGAGCCAAAGACAAAAACCACATGATTATCTCAATAGATGCAGAAAAAGCCTGTGACAAAAATCAACAGCCCTTCATCCTAAAAACTCTCAATAAATTAGGTATTGATGGGACGTATTTCAAAATAATAAGAGCTATCTATGACAAACCCACAGCCAATATCATACTGAATGGGCAAAAACTGGAAGCATTCCCTTTGAAAACTGGCACAAGACAGGGATGCCCTCTCTCACCGCTCCTATTCAACATAGTGTTGGAAGTTCTGGCCAGGGCAATCAGGCAGGAGAAGGAAATAAAGGGTATTCAATTAGGAAAAGAGGAAGTCAAATTGTCCCTGTTTGCAGACGACATGATTGTTTATCTAGAAAACCCCATCGTCTCAGCCCAAAATCTCCTTCAGCTGATAAGCAACTTCAGCAAAGTCTCAGGATACAAAATCAATGTACAAAAATCACAAGCATTCTTATACACCAACAACAGACAAACAGAGAGCCAAATCATGGGTGAACTCCCATTCACAATTGCTTCAAAGAGAATAAAATACCTAGGAATCCAACTTACAAGGGATGTGAAGGACCTCTTCAAGGAGAACTACAAACCACTGCTCAAGGAAATAAAAGAGGACACAAACAAATGGAAGAACATTCCATGCTCATGGGTAGGAAGAATCAATATCGTGAAAATGGCCATACTGCCTAAGGTAATTTACAGATTCAATGCCATCCCCATCAAGCTACCAATGACTTTCTTCACAGAATTGGAAAAAAATACTTTAAAGTTCATATGGAACCAAAAAAGAGCCCGCATTGCCAAGTCAATCCTAAGCCAAAAGAACAAAGCTGGAGGCATCACACTACCTGACTTCAAACTATACTACAAGGCTACAGTAACCAAAACAGCATGGTACTGGTACCAAAACAGAGATATAGATCAATGGAACAGAACAGAGCCCTCAGAAATAATGCCGCATATCTACAACTATCTGATCTTTGACAAACCTGAGAAAAACAAGCAATGGGGAAAGGATTCCCTATTTAATAAATGGTGCTGGGAAAACTGGCTAGCCATATGTAGAAAGCTGAAACTGGATCCCTTCCTTACACCTTATACAAAAATCAATTCAAGATGGATTAAAGATTTAAACGTTAAACCTAAAACCATAAAAACCCTAGAAGAAAACCTAGGCATTACCATTCAGGACATAGGCGTGGGCAAGGACTTCATGTCCAAAACACCAAAAGCAATGGCAACAAAAGACAAAATTGACAAATCGGATCTAATTAAACTAAAGAGCTTCTGCACAGCAAAAGAAACTACCATCAGAGTGAACAGGCAACCTACAACATGGGAGAAAATTTTCGCAACCTACTCATCTGACAAAGGGCTAATATCCAGAATCTACAATGAACTCAAACAAATTTACAAGAAAAAAACAAACAACCCCATCAAAAAGTGGGCGAAGGACATGAACAGACACTTCTCAAAAGAAGACATTTATGCAGCCAAAAAACACATGAAGAAATGCTCATCATCACTGGCCATCAGAGAAATGCAAATCAAAACCACTATGAGATATCATCTCACACCAGTTAGAATGGCAATCATTAAAAAGTCAGGAAACAACAGGTGCTGGAGAGGATGTGGAGAAATAGGAACACTTTTACACTGTTGGTGGGACTGTAAACTAGTTCAACCATTGTGGAAGTCAGTGTGGCGATTCCTCAGGGATCTAGAACTAGAAATACCATTTGACCCAGCCATCCCATTACTGGGTATATACCCAAAGGACTATAAATCATGCTGCTATAAAGACACATGCACACGTATGTTTATTGCGGCACTATTCACAATAGCAAAGACTTGGAACCAACCCAAATGTCCAACAATGATAGACTGGATTAAGAAAATGTGGCACATATACACCATGGAATACTATGTAGCCATAAAAAATGATGAGTTCATGTTCTTTGTAGGGACATGGATGAAATTGGAAACCATCATTCTCAGTAAACTATCGCAAGAACAAAAAACCAAACACCGCATATTCTCACTCATAGGTGGGAATTGAACAATGAGATCACATGGACACAGGAAGGGGAATATCACACTCTGGGGACTGTGGTGGGGTCGGGGGAGGGGGGAGGGATAGCATTGGGAGATATACCTAATGATAGATGACACGTTGGTGGGTGCAGCGCACCAGCATGGCACATGTATACATATGTAACTAACCTGCACAATGTGCACATGTACCCTAAAACTTAGAGTATAATAAAAAAAAAATAAAAAAAAAAATAAAGAACAGCAAAAAAAAAAAAAAAAAAAAAAAGAAATAAGTACCAGAAGAGAAGGTAGCAGGGTGGAGATAAAGACTAGTGGCTCAGTTTACTTTGGGTGATCAATGGATACCACATATATTTCGCACAAACAAAACAATTTCAACCTTTTTATTACACTAATGAAATAAAATTATTCAGAAGGCATAGCACTGACTTATTATGCTATGGTGCTTCAAATTCAACATACAAAAAATCCTGTGATCAAGGGGAGCATCACACACGGGGGCCTGTTGTGGGGTGGGGGGAGGGGGGAGGGATAGCATTAGGAGATATACCTAAGGCTAAATGACGAGTTAATGGGTGCAGCACACCAACATGGCACATGTATACATGTGTAACAAACCTGCATGTTGTGCACATGTACCCGAAAACTTAAAGTATAATAATAAAAAAAAAATCCTGTGATCATAATATTACCAGTTTATTGAGACCAGGAAATGGATTTATTTTTCTACAAACCCTGTCTTCAAACATACCCTGTTCAATCTTCATTCCTATTCCTCTGGCAACATTTTGTTCATACCACATGATTTCTGAGCCACTTTCAGGGAACAAAATCCATGTGCAGCAAGTAATATTCACCTTCAGGTACTAAAAAAGCATTCATCCTAAATCAAAACTTTAATCTCATTTTCAATTCAAAACTTTCTTCTCCCACTGCAGGCCTAACCTATTGCTCAAAATCTACAGTGGAAGAGATAAAATCCATTTCTTCACTTCTACTTGACTTTTTTCCCTTTTATTTTCTGGCTTTTCTATAGCTATTAAAGTTTAAAGAATTGGGGTGAAATGTTATATTTACATTTCTCTCTTCATGACTGACATTGGATGGCCTCCAAGGTCCATCTGCATAGTGGGTATAAAAATGTGGGATTCTTCGGGAGGTAGAGCTTGCAGTGAGCCGAGATAGCACCACTGCACTCCAGCCTGGGCAACAGAGCAAAACTCTGTCACAAAAAAAAAAAAAAAAAATGTGGGATTCTTTTGTGCAGCATTGATAGCATTCCATGGAGGCCCTGGGAGGACTTTGGCCCTTCACGTTCCCTAGATGCAAGCCATGTACACTGGCTGCAGTCTTGTACGCCATTCCTGCTTGGTTTATGTTTGCAAAGAACACAGCCTTTTACTTTTGGATTCTCATTGTCCCAGCAGGTACAATATTGCTCAATTTACAATGTTTGCTGGTGAGAGTAAAGGGCAGGGGTAGCTTTTGTAAAACTTATATTTTGGGTTCGAGGGTATATGTGAAGGTTTGTTACATAGGTAAACTCGTGTCACAGGTGTTTGTTGTACAGATTATGTCATCACCCAGGTATTAAGCCCAGTACCCAATAGTGATCTTTTCTGCTCCTCTCCCTTCTCCCACCCTCCCCACTCAAGCAGACCCCAATGTCTGTTTTTCCCTTCTTTGTGTTGGTAAGTTCTCATCATTTAGCTCCCACTTATAAGTGAGCACATGCAGTATTTGGTTTTCTGTTCCTGCATTAGTTTGCTAAGGACATACTTTCCTATTTTTAAAACCTCATGGAAGTTCTTTTTTTTTATTAATGTCTGTGATTCCTCCATGTAACTAAAGTATATTATAGATGAAAAAGTGATACTCCCCAAAACACTGGAATATTCTAAAGAAGTAAATCATTGCAATAAATATCTGTGTAGTTGATCAGACTCAGCCTCCTTTCCTTTCTCATCAAAGCATTTTATTAACGTTTGTTTGCAAGACATCTCGAAATATGATTGAAGTCTTCAACTCTTTATCATCTAAATCTTTCCTTCCAGCATTCTGAGAATGCTAACAATCTCAATGAGTAAATGAATGAGTAATGAGTAAGCAGGAGTAAATGGTATATTGCCTGACAGCATAACTTTTACAGATTTGGCCAAGCTGACTACTGAAAGAAATAATGTCCCCAACCAGAAACAATTTTTTTTATTTTAAATGCTAAAAAAAATGAACCACCAAAACTATGCTATTATCTTTATTAAAAATGCAAGCCAGTTGGTACCATCAATATAGCATTGGCTATAGATGGCAGACCAGCAAAAGTTTATTTTTCACAATTTAAAATGTAAATACACAATTTTCCTATACCTAGGTAAATTTACTCTGCTGTCATTTTTGCATCTTTTACTTTATAGCAGACCAACTAAAAACCTGAATGTCAGTTCTATTCAAAATAATGGATTTGAAATTGCCAGTGACAAAAGCTGCTATTGTCACCTTCTATTTATATAGAAAAAAGTAATAGAGGGCAATAGATTTTACAGGCCTGACACTGAAGCCTTTCATCATTACAGCCTCAAAACATTGAGGAAAGCAAAAATACCAAATAATTCACACATGGGCAAACATAGGCCACAAGAAATGGAAGCAAAGTCCTTGCAAACAATTTTTTGACTCAAATTCTTCTTTACACATGCTGAAGTCTGCCTAAAGTGCAAGATGCTGCAGAACCACATCAATACACGAGTGCCATTGCATATTACTTTGAATACAATGTTAACAAATATATAGTTTAGCATATCCAATTTGTTTATAAAGGAACCTGCCTACTTCAAAAAGAAAGCTATCTTGAAGAAGGGGATGCCATCCAGAGATACCTGCAAGATGAAGCTAACATAGAGAAAACCACAGTATACAAATCTTTCTTCCCCCTACATTCCATATGGGTGAAATCAAGGTAAAACGAACATTAGACAAATTCTTGAAAGGATAACCATATGCACTCTTATACAGAGAAAAGCCACCACATATCAAGCTATTTTCAAGGCATGACACCTTTAACTCCTCCCAGTTAACTCTTCAACCTTCTGCAACATATCTGTTTTTTTGTTTTTTTTTTTTACTTTAGGTTCATGGGTACATGTGTGGGTTGGTTACATAGATAAGTTATATGTCACAGGGGTTTGGTATACAGGTTATTTTGTCATCCATGTAATAACCATCGTACCTGATAGGTAGTTTTTTTTTAATCCTCTTCTTCCTCCCTCCCTCCACCCTCAAGTAAGACCCAGTTTCTGTAGGTCCCTTCTTTGTGTCTGCATGCATTCAATGTTTAGCTCCTACTTATGAGTGAGAACATATGGTATTTGGCTTTCTGATCCTGCATTAGTTTGCATAGGATTATGGCCTCCAGCATCATCCATGTTCTCATTCATCTTTATGGTTGCATAGTATTCCATGGTGTATATGTACCACATTTCTTTATCCAGTCTTTCACTGATGGACATTCAGGTGGATTCCATGTCTTTGCTATTGTGAGTAGTGCTGCAATGAACATATGTGTGCATGTGTCTTTATGGTAGAATAATTTATATTTCTTTGAATATATGTACTCAATAATGGGATGGCTGGGCTAAATGGCACTTCTGTTTTAAGTTCTTTGAGAATTTCCCACCCTGCCTCCCTCAATAGCTGAACTAATTTACATTCCCACCAGTAGTGTATAAGCATTCCCTTTCCTCTACAACCTCACCAGCATCTGTTATTTTTTGACTTTTTAATGATAGCCATTCTGACTGTATGAGATGATATTTTACTGTAGTTTTGATTTGCATTTCTCTAATGATTAGTCATGTTAAGTATTTTTTCATATGTTTGTTGGCTGCAGGTATGTCTTATTTTCAAAAGTGTTTGTTCATATCTTTTGCCCACTTTTTAATGGTGTTTGTTTTTTTCTTGTAAATTTGTTTCACCTACTTCTGGATTCTGGATATTAGACATTTGTCAGATGCATAGTTTGCCAAAATTATCTCCATTCTGTAGATTCTCTATTTACTCTGTTGATAGTTTCTTTTGCTGCGCAACACTTTGTTAGTTTAATTACATTCCATTTGTCGATTTTTGGTTTCGAAAGCAATTGCAGTTTTTATCATGAAATCTAATTCATCATGAAGTCGAATTCTGTGAAGAAGGTCACTGATAGTTTGATAGAAATAGCATTTAACCTGTAAATCGATTTCAGCAATATGGTCATTTCCTATGCCAGTCCACATTACAAAGCAAAAAGACATGTTATGGTAACATGTTTGCTCTGGGATGTAGACCAGCATAGAAAACATCACACAGCCACCTTGCCTTTTGTCTCCCATTTCTTTGAGCTGAGAGCCCCAGCAGGATATAGAAGAGAATGATAGGGCAGAGTGATAAAGGGGTAGTAGGGATATTTATTCTCCAGCCCCCACTATGAGAAGTAACCTGAGATTAGCAGAAACCTCCAGCCCCAATGAAAGTCACAGCTTCTCTCAAGGTGGCCCCTCTGCACAAGGCTGTCTACTTCCAACTTATTGATACCACTTCCCTTCCTTATTTCTCCAAGTCAAAACTGATTATACCTGTTACCCCAGGAAACAGCCTTCTACTCTGTGATTTCCATACACACTTTACAAATGTCTCTTTTATTAAAACATTCTTAAATTATGCAATTTGGAATGTCTCATTGTTCCCTGCTAGAACTCTGGCTGAGATACATGAGGTACATAGTATTCCTGCTTCATTTCTTACCATACACAAAGTGGCTGGAATAATGCATGACAAGGGTATAGAATAGCATTCAATTTATGAATGAGTGAATGAATGAAGTCTACCTATGAGACTTATGTTTAAAGTTAACACTGAAAAGTGATATCTACTTGTATGTTTCCTCCTTTGGTGATTATCTGGGAGGGGCATTAGACTGATTATACTGGGTCTCTGCCTTAGGGGTCTCCTCCAATTTCTTACCTGGACTCTTAAAATAGGTTTAACTGATTTCTCCGTTTTTATTTTAGGCCTTCTATAGTGCATTTTCTGTATAGCAGTCAGGGTGATTTCTCTTAAAATGCGCATTTTACTCCTATAGCTCCCAAGCTCACTACAGGCTTATCCATCAAGCCCAGACTCCTGAATGTGGCATCTCTGGTACCCATCATCCTTTTTAGAGTCAACTATCAAACCCCTAACATCAACCCTGAAACCCTGTTCAACTCACACTGAACTATTTCCTTTCTTCAAATATACCATCCTTCTTTCCTATGATTTTGCACACATGCTTTTTGTTCTTTCTTTCCACATTCTTTGCTGAGATACTTCCTACACATTCTTCAAGACCCCAACAAGCATCGACTCATTTAAGAATTCATCTTCGGCTTTTTCAGGAGCCTCCGGGGCTCCCACAGCATTCCATGCTTCCACTTCTCAGGGTATTTCTCATCCTGAATTGAAATTTACTGTTTTTTCATAATCTCCTTTTAATATCTAATATATGCCTGGCACACATAAAGTTCACAATGAATACTTGCCCAATGAACAAATAAATAGCTGAATCAATGATCAACATGAGCTACTTATGGTCAACATAGTTGCTACTTGATTCAAATCCTATTCCCCAAACCTGCTAACCTGAATATCCTAATGACCCTTCACTCTGACAGTAGTCTGGCATATCCCTTCCCACAATAAAAAAAAATTCAGTAGAGTTAAGAGATGTTCTTGGGTCAAATATATCATTGAAACATATAAGGAGAAAATATTCTAAAAGTAGATTAAATGACCCAGAAAGAAAATGAGTAATAGAGTTATTAAATGACAAAGTTCAAAATTATTTGTCTTTACAACACTTTAGATGGAATAGTCCCCTATTTTATATTCCCTATAGAATTCTGACATTTGATATTTTTATGCACTCTTAAAATTTTGAATCAGTCAGATATTTCGTTTTTATTGCTATCAACATAAAGTGGCTGGCTAACATGATTGAAAATGGAATTTATTAGAAAGTTGTCAAGAAACTTAGGACATCAGTAGGAATAATCAGAGATCCAATTTGGGTAAAAGGACCAAGGTGAAGTGTGCTTTGAAGGTCAAGGATGCTAACACTGCTGAACATTCTCCCACCAGCCACCAACACTGTAATGCATGAATTCCAATTATTTTTTATTTTTTCTGTCCATTAATCATGTGCAGGGCATCTGGATATATAATCCCACTATGATTTTCACAGTGAAGGAGGCATAATTCTTTAAAAAGAAATTGAATGACATTATAAGTAGAATGGAGACTAAATGCACAAATCAGAATACAAAGCCACTATGTGAAACAGCAAATGTCCACTGAAAATAGATTTTTTAAAAGTTAGAAAATAAAAAGTAGATATATTAGTAAATAAAGGAGATAAAAATGGACTTAGATAACTTTAAATGTAGCCCATAGAAATAAAGTATGATAAAGGACTAAGAAAGCATATTTTTTAAAAATTTATTTTTAATAACAAAAATTATGTATATTTGTAGTGTACAACATGATGGTCTGATATATGTATAGATTGTGGAATGACTAAGTCAAACTAATTAACATACCTGTTACATCCCATACTTATCCATTTTTGTGGTGAAAACATTTTAAATATATAGTTAGCAATTTTCAAAGGGCCTAATTTTAAAATGTATTTTAGATTATAAAATTCCACTAATTCACGTTACTGTAACAAAATAAAAACCCCCTTTGATATTTAGATTTATTATTAAATAATTTATTTATAATATAAAATAGACCTTTTAACTTTTTAAAGGCTTTTTCATTGATTGAGGTACATTAATACTTGTTTTTCCCTTTATAGGAACAAGATGCAGTGGAAGAACACCAGCGATCCCAGGAGACGCTCAACAGAATAAACACACTTGAGACATCAAAGAAATATCATATTAAGAGAACTGTTCAGAAAAGTAGGATACATTTATTGTGTTGTTCCTATCGTGATACGCATACTGAAATTGTTGTTGTTGTTGTTTCACATAGTTTGCAGACTGTAATTACAGAATTATAGGCTGTCTTACTCAGGATGGATGTCTAATCTCAACATAAACAGATCACACACAGCTTGTCCCATCTTTTGGCCCCCTTTAATATCAATTACAATGGCTGTTGCTTTGACACAATTTTGAAACAAAAAATTATAAGATTATATCTTGTTATATATCACCCATGGAAGAAAAATTTAATATTTCTTAGCTCTATTATAATAGTTTTTTCCCATCTGCCTTCAACATTTAAAGCCTTCTAGGGAAACGACGCATCAAAGTGCTAAGGTTCTATTAGGGCAGACTACAATAAAACATAGGTGCATATCTTAATGTATAAATTCCTCATCTGTTAGGTACATTTAAGATTCTTTATTATAAACAAACTCACACAAAGCTAAACCAAAAGGCAATTGTTTAGTGTAACAATATACTGAGTGTGGGAGCTAAAAGTTAAAAAAAAAATTAAACTCAAGGAGACAAAGAGTGACTTTGCATTTTGCCATAAAATTCGTGCCTAGGACCCCAAAGGAAAATTGGAGGCTTTAAATTTTCCCCATTCTAATAAGATTACCCCAATTTTTAGTGAAAGCTAAACGTGAGATCTCTGGAAAGCAGACTCCAAGATAGAGTTTATCTTTCTTTTTTCTTTATTTGAGACAGAGTCTCACTCTGTCACCCAGGCTGGAGTGCAGTGGCGCCACCTCGGCTCACTGCAAGCTCCGCCTCCCGGGTTCACGCCATTCTCCTGCCTCAGCCTCCGAGTAGCTGGGACTACAGGCGCCCGCCACCACGCCCGGCTAATTTTTTGTATATTTTTTAGTAGAGACGGGGTTTCACTGTGTTGGCCAGGATGGTCTCGATCTCCTGACCTCGTGATCCACCCGCCTCGGCCTCCCAAAGTGCTGGGATTACAGGCATGAGCCACTGCGCCCAGCTGATAGAGTTTATAATACAAGATGTTTATAAGGGAGCACTAGTTGTTTCAGCAGGTGTGGATGGGAAGGGAAGGAAGCAGAAGTGCACAGAGGAAAAGGTCAAACTGCAGTGCAGGTCTGACAGCCTCACCAGACCGCAAAAATCACCTGAAGCTAAAATGGCCCCTCAGAGTTGTCCTGCTTTTGAACAAAACAAATGGGCCTTTACACCCCTACCTGTATCAGTCAGTAGATGTAAAATGACCCTGGAAGAACATGCTTTTAGCTGAAAACAGTTGTGCAGTGGAGACAATAACGCAACAAGCTGACAGCTGAAAGCTATTTGCTGCAGCACCTGAGGCAACAACTTATTTCTTGAAGGGAGATCTCGGTGGTTCATATTCCTATCCATATAGACCCCTTCACACCACTGAGAACCACGTCTGCATGTATGTTCATAGAACTGCATCTTCAGGAATTTAGCCTCACATCCTGGGAGATATGTAAGAGGAAGGTTAGTAGTAGATAGAGACTGCTGATTGATCTATCATTGATAATGATTTTTCACATTCCTCCACCACTAATCTAGATTCCCCTGACTCTCAGCTACTACATCTGCTGGTCTCAGGTGCTATTTAGTGGCATGACCCGAACTCTTAGACCAGACGAAACTGGGCCCAAGTCAGCATGCCATTCTTAGGCTGGAGTTGCTGTAACTGATCATTTACAGTAATAATTGGGCAACAGGAGTACATTAGTCTGCTTGGGCTGTGTCTTAGTCTAATTTGTACTGTATAACACAATACCTGAGACAGGGTAATTTATAAAGGACAAAAATATATTGGCTCCTGGCTCTGAAGGCTGGGAAGTCCAAGATTGAAAGCATGCATCTAGTGAGGGCCTTCTTACTGCATCATAACATGGTGAGAGAGAGAAAGAGGGGAATGAACCCTCTTTTAAAACAACCCACTCTTGTGATAACAACATTAATCCATTCATGAGAGCAGAGCCTCATAACCTAATCCCTTTATATAAAGTTCCCACCTCTCAACATTGTTGCACGGGGGGTTAAGTTTCCAACACCTGAACTTTGGGGGTCATATTCATACCACAGCAGGCTGTCATAATAGAATACTACAGACTGGGTGGCTTAAACAACAGAAATTTATTTTCTCACAGTGGTGAAGACTGGCAGTCCAAAATCAAGGTTGGTGTATGGTGAAGCCTCTTCTCCTGGCTTTCAGATCTCCAGCTTCTGTGCCCTTGCATGGCTTTCTTTGGTGTGAATGCCACGAAAAGAGCGAGTCTGGTATCTCTTTCTCTTCTTATAAAAACACCAGTCTTATCAGATTAGGGCTCCCTAATTACTGGAACTTATAAATGTTACCTTCTAAGGAAAAAGAGTCTTTGCAGATATAATTAAATTAAAGATCTTTATATGGAGAGATTATCCTGCATTTTATGGATGGGCCCTGTATGTAATCACCAGTGCCCTCATAAGAAAGGAGATTTCATGCACACAGAAGAGGAAGAGGCAATGTGACCATGGAGGCAAAGATTGGAGTGATGTGGACACAAGTCAAGGAATGTCAGTGGTCACTAGTAGCTGAAAGAAGCAAAGAATGGATTCCCCTAGTGACTGTTGATGGGGCACAGCCCTAAGTTTTGACCCAGTAATAATGATTCTGGGCCTCTAGCCTCCAGAATGATGAGAAAATAAATTTCTGTTTTAAACTACCAAGTTTATGGCAATTTGTTACAGCAACCATAGAAAACTAAGACAATCTCTTTCCTCCCTCGCCAGGCCCAGTATTTCCCCAGCGGGGTTGTGCTGTGACTTCATCTCAGTTGTTGCCTAATGACCAGGAGGCAAATTCTGAGGGAGTACATGTTGTCTTATTAAAGATTATAAGTGTTTCTAAAGGAGAAAATTGCCATTTTATTGAAAAAGATAGGGAAAAGTACTATTACTTTATTAATAGTAAAAGTGGCTCCATATTAAAAAGCTATAACTATTAAAAGGCTAATAACTCAAAATCCACCAAAGGAAATGCTATGAGCTATGGGGATTGAAAGTATTTTTTCCCCCTCTTCAAAAGATAGAGTATAAACTATATTCAGAGACTCAACTGGTATGTCAGTTCCAGTGGACAGGATTTTTTCTCTGTTTTTCTGTTGAACAAAATAATTTATTTGTAAATGGAAGAAAGAAATTATAAAAATAAAAACAGAAAATAAAGCAACAAAAACTAATAACTATTAAGCCCATATATGTTTCAAGAACTGTCATAATACTTTTTTATATACTTCCTCCTTCAATGTTTATCACAATACTACATGGAAAGTACTAGTTTTATGTATGGGGAAACTGAGGCAAAAAGAAATTAAGTCATTTGCCCCAGGTCTCCCACCTAGTAAGTGTGAGAGCCAGGGTTTAGCTCAAGGAACACTGGCTATAGAGCACCACGCTGGCCGTTCATTATGGCCAAGTTAAGTGCGCTCTGAAGTCAGAGTGACTTTAGTTTAGGCTCCAATATTTACTAGCTGTGTAACCTTGTACAACCTTTGTAATCTGAGTCTCAATATTATTATCCATAAATAAGAGTAATGATAGTATCCAGCGCAAAGGGTACTTGTAAGGATTAAATGACACAGCACTTCACAAAAGTAAAAATTGGCAAATAGGATCTAATTAAACTTAAGAGCTTCTGCATAGCAAAAGAAACCATCAGCAGAGTCAACTGACAACCTACAGAATGGGAGAAAAATTTTGCCAACTGTGCATCTGACAAAGGTCTAATGCCCAGAATTTATAAGGAACTTAAACAAATTTACAAGAAAAAAACACCATTAAAATGTGGGCAAAGGACACGAACAGACACTTTTCAAAAGACATACATGCAGTCAACAAGCATATGAAAAAAAGCTTAATAATCATTAGAGAAATGCAAATCAAAACCACAATGAGATACTATTTCACACTAGTCAAATAGCTTCAAAGACTTAAATGTTAGACCTAAAACCATAAAAACCCTAGAAGAAAACCTAGGCAATACCATTCATGACATAGGCATGGGCAAGGACTTCATGACTAAAATACCAAAAGCAATGGCAACAAAAGCCAAAATAAACAAATGGGATCTAGTTAAACTAAAGAGCTTCTGCAGAGCAAAAGAAACTACCATCAGAGTGAACAGACAACCTACAGAATGACAGAAAATTTTTGCAATCTACCCATCTGACAAAGGGCTAATATCCAGACTCTACAAAGAACTTAAACAAATTTACAAGAAAAAATCAAACAACCCCATCAAAAAGTGGGCAAAGGATATGAACAGACACTTTTCAAAAGAAGACATTTATGCAGCCAACAGACACATGAAAAAATGCTCATCATCACTGGTCATCAGAGAAATGCAAATCAAAACCACAATGAGATACTATCTCACACCAGCTAGAATGGCTATCATTAGAAAGTCAGGAAACAACAGGTGCTGGAGAGGATGTGGAGAAATAGGAACACTTTTACACTGTTGGTGGGAGTATAAACTAGTTCAACCATTGTGGAAGACAGTGTGGCAATTCCTCAAGGATCTAGAACTAGAAATACCATTTGACCCAGCGATCCCATTACTAGGTATATACCCAAAGGATTATAAATCATGCTGCTATAAAGACACATGCACATGTATGCTTATTGTGGCACTATTCATAATAGCAATGATTTGGAACCAACCCAAATGTCCATCAATGATAGACTGGATTAAGAAAATGTGGCACATATACACCATGGAATACTATGCAGCCATAAAAAAGGATGAGTTCATGTTCTTTATAGGGACATGGATGAAGCTGGAAACCACTATTCTGAGCAAACTGAAAACCAAATACTGCATGTTCTCACTCATAGGTAGGAATTGAACAATGAGAACACTTGGACACAGGGTGGGAAACATCACACAGCGGGGCCTGTCAGTGGGTGGGGGGCTATGGGAGGGATAGCATTATGAGAAATACCTAATGTAAATGACGAGTTAATGGGTGCAGCAAACCAACACGGCACATGTATACATATGTAACAAACCTGCACATTGTGCACATGTACCCTAGAACTTAAAGTATAATTTTCAAAAAAAAAAAAAGTCAAAAAATAACAGATGCTGGCAAGGTTGTGGAGAAAAGGAAACACTTATACACTGTTGGTGAGGGTGTGAATCAGTTCAACCATTGTGGAAAGCAGTGCGGTGACTCCTCAAAGAGCTAAAAACAGAAGTACCATTCAACCCAGCAATCCCATTACTGTGTATAAGACACATGCATGTGTATGTTTATTGCAGCAGTATTTACAATAGCAAAGACATGGAACCAACCTAAATACTCATCAATGGTAGACTGGATAAAGAAAATGTGGTACCTATACACCATGGAATGCTAAGCAGCCATAAAAAATGAATGAGGTCATGTCCTTTGCTGGAACATGGATGGAGCTGGAAGCCATTATCCTTAGTAAACTAATGCAGGAACAGAAAACCAAATACAACATGTTCTCAATTATAAGTGGAGGCTAAATGATGAGAACACATAGACACAAAGAAGGGAACAACAGACACTGGGGCCTATCAGAAGGTGGATGGTGGGAGGAGGAAGAGGATCAGGAAAAATAAAGAGTACTAGACTTATTGGCTGGGTGATGAAATAATCAGTACAACAAACCCCTGTGAAACAGGTTTTCCTACATTACAAACCTGGACATGTACCACTGAACTTAAAGTTCCAAAATAAAAATAAAAAATAAATGAGATAGTACTTAAATGTTTATTCCTGGATGACATTCAGTAAATGTAAGCTTACAGTAAATACTGTAAGCATTCAGTAAATGCTTACTATAGGTGGTACATTCCCAGAGTGGCAGTTTGAGGAGCTCTGCAATCATGTTCCCCAGCAAAACAATCATAAGTGGTTAAAATTCTTTACAAATAACCCCTTAAAGTCTGGCAATTTTCCTAAGGACATACAGTAAAAGAAGAAACATTTATTTGAGAAAATCTATTAAATCCTGTCAAGAACCCCAAGAATTCGTGGCACTTGAGTCACAGTGCATTCCCTGTCTCCCCCACACCAGCTCAGTGTCACAGAAGCTCAATTCAAGTTTGATGTGGCCCCTCAGCTCCCTGTCAAGGAGTATAGTATCTCCCTATAAGACAAGGAAAGCTTATTTCTATTTCTTGTCACTTCAGCTTCAATTTGCAGAGGTTAATTCCTGCTTATTTCAGCTAAGAGGTCAGGACTCCCTTTACTTACCCAGCCCACACTCATAGAGCAGAAGGTCTACCCCAGGAATGGTAGTTTTCTTTGTTCATTTGGGCTGCTGTAACAAAGCTACCATAAACTGGATGGCTTAAACAACAAACATTGATCTCTCATGGTTCTGGCGTCCAAGATCAAGGAGCCAGTAGGTTTGGTGTCTAGTGAACCACTTTTTGGTTCACAGATGACCATCTTTTCACTCAGTTTTCCATGGCAGAAAGAGGTCAGAGAGCTCTCTGGGATATCTTTTATAAAGGCACTGTGAAAGGAATATATTTTGGGCCCCCAAAATCACTAAACTAAAAGAAAAACTCAAGCTGGCAACTGCCCTGGGCAAACCTGCCTCCCATTTTATTCAAAGTCATCCCTCTGTTCACTGAGATAGATGCATATTCTGATTGCCTCATTTGGAAAAGCATATCAGAAACTCAAGAGAATGCAACATTTTTCTCTTACCTACCTGTGGCCTGGAAGCTGCCTCCCTACTTCAAGTTGTCCCTCCCCCTGCCTTTCTGGATGGAACCAATGTACTTCTTAAATAGATTGACTGATGTCTCATGTCTCCCTAAAATATATAAAACCAAGCTGTGCCCCAACCACCTTGGGCACATGTGGTCAGGACTTCCTAAGTCTGTGTCACAGACGCGCATCCTCAACCTTGGCAAATAAACTTTCTAAATTAACTGAAACCTGTCTCAGATTTTCTGGGTTTACAGCACTAATTCCATTCATGAAGGCTCTACCTTCATGACCTGATCACTTCTCAAAGGCTCCACTTTCTCATATAATCAATACCAGCATGTTGGGGGTTAAAACTGCAACGCATAAATTTGCAGGGTGGGCAAAAAATATTCAATTCATAACAGCAAGATAAAAGTGCTGGGGCCCCAAATGCTTTTACACCAGCTCACTCTAGAGTGGAGGTTCTATATGGGAAGAAAAGCAAAAAAACTAGAGGCTACCATCCCTGCCCAGTACTAGGCTCATAAAACAGGGCTGTCACTTCTGTCCCCAACCCTGGAGAAGTGGCTCAGAGATTTTGCTAAAGTGTGGAGGCAGTGCAAGGCTCTCCCTAAAGGAACTAACTTTATTTGAAACAGAGCATGATAAAGCTTACACATAAGCGTGATTTCAAAACAATGAAGATTTGGGTAGAAAGCAATTAAGAGGAGGCTGGTAGCTCTAAGAGAACAGGCTGAGCTATAGGATGCACATTTATTAGAGAGAATCAGGTAAAGAGACACCTAAGAAGAGATCTCCTGGGTTTATAACACATCTCAAAAACTCATATCAGTCCTCAAAAACCAACCCTATAAAGGAAACCAAATGATCATGGAGCAATTTGTGTCCAAGGCATTGTCAAAAACAAACAGCAGTGAACTGTCAATTAGCAGAGGCCAACAGCAGGATATGATACCAACCAAGGCAGACACCTTTATTTAGAGAGAGCTAGGGGAAAGATAGGGTCCAATAGAATCTTGCCAAAACTGCCATCATCCCAAGGTGACTGCACATGCCCAATGCTGCCCTCTGAGTGTTATTACAACAGAGACTGTAGACTGGGGGGGAATATTCTTCACTTAGACTTCCATTTAAATCATTAAACAAATAATAACAACAACAACGACAAAAACCTGAAGATGGGTAGATCAGTATTCATTGTTGCTACATAGATTGCCTGAAACACCCAGTTTCAACAAAAAATTATGAGATATGCAAAGAAACAGGAAGGTGTGACCCACTCACAGGAAAGACAACAGGCAAGAGAAACTGCCCATGAACTGACCTAGATGTCATATTTAACAAAGATTTCAAAGCAGCCATTGTAAATATGCTCATAAAAACAGAAAACCATGCTTAAAAAAGTAAAGAAATGTATGATGACAACGTCCCATCAAATAGATCAATAAAGAGATAGAAATTAAACAAAGGAAACAAAAATTCTTATTGTTTTCACATATAGAGATATAATGTACATATTATTGATATTGCAGTATAAATATGTATATAGCGTATGCGTATATATATTTACACGCCTCATAGTATTGTGAAAATTAAGCAAGATTATTTGTATAAGACATATACCTTACCATTTTTAATCAACATGAATTAGCTGTCCATATTACTGTCTTTACGTTTCCAAAGCAGATAATTGGGTAAGAAATTTTATCTGTGACTTTGTGACAGAGTCAAGCTGTTTCCCATAGAAAAGCATAAATGTTACATCAACTACAAACATAACAACAGAAATAATAATATTATAATAATTAACATTTGATGTTCGATATCTATGTGCCAAGGACTACACTGTTTTACATGAATTATTGTCTTGATCTTCACAAACTTTCTATTAAGCAGTTAGTTTTTATATTTTTTTGAAATTCTAGGTTATAAGAAAGGAAATATACCCTAAATTTACTAAAAAGTAAACACATACATGCATATTTCACACTGTGTGGTCCTCAGATAAGTTAAACATTTCTCTATAATGAACAATTCTGTATTCTACAACACAGATTCAAGTACCTAAATGATACATTTTTCATAAAGTAAAGCTCATCATACATTCACTCACTGAGAAAAACAATGAACTTTGGAGGAGTTGTTAAATGACTTGGTTGTAAAGGGATAAGATTTATTGCCCTACAAAAGCTAACTCCTTGCTGGGAATTTACTCAGTCTGACTGCATCTCCCAGGAAGAAAAATAAGACCACAGTGACTGCCATTGTCCTCTAACGCCAGTCAATATCATCTGAAACCTTCTCATTACTGTGTAAAAGCAGAATCCACGGACTTTTGCATCAAGCATTATACAGGAGCACTTTAGACGAGAAACCAAGAAGGCAAGAGGTGTGGCTGTAGAATCATATTTTGTCCCAGCCTGAATCACTCTGACTATAGAGGTCACTCATCTCCTGAACTACACACAAACATTAATACATTGTGGAATATCATTCCCAGTTCAGGTAAACTATTTGCTTTAAGTTTTCCACAGTCTTTAAAAGCCTCCCAACTATATGAAACAGAATTCTAGATTGTATTTAAATTGTCACATTGCCATCTTGTGGCTGCAATGGGTAAAAGAGGAAACTGATCATTACTGTGGGGCCCTGAGGCCTTGCCCCTCTGCATGATGCTATCGCAACTGCCTGAGTTCTGTGAGGATAATAATGCTCTGTTACTCTCACAGGGACCTGATACAGGATTGAAGAACTTACGTATTATATAGGGAGTGTAATTGCTTTACAGGAAAAAGCATCTAGTAAGTATAAAATAAGTGAAAATTAAGTTGAAATCTGAAAAGGTCTTGATACAAAGCATTACACTGTACTCCAGAGATGGACCTATGAGGTCAAAATTTGTTCAGCGGCCTCTACTATTTTCTTTAACTCTGACATTTACAGAATGAATTCTTCCAATGACATAACAGATTTCCAGACACCTGATTCAGGCAGTTACAGGTCCACTTTAAAGCAGAGGTCCCTCTAGTGCAAATTCCCCCTGCTTGGCTGATTCTGAGAGCTCCACTAAGACCTGCCTCAAGACAAATATAATTCCCATGCCCACTCTGCTGCCTTAAATTCCCAACCCTATTTTACTTTGAGTTATTATTTTCAAAAAACCTTCATCTGAAACATAAATGGCATGTTCTAGTATGGCTACATATAAACATCTAATTACATTTGCTTGTGGAATCATTAATTAATCAAAATTTGTAAACTTGCATATTGAGATCTAATAAGAAAAGTATACATTTTGAAAAGTAGAAGTGGGTTGTTTTTCAATAATATTCCAGGGCAGGACAATTTTCAAAAAGTAGATGATATAGCTGGGTGACAAAGGAAGAAGCTCCTGCTAAGTTGACTGGAGAGGTAGAACAGGGGTTAGGTAGTTACTCAGGAAGCCTGGAAGGAGGAAAGGGGGGAAAAAAGGCAGCCCAGGGCATTTAAAGAAAAATTACAAAATCTGGAACATTGCATCTTAGTGTCTCAGTTTGAGACTACTTTGCAATTTAAGACCCATAACTGTCTCCCTATGCACTCTAAGGAAAGAGTGCAAGTGATAGAAAGCAAGTAGCAGTTCCCAAGAAGCTGCCACTGTGAAGAGAATGAGCAACCACAGGATAAAAAGGCTCAAAGACCTCCAGCTTATGTGGTAGAGCATCTCTGGAAGTGAACTCTCAAAAAACACAGCTTAACCATTACGCACGCATTATATTTATTTCCAAAACCCTATTCATCATGGAAGATTTTTACTGAGTAATAATCTCAAAGTAAAAAATAATTATTGCCACTCTTCAACTTACCCCAGCTATTGAGAGGTGACAGCATGCTGGCAGCCCTCACAGACCTCGCTGGCTCTTGGTGCCTCCTTGGCCTCAGCGCCCATTCTGGCCGCGCTTGAGGAGCCCTTCAGCCCGCCGCTGCACCGTGGTAGCCCTTCTCTGGGCTGGCCGAGGCCGCAGCCGGCTCCCTGGGCTTGTGGGGAAGTGTGGAGGGAAAGGCACGGGCGGGAACCGGGGCTTCGCAGGGCGCTTGCGGGCCAGCTAGAGTTCCGGGTGGGCGTGGGCTTGGCGGGCCCCGCACTGGGAGCGCCTGCCGGCCCTGCGGCCCCGGGCAGTGAGGGGCTTAGCACCCGGGCCAGCAGCTGCGGAGGGTGCGCCGGGTCCCCCAGCAGTGCCGGCCCACCGGCGCTGTGCTCTATTTCTCGCCGGGCCTTAGCTGCCTCCCCGCGAGGCAGGGCTGGGGACCTGCAGCCCGCCATGCCTGAGTCTCCCGGCAGCCCGCCGTGGGCTCCTGCGCGGCCTGAGCCTCTCCCGGAAGCACCGCCCCCTGCTCCACGGCGCCCGGTCCCATCCACCGCCCAAGGGCTGAGGAGTGCCGGCGCAAGGCGCGGGACTGGCGGGCAGCTCCACCTAAGGCCCCTGTGGGAGATCCACTGGGTGAGGCCAGCTGGGCTCCTGAGTCTAGTGGGGACTTGGAGAATCTGCGTGTCTAGCTAAGGGATTGTGAATACACCAATCAGCACTCTGTATCTAGCTCAAGGTTTGTAAACACACCAATCAACACCCTGTGTCTACCTCAGGGGGTTTGTGGATGCACCAATCGGCACTCTGTATCTAGCTAATCTGGTGGGGACTTGGAGGATCTTTATGTCTAGCTAAGGGATTGTGAATGCACCAATGGGCACTCTGTCTAGCTCAAGGTTTGTAAATGCACCAGTCAGCACTCTGTGTCCAGCTAATCTGGTGGGGACTTGGAGAATCTTTATGTCTAGCTAAGGGATTGTGAATGCACCAATCGGCACTCTGTATCTAGCTCAAGGTTTGTAAATGCACCAATCAGCACTCTGTGTCTAGCTCAGAGTTTGTAAATACACCAATTCGACACTCTGTATCTAGCTAATCTAGTGGGGAAGTGGAAAACTTTTGTGTCTAGCTCAGGGATTGTAAATGCACCAATCAGCACCCTGTCAAAATGGACCAATCGACTCTCTGTAAAATGGACCAATCAGCAGGATGTGGGTGGGGCCAGATAAGAGAATAAAAGCAGGCTGCCTCAGCCAGCCGTGGCAACCCCCTGGGGTTCTCTTCCACACTGTGGAAGCTTTGTTCTTTCCCTCTTTGCAATGAATCTTGCTGCTGCTCACTCTCTGGGTCCACACTGCCTTTATAAGCTGTAACACTCACCGTGAAGGTCTGCAGCTTCACTCCTGAAGCCAGCAAGATCACAAACCCACCGGGAGGAACGAGCAACTCCAGACACGCCACCTTAAGAGCTGTTAACACTCACCGCGAAGGTCTGCAGCTTCACTCCTGAGCCAGTGAGACCAAACCCACCAGAAGGAAGAAACTCCAAACACATCCAAACATCAGAAGGAACAAACTCCGGACACGCTGCCTTTAAGAACTGTAACACTCGCCGCGAGGGTCCATGGCTTCATTCTTGAAGTCAGTGAGACCAAGAACCCACCAATTCCGGACACACTATCATCAAACGGTGGGAAACAAGTTAAATGGTTTATTAGGTTTAAAGTGCCATTTTCCATTTACCTTGAATCCCCATATTTCTTTTAATCTTAAAAATGTTATGTTGTCTTACTTGTTCTCCCATTGACTCTGGATTTGTAATTTTTTGTAAATAATAGACATGTATCTCCAACTCATTAAATTATTTCTACTCCTTGTATTTATTGTCTACTCTTAAGAGGTATGTATCAAAACCATCCTTTGTGGAACCTCACTGTGCTTACATTTGTGAATGCTCACTTTAGAAGTTCGATCTTGGCCAGATACAGTGGCTCACACCTGTAATCCCAGCATTTTGGGAGGCCCAGGCAGGCAGATCACTTGAAGTCAGGAGTTCGAGACCAGCCTGGCCAACATGGTGAAAACCCATATCTACTAAAAATACAAAAATTAGCTGGGCATGGTGGCAGATGCCTGTAATCCCAGCTACTCAGGAGGCTGAGGCGGGAGAGTCACTTGAACCCAGGAGGCAAAAGTTGCACTGAGCTGAGAAGATTGCGCCACTGCACTCCAGCCTGGACGATAGAGCGAGACTCCAACTCAAAAAAAAAAAAAAAAAGAAGAAGAAGAAGTTAGAAGTTAGAGCTGTCACTCCACCCCAAATATCTACCTACAGTTTGATCACTATGGTAACTGCCTGCCAGTGGTCAACAGATCACTAGAAGCATTTAGAAATGAAATTACAAAATTGACCTGCTCTTGAAGTAGAAGAAAATGATGAAATCATTTTAATAGAAATAGAGATTCCACTCATCTCAAATATCAATCCTCTGAAGAACATTAGTTTTAGGAAATTCTTATAAAGCTAAAGATTATTACAGGAATTTCTGGCTTAAGAAAATTAAAAATAAACTTTTAACATTTTGGAATGTTGAAACACTTCAGTCTTAATTGACATCTTTATTTGGGTGCAGTAGTTTGTCAAAGAAACAAGCTCTGGAGAGTAGAGTGAGATCACTGGGTCTTGGAATATTTGTATTACTAAATTTACAAAATCTTGAGTTAAACTTAAGATTTCTGAATATTTCTACTAGTGTGTTTCAGAGGCCCCATCTTGAGCCCACCTTGTGTTGTTTGCTGAGAATCAAAGTTGACCAGGCATGTCTGAAATCTGCAGAAGAAAATGAACAAGCAGATAGTTTTGTAGCCTGAGCTGATCTTTATGAGAAGTAGATACACAAAGTCTTAGCCTATTCCAGACTGGAATCTGAGCCAAGTGGTGAATGCGACTGAGGGCAAATATAATTTATGGCTTATGAGCCTTGGTGCTAGTCTTTGCAAAAAATCAACGTTCTCTCCAGTTCGACTAAATACTCGGCATTGGACTGTAGCACTCACCACTCTGAATCTAAGTTTTTCAAGTGTCAGAATCTGGGTTCTGACACTGACCCTGGCATTGTCACAGTGGGCATTAGCTGTACTGACAGACACATACCCAAAGCTTTTATAGCCAACAGCTGCAGAGAGGGTCAGAGACGCAAAGAAAGAATATGGCAGATGTCCACAAGGTAACTGAAGAGAGATAAACATTTTACATCTTCTGCCCTCTCTTTATCATCTTGTGGATTGGCAGTGAGCAGCATAATGAAGAGCAAGCCTTCTAACATACAGCATCAGCCTTTAGCCAAGCTCAAGTCTAATAAGGTCATTTTCCTGGCCTGGTATTTTACCATTTTACAAAACCATAAACTCTCCCCTCCCAATGCCTCAAAAATGAGTGCAGCAGTGTGACTGCAGGTTACTCACCTGAAGCCTTTACCAAGAGTCAGTACTGCAGAACAAAACCAGCCCTTTATGTTCTAATCCTCCTTCTGCATCAGTATGATTGCAAACTTCATTCATGCTTCAGGATTTTTAGCATTGGTGATTTGTATTAATTTGAAAGCATGCAGCTTACTTTTGTGACAATCAGTTGAGCTCACAGCACAGGCTCTGAAAAATTATGCCTTTAGTCTGACAGTGCAATTGATATAGAAATTATAATTGGTTGATGAATATAGAACACTTGAATAATATTTTTCAGATTATTTTCATGGGTTTTCTTCAGTTAGTTTTATTATAATCACATAGTCTTTTCATTTTTAACTGCCAAAATAGAAAAGATATAGACACTAAATTGAGTAAACCTTAGAACAGAAGCGTATACATCTACAGTTGCCCTGACAACACTGAGCAGGAGGCTGCTGGTGTTCTCACTCCATTTAAGGCCTTGTTGCTGGCTACCTTGTTACTAACACTCTTCAATCCATAAGCTTGAAAATGGCATGTTGTTGAACTGTATTGCTATTTAACTACCAAATCTGAGACTCTTCAGGATACAAAATCAATGTGCAAAAATCAATATCATTCCTATATACCAACAACAGTCAAGCTGAGAGCCAAATCAGGAACGTACTCCCGTTCACAATTGCCACAAAAAGAGTAACATACCTAGGAATACAGCTAACTAGGGAGGTGAAAGATCTCTACAGGGAGAACTACAGAACACTGCAAGCAATCAGATGACACAAACAAATGGAAAAACCTTCCATGCTCACGGATAGGAAGAATTGATATCATTAAAATGGCCATACTGCCCAAAGCAATTTATAGATTTGATGCTGTTCCTATTAAACTACCACTAACATTCTTCACAATACTAGACAAAATTGTTTGAAAATTCATATGGAACCAAAAAAGACCTCAAATAGCCAAGGCAATCCTAAGCAAAAAGAACAAAACTGGAGATATCACACTACCCAACTTTGAACTATACTACAGAGCTACAATAACCAAAACAACATGATATTAGTACAAAAACAGACACATAGACCAATGGAACATAATAAAGAACCCTGAAATAAGGCCGCACACCTACAACTATCTCATCTTCAACAAACCTGACCAAAACAAGCAATGGCGAAAGGATTCCCTGTTCAATAAATGATGCTGGGATAACTAGCCATTTGCAGAAGAGTAAAACTGTACCTCTTCTTTGCACCATATACAAAAATTAACTCAAGATGGATTAAAGACTTAAATGCAAAACCCAAAACTATGAAAACCCTGGAAGAAAACCTAGGTAATACCATTCAGGACATAGGCATGGGCAAAGAGTTCCATGACGAAGACACCAAAAGCAATTGCAACAAAAGCAAAAATTGACAAATGGGATCTAATTAAACTAAAGAGCTTCTGCACTGCAAAAGAAGCTATCGGTAGAGTAAATAGACAACCTGCAGAATAGAAAAAAATTTTGGCAAACTACACATCTGACAAAGGTCTAATATCCAGCATCTATAAGGGACTAAACACATTTACAAACACACACACACACACACACACACAACTCCATTAAAAAGTGGGCAAATAACATGAACGGATACTTCCCAAAAGAAGACATAACTGTGACCAACAATTATATGGAAAAAATACTCAGCATCACTGATGATTAGAGAAATGCAAATCAAAACCACAATGAGATACCATCTCACACCAGTCAGAATGAGATTTTTAAAAGGTCAAAAAATAACAGATGCTGGCAAGATTGTGGAAAAAAAGAATGCTTATAAACTGTTGGTAGGAGTGTAAATTAGTTCCATCATTGTGGAAGACAGTGTGGCAATTCCTCAAAGACCCAAAGACGGAAATACCATTCAACCCAGCAATCCCATTACTGAGTATATACCCAAAGGAATTGCATCATTCTGTTATAAAGACACAGTATGCCTATGTTCATTGCAGCATTATTAACAATAGCAAAGACATGGAATCAACCTAAATGCCCATCAGTGATAGACTGGATTTAAAAAATGTGGTACATATACACCATGAAATACTATGCAGCCATAAAAAAGAATGAGATCATGTCCTTTGCAGAAACATGGATGGAACTGGAGGTCATTATCCTTAGCAACTAACACAGGAACATAAAACCAAATACCACATGTTGTCACTAATAAGTGGGAGCTAAATGATGAGAACCCATGGACACACAGAGGGGAACAACACACACTGTGGCCTTTGGAGGGTGGAGGGTGGAAGGAGTAAGAGGATCAGGAAAAATAACTAAAGAGTATTACCCTTCATGCCTGGGTGATGAAATAATCTATACAACAAATCCCCAAGTCACAAATTTACCTATATAATAAACCTGCACACGTGCCCCTGAACTTAAAATAAAAGTTAAAAAATAAGTAAAAATAAAAATCTGAGATTCTTTACAAGTAATTTAAAAAATTTAGACTGCATACTCTCATTGCTATAATAATTATATTGTTTGATTACAGTTTTCCAATTTAATATTTTCTACTTCCATTTTCCTTTGACACTTTTAAAAACATTTGTCCTCAATGTATACACTACAACATGTTTATGTTTGCTTTTATCATTATTTTAAAAACAAACATCCTGGATATTTTTACTACTAACTATTTTAAAACATAATTTTTTAAATAGCCTTAATAAATATCCTAGACTTCTATTTTAAAGCACATAATTAACAAGTATCATTTTTCTGATTCAGAAAAAAATGACTTTTAATTTGCTTTTATTGAAGGTTACTATGAAAAATTAAACTTCATTGTCACATATTACAACAGGGAGACATCTTAAAAATTCTATGTTGAATTCAGGTAACTGAATTTGAGACTGTGTGATTTGTCTTATTATTGGTCTTTATCCTTAGAAAATAATTCCATTGAAATAAAAATAAAGCATGAGTATTATTATTGTAAAGAACTCCACCTTGCCTCTTTTCTTGTGTTTACCATAGTTCTTGACACATAAGTTCATTTATTTTGTCATAATATTAAAAATATTATGTTTTTTACTGCTTCATGTTGATTCTCCATTTATATTCTATTTCTCTTTCACAACAATGATTGTCATGTTCCTTTTACTGTTCTATTTCTATCTTGATAGGACAGTTGTTGCTAAATTATCTTAATTCTCATATTCATCATACATGAAGGAAATCAAAAGTGCTTTGAACTCTATTTTAAGCTGTTTATACCACTTTTAGTCTTATGGTTTAGATGCCTACCTTTTCCAGAAGTACAAATAATCTTCATCTCCCCCAGAATTATTGTTCTAAAAAATATCATTGTAGGACTTCCCCTTCAGCTATGGAGAATTAAATTGTGTCAGACATACCTTCCCAATGAGAAAAAAAAAAAAAAACAGAAAATGATGATAAAATATTTTCTAAATCTCTTTGGTACCATTAAGGGCTTACAAAGACAGGTTAAAGTTTTCAGATCTTTGTAGCAGACCAATTTCAAAAATGGCCTCAGGGCCCCACACTTCTTTTTTTCAACCCACTGCCTTTGCAGTGTGACTTTGTAGATCCTATGATCAAAAGATAGACTCTCTTCCCATATCTCTTGTATATAGGCTGTATTTGTGACTTGGAAAGTTTTTAAGTTTTCTGCTTTCTCTCTTGGTTCCTGCTACTGCCATGTGTACATGTTCAGTAAATGAGACATATATGTAAGATGACATACTAATAGCTAAAGTGCTCAGGCTTACAGCCAACCAACTTTTAGAAGTGGAACTTTCTCATTGATTGGTAACTGATTTAAGACAATTGAGAAAACCTAGTTGAAACAAAAGTTCTCAGCAGAGCCTGCCTAAATTGCAAAACTACACAATCATAGTTAAATAAATGTTTGTTATTTTAAGTTGCTAATGCGTGGAGTGGTTCATTACATAGCATTTGCTGACTGGTATAATCCTGGAAGAAAGAAAAGTATAAAAAGTGAGTTCTAGTGAAACTATCCTTCAAGAATAGAGGAAATAAAGACATTCTCAGACAAAGAAAAATTAGAAGAATCTGTCACTAGAAGACCTAACATTAAAGAATGCCTAGAAAAAGTTTTACAAACAGCAAGTAAACGATAAAAGAATCTTAGAACACAATGAGATAAATAGCAATATAAAAAGCAGAAATATAGATACATACAATAGCCTATTTTTCTCCACACCAGTTTTCCAAACTACATGCAATAACTGAAACAAAAATGTTTAACACTAACTGATACTTAGGACAATAGTATGGAGAGTAAAGTTCCTAAATGAAAGTAAGTTTTCCACACTTCACTTGAAATGTTAAAACACTGATATCAGAGGACTGATGAGTTGCATATGTATATTATAATACTTAGAGAAATCACTATAAAAACTATTCAAACAGCCCAGGCACGGTGGCTAATGCCCATAATCCCAGTACTTTGGGAGGCTGAGGCGGGCGGATCACCAGAGGTCAGGAGTTTGAGACCAGTCTGGCCAACATGGTGAAACCACATCTCTACTAAAAATACAAAAACTAGCCAGGCGTGGTGGTGGATGCCTGTAATCCCAGCTACTTGGGAGGCTGAGACAGGAGAACCTCTTCAACCTGGGAGGCAGAGGTTGCAGTGAGTCAAGATCATGCCATTGCACTCCATCCTGGCAGCTTGTGTGACAGAGTGAGACTCCATCCCCCAGAAAATAAAAAAATAAACTATAGAAACTATACACTCAAAAAATTATTAAATAAATTAAGATAAAATCCTCAAAAATGTTCAATTAACCAACAGGAAGGTATAAAAAGAGTAACAAAGCATGAGAAACAAGGAATGAAAAGATATCGTATAATAAAATGACAAACTTAAACCCTAAGATATCAATAATTACCTTAACTAAAATAATTTAAATACACTAATTAAAAGACAGAGATTGGCAGACTGAATTTAAAAATAAAAAGAACACCGACAAACCCATCTCACATGCAGAGACACACATAGGCTCAAAATAAAGGGATGGAGGAAGATCTACCAAGCAAACGGAAAACTAAAAAAGGCAGGGGTTTCAATCCTAGTCTCTGATAAAACAGACTTTAAACCAACAAAGATCAAAAGAGACAAAGAAGGCCATTACATAATGGTAAAGGGATCAATTCAACAAGAAGAGCTTACTATCATAAATGTGTATGCACCCAATAGAGGAGCATCCAGATTCATAAAGCAAGTCCTTAGAGACCTACAAAGAGACTCAGACTCCCACACAATAATAATGGGAGACTTTAACACCCCACTGTCAACATTAGACAGATCAACCAGACAGAAAGTTAACAAGGATATCCAGGAATTGAACTCAGCTCTGCACCAAGCAGACCTAATAGACGTCTACAGAACTCTCCACCCCAAATCAACAGAATATAAATTCTGCTCAGCACAACACCACATCTATTCCAAAATTGACCACATAGTTGGAAGTAAAGCACTCCTCAGCAAATGTAAAAGAACAGAAATTATAACAAACTGTCTCTCAGACCACAGGCAATCAAACTAGAACTCAGGATTAAGAAACTCACTCAAAACCACTCAACTACATGGAAACTGAACAACCTGCTCCTGAATGACTACTGGGTACATAACGAAATGAAGGCAGAAATAAAGATGTTCTTTGAAACCAACGAGAACAAACACACAACATACCAGAATCTCTGTGACACATTTAAAGCAGTGTGTAGAAGGAAATTTGTAGCACTAAATGCCCACAAGAGAAAGCAGGAAAGATCTAAAATTGACACCCTAACATCACAATTAAAAGAACTAGAGAAGCAAGAGCAAACACATTCAAAAGCTAGCAGAAGGCAAGAAATAACTAAGATCAGAGCAGAACGGAAGGAAATAGAGACACAAAAAACCCTTCAAAAAATCAATGAATCCAGGAGCTGGTTTTTTGAAAAGATCAATAAAATTGATAGACCGCTAGCAAGAATAATAAAGAAGAAAAGAGAGAAGAATCAAATAGACGCAATAAAAGCTGATAAAGGGGATATCACCACCGATCCCACAGAAATACAAACTACCATCAGAGAATACTATAAACACCTCTACGCAAATAAACTAGAAAATCTAGAAGAAATGGATAAATTCCTCGACACACACACTCTCCCGAGACTAAACCAGGAGGAAGTTGAATCTCTGAATAGACCAATAACAGGTTCTGAAATTGAGGCAATAATTAATAGCTTACCAACCAAAAAAAGTCGAGGAGCAGATGGATTCACAGCCGAATTCTACCAGAGATACAAGGAGGAACTGGTACCATTCCTTCAGAAACTATTCCAATCAATAGAAAAAGAGGGCATCCTCCCTAACTCATTTTATCAGGCCAGCATCATCCTGATACCAAAACCTGGCAGAGACACAACAAAAAAAGAGAATTATAGACCAATATCCCTGATGCACATCGATGTAAAAATCCTCAATAAAATACTGGCAAACCGAATCCAGCAGCACATCAAAAAGCTTATCCACCATGATCAAGTGGGCTTCATCCCTGGGATGCAAGGCTGGTTCAACATATGCAAATCAATAAACGTAATCCAGCATATAAACAGAACGAAAGACAAAAACCACATGATTATCTCAATAGATGCAGAAAAGGCCTTTGACAAAATTCAACAACCCTTCATCCTAAAAACTCTCAATAAATTAGGTATTGATGGGATGTATCTCAAAATAATAAGAGCTATCTATGACAAACCCACAACCAATATCATACTGAATGGGCAAAAACTGGAAGCATTCCCTTTGAAAACTGGCACAAGACAGGGATGCCCTCTCTCACCACTCCTATTCAACAGTGTTGGAAGTTCTGGCCAGGGCAATTAGACAGGAGAAGGAAATAAAGGTAGTCAATTAGGAAAAGAGGAAGTCAAATTGTCCCTGTTTGCAGATGACATGATTGTATATCTAGAAAAGCCCATCGTCTCAGCCCAAAATCTCCTTAAGCTGATAGACAACTTCAGCAAAGTCTCAGGATACAAAATCAATGTGCAAAAATCACAAGCATTTTTATACACCAATAACAGACACACGGAGAGCCAAATCATGAGTGAACTCTCATTCACAATTGCTTCAAAGAGAATAAAATACCTAGGAATCCAACTTACAAGGGATATGAAGCACCTCTTCAAGGAGAACTACAACCACTGCTGAATGAAATAAAAGAGGATACAAACAAATGGAAGAACATTCCATGTTCATGGGTAGGAAGAATCAATATGGTGAAAATGGCCATATTGCCCAAGGTTATTTATAGATTCAATGCCATCCCCATCAAGCTACCAATGACTTTCTTCACAGAATTGGAAAAAACTACTTTAAAGTTCATATGGAACCAAAAAAGAGCCCACATTGCCAAGTCAATCCTAAGCCAAAAGAACAAAGCTGGAGGCATCACGCTACCTGACTTCAAACTATACTATAAGGCTACAGTAACCAACACAGCATGGTACTGGTACCAAAACAGAGATACAGACCAATGGAACAGAACAGAGCCCTCAGAAATAATGCTGCATATCTACAACCATCTGATCTGTGACAAACCTGACAAAAACAAGAAATGGGGAAACAATTCCCTGTTTAATAAATGGTGCTGGGAAAACTGGCTAGCCATATATAGAAAGCTGAAACTGAATCCCTTCCTTACACCTTATACAAAAATTAATTCAAGATGGATTAAAGACTTAAATGTTAGACCTAAAACCATAAAAACCATAGAAGAAAACCTAGGCAATACCATTCAGGACATAGGCATGGGCAAGGACTTCATGTCTAAAACACCAAAAGCAATGGCAACAAAAGCCAAAATTGACAAATGACATCTAATTAAACTAAAGAGCTTCTGCACAGCAAAAGAAACTACTGTCAGAGTGAACAGGCAACCTACAGAATGGGAGAAAATTTTTGCAATCTACTCATCTGAAAAAGGGCTAATATCCAGAATCTACAATGAACTCAAACAAATTTACAAGAAAAAAACAACCCCATCAAAAAGTGGGTGAAGGATATGAACAGATACGTCTAAAAAGAAGACATTTATGCAGCCAAAAGACACATGAAAAAATGCTCATCATCACTGGCCATCAGAGAAATGCAAATCAAAACCACAATGAGATACCATCTCTCACCAGTTAGAATGGCAATCATTAGAAACTCAGGAAACAACAGGTGCTGGAGAGGATGTGGAGAAATCGGAACACTTTTACACTGTTGGTGGGTCTGTAAACTAGTTCAACCATTGTGGAAGTCAGTGTGGCAATTCCTCAGGGATCTAGAACTAGAAATACCATTTGACCCAGCAATCCCATTACTGAGTATATACCCAAAAGATTATAAATCATACTGCTATAAAGACACATGCACACGTATGTTTATTGCAGCACTCTTCACAATAGCAAAGACTTGGAACCAACCCAAATGTCCAGCAATGATAGACTGGATTAAGAAAATGTGGCACATATACACCATGGAATACTATGCAGCCATAAAAAATGATGAGTTCATGTCCTTTGTAGGGACATGGATGAAGTTGGAAACCATCATTCTCAGGAAACTATCGCAAGGACAAAAAACCAAACACTGCATGTTCTCACTCATAGGTGGGAATTGAACAATGAGAACACATGGACACAGGAAGGGGAACATCACACACCAGGGCCTGCTGTGGGGTGGAGGGAGGGGGGAGGGATAGCATTAGGAGATATACCTAATGTTAAATGACGAGTTAATGGGTGCAGCACACCAACATGGCACATGTATACATATGTAACTAACCTGCAGGTTGTGCACATGTACCCTCAAACTTAAAGTATTAAAAAAAAAAAAAAGAACACTGACAAATAACATTAAGGGAACATCACAGTAATAAAACATCTTTATATTATGTACCTTTGATATAATGTGATTTAAAATGACACTACCTCTGTCATATTCATCCCCAAAATCCACGACCATAGTCTTGTCATGAGAAAAACAACAGACAAAAGTCAGTTGAGAGACATTCTTCAAAACTTCTGACCAATAATCCTCCAAACTGTCAAGGCGATCAAAAATGAAATTCTGAGACACTGTCAAAATCCAGAGGATCCTGCAGAAACATAGCTACTCGATAGGAACAGAAAAAGGACATTATAGAAAAACTAAGGACGTTTGAATAAAAAGTGGATTTAAGTGAATAATAGTGTATCAGTTTTGACAAACATATAATAATATAGTAACATAAATGCTAATAAGGAAAACTGTGTTCAGGGTATCTAAGAAAACTTTTCTTGCAAAAATTTGATGCAAAAATTCTGTAAATCAAAAACTGCTCTAATTCAAAACTTGTTTTTTAAAGATTAAAATTATAAAATTATTATTCTAATCTAGTTGAAACAGCTGTCTTACACCCTTCCTTCTGAAAATCCTGAATCTGGTCTCAAAAAAAAAAATCCTGAATCTGATTATTTTACGTTAGCCCTAAACCAAGGAGTGACAATAAAACAATCAAATTTGTGCATTTGGGAAAAAAAAAGAGGTACTGCTTAATATATCAAAATTATCAAAAACAGGCGGGGCTCAGTGGCTCACACTTGTAATCTCAGCACTTTGGGAGGCCAAGGTGGTTGGATCACTTGAAGTCAGGAGTTCAAGACCAGCCTGGCCAACATGGTGAAACCCCGTCTCTACTAAAAATATAAAAATTAGCTGGGCATGGTGTTGCATACCTGTAATCCCAGCTACTGGAGAGGCTGAGGCAGGAGAATCTCTTGAACCTGCGAGGTGAAGGCTGCATTGAGCTGAGATTGTCACACTGCACTCCAGCCTGGGTAACAGACAAGACTCCACATCAAAAACAGAAATAAATCTATTGAAAGAAGAGGAATACAATATTATGCATAATAGAGTTGTGCAAAGCATACATTTTAGTCCAAAATGGACTGCATATATAAAGGTAATTCCATAAAATTATGACAGATCTGAAAAATTCCTAGTGCCTAGAGACATCTTGATAATCCTGACCCTGTGTAGGCCTAGGCTAATATGTGACTTTGTGTCTTAGTTTTAACAAAAATGTTTAAAGAGTAAAAATAAAAAACTCTTTTAAATAGATGTAAACTTATATAATAAAGATTAAATATTTTTGTACACTTGTATAATGTGTCTGTGTTTGAAGCAAAGTCTTATTACAAAAGAGTGAAAAAATTTAAAAAATCACTTGAGCTCAGGAGTTCAAGAGCAGCCTGGGCAAAAAAGTGAGATTCCCATCTCTACAAAAAATTAGCTGGGTGTGGTGGCACACACCTGTAGTCCTAGCTACTCCAGAGACTGAGCTGGGATGATCCCTTGAGCCCAGGAGGTCGAGGTTTGCAGTGAGTTGTGATTACACCACTGCACTCCAGCTTGGGCAACAGAGCCAGATGCTGCCTCAAAATAAATAAATAAAATAAATAAATAAATAAGTTGAAAAAATAAAAAAGTTTGTAAAGTAAAAATGTTACAGTAAGCTAAGGTTAATTTATTATTGAAGAAAGAAAAATTATTTTATAAATGTACAGTAGACTAAATGTACAGCATTTCTGAATTCTATAGTAGCATCCTGGGGCTTCACAGTCACTCACCACTCACTTCCTGGCTCACCCAGAGCAACTTCCAGTCTTGCAAGCTTCATTCATGGTAAGTGTCCAATATAGGCATACCAATTTTTATCTTTTATGCCATATGTTAATTGTATCTCTTCTATGTTTATATATGTTTAGATACACAAACACTTATCAGTGTGTTACAATTGCCTCCATCATTCAGCACAGTAACATGCTGTACAAGATTGCAGCCTAGGAGCAATACCACAAGTGGTATTGCCCACTACACACCTATGCTATATGATATATCCTAAACTATATAATATATGTGGTTTGTGTAGGTATACTCTGTGGTGTTCAGACAATCAGGAGATCACCTGATTGATCTGATCTGATCTGATCTGATTGACTTCTCAGAATGTATCCCCATCATTAAGCAAAACATGACTATAATAATATGTATGTCAATATACTACATATTATATACATAATAATACATATCATTGTATATTAATTGGTATACACTATTATGTAGTGTATATTGCTAATAATAAGAGTATATGATATTTCTGAAAGAAATGAAGGAAGGTCTAGATAAGAATAAGTGGAGGTATATACCATGTTCATGGATTAGAAGACTCAATATTACAAAAGTATCTTCTTAATTCCGCAAACCCAATCAAAACCCCAATAGGATTTTTATAAAATTTGACAAATTGACTTCAAAACTTATAAAGAAAATATTATTGAAGAAGGAGGAAATAAGTGAAGGAATTAATTTCTCAGACACAGAAAATTAGTTTTAAAATTAATAATTAAAAGCATGTGATATTGGTGCAAGAATGAACAAATAGATGAATGAACAGAATTGACAGGTTGATTTATTATTTAATTACAAAGACCATAATGTAGAACATTAAATGTTTTTCAAAATAAATGTTATTGAGTTAATCATTTACCCAAAGAGAGGAAAAATGAATCTTAACTCATACCTCACATCATACACAAAATTTAATGCCAAGAGGATTGTTGACTTATATGCAAAAAATAAAAGGAATAAAGTTTCTGAAATATAAGAGGGCAATATTGTCATAGTTTGTTGTAGAAAAATATTTCTCAAGTGGAGCATAAAAAGCATAAAAAGAAAAATTATAAATTGAGATTGTATTGAAAATGAATTTCTGTTGTATATTAAAAACCTATTGAAATAATGAATGAGCAATCTACATATTTAGATAATATTTGTAATACAATTGCTTAAAATGTAAATACAAAAACAATCTCTACAATTCAGCAAAATGTCAATCTAACCGAAAAATAAAAACCAGACTTAAAAAGGTATTCTACAATATAGCATATGCATTGGTATATTCTAAAAGATATGCCAATGATCAGTAAGCATTTGAAAAGGTGCTCAAGTTCATTATTTATCAGGACAATGCAAATTAAAACAAAAGATACCATTATACCCCCACAAGTTTTGCTAAAATTTGTAAGACATTTTCACATGTTGGCACAAATGAAATGCAACCAAATTTGCATTCTTCTCTACCACTGAAGGAGAGTAAATCGATAAAATTATTTTAGAAAACTGCCAATTCCTCATATTTATGAATGTACTCATATTACATTCTAAGAAATTATTACCCAAAGTGTGTGCTGAACAGAAATGTATAACTATATGCCTAAAAAATATGTATAAGAATAATTATAGCAGCATTTTCTGTAATTTCCCCAACTTAACAAGTACAATGTCAATTTTAAAACTGTGTGATATTTATATGATAGAATATTGTATGAGCTGCAACTATATGAAATCACTGGATAAATATGACAACTATATTGTGAAGAAATAAGACAAAAGAATGTCAGGTTTTAATTCTTGAATATTCAAAACTTTGCAAAACTAACTCAGAGTGTTCAAAGATGAGATAGGTGTTATCTTTGCAGTAACTTGACATGGATGGTGATTACATGAGTATATTTATTTTGTATACTTTCTAGTATATATGCTATTCCTTAATAATAAAAATATTAAATTTAAAATAACATTTCTAACTATATGCTGTTTTTCCCAGAGAATGAAAACATCAGAAAAATGTATATATGAATGTTCATAGCAGCTTTATTTATTATAGCTAAAACTAAAAACAACCTAGATGTTCCATAATGAGGGGATATTAAACGAAGTGTTGTACATTTATACCATGAACTGCTATTTAGCAATAAAATTGAATAATTCCTGATATACACAACAACTTGGATAAATGTCAAGGCAATTATACTAAGTAAGAAAAGCCAATCCCAAAAGGTTACGTACTGTATGAGTCCATTTATATAAGATTCTTGAAATGACAGAAAACAAAGAGATGAAGAAAAGATTAGTGATTGCAATTGCTATTGACTGGGGTGAGGATCAGGCTGTCAGAGGGAGGGGTGTGTGGTTTTAGAAGGTCAATGTGAAAAATCTTTTGTGTGGTGACGCAACTGTTCCATATCAGATGTGATATGGTTTGGCTATGCCTCCACCCAAATTTCAACTTGAATTGTATATCCCAGAATTCCCAAGTATAATACCCAGTGGGAGGTAATGGAATCATGGGAGGCCGGTCTTTCCCATGCTACTCTCATGATAGTGAATAAGTCTTACGTGATCTGATGGGTTTATCAAGGGTTTCTGCTTTTGCTTCCTCCTTATTCTCTCTTGCTGCCATCATGTAAGAAGGGCCTTTCTCCCTCTGCCATGATTGTGAGATCTTCCCTAAACATGTGGAACTGTAAGTCTAGTTAAACTTCTTCTTTTGTAAATTTCCCAGTCTTGGGTGTGTCTTTATCAGCAGTGTGAACATGGACTAATACAATAAATTGATACCAGTTAGAGTAGGGTGTTGCTGAAAAGATATCCAAAAATGTGGAAGTGACTTTGGAACTGGGTAACAGGCAGAGGTTGGAACAGTATGGAGGGCTCAGAAGAAGACAGGAAAATGTGGAAAAGTTTGGAACCTCCTAGAGATTTGTTGAATGGCTTTGACAAAAATGCTAATAGTGATATGTACAATAAGATCCAGGCTGACATGGTCTCAGATGGAGATGAGAAACTTGCTGGGAACTGGGTCAAGGGTGACTCTTGCTATGTTTTAGCAAAGAGACTGGCAGCATTTTGCCCCTGCCCTAGGGATTTGTGGAACTTTGAACTTGAGAGAGATGAAGTAGGGTATCTGGTGGAAGAAATTTCTAAGCAGCAAAGCATTCAAGAGGTGAAAAGCATTCCATTTTAAAAGGGAAACAGAATATAAAACTTTGGCAAATTTACAGCCTGATGATGGAGGAGAGAAGAAAAACCCATTCTTTGAGGAAAAATTCAAGCTGGCTGCAGAAATTTGCATAAGTAGCAAGAAGCCCAAAGTTTATCACCAAGACCATGGGGAAAATGTCTACAGACCATGTCAGAGACCTTCATGGCAGCCACTCCCATTACAGGCCCAGAGGAAAAAGTGGTTTCATGGGCCGGACCCAGTGTCCTGTGCTGTGTGCAGCCTAGGGACTTGGTGCTCAGTGTCCTAGCCACTCCAGCCATGGCTGTAAGAGGCCAACATACAGCTCAGACTGTGGCTTCAGAGAGTAGAAACCCCAAGCCTTGGCAGCTTCCCTATGGTGTTGAGCCTATGGATGCACACAAGTCAAGAATTGAGATTTAGGAAACTTCGCCTAGATATCAAAATATGTAGGGAAATGCCTGGATGTCCAGGCAGAAGTTTGCTTCAGGGAGGGGGCACTCATAAAGAACCTCTGCTAGGGCAGTGCAGAAGGGAAATGTAGAGCTGGAGCCCCCATACAGAGTCCCTACTGGGGAACCACCTAGTGGAGCTGTGATTAGGGAGCCACAATCCTCCAACCCCAATGGCAGATCTACCAACAGCTTGCCTCGTTCACCTGGAAAAGCCACAGACACTCAATGCCAGACCATGGAAGCAGCTGGGTGGGGAGGTTGTACCCTGCAAAGCCACAGGGGTGGAGCTGCCCAATAGCATGGGAATCCACCTCTTGCATCAGCATGACCTGAATCTGAGACCTGGAGTCAAAGTAGTTCATTTTGGAGGTGTAAAATTTGACTCCCCCACTGGATTTCAGACTTGGATGGGGCTGTAGCCCCTTTGTTTTGGCTAACTTCTCCCATTTGAAATGGCCGTATTTACCCAATGCCTGTACCCCCACTGTATCTAGGAAGTAACTAACTTGCTTTTGATTTTACAGGCTCATAGGTCATTATTTTCCAGGTTGGATAAAGAAAACGTGGTGTGTGTTTGTGTGTGTGTATGTTTCTGTGGGTGTGTAGAGAAGTGTGTGTGTGGCGAGAGAGTATGTGTGTTCGTGTCTGTGTGTGTATACATGCACACTATGGTTACCACTTAGCCATAAAAAAAGAATAAAATCACATCTTTTGCAGCAATGTGGATAGAATTAGAGGCCATTATCTTAAGTGAAATAACTCAGAATGTCAAAATATCACATTTTCACTCATAAGTGAGAGCTAAACAACGTGCACACATGGACATAAATGGTGGAGAAATAGACAGTGAAGAAGCAGAAATGTAGGTGGGTGGGAGATGAGGAATTACTTAATGGGTACAATGTACGCTATTTGGAAGATGGCTACACTAAAAGCCCTGAGTAGAATTAGGATATAATAAATAAAAACATAAAACATTGATGAATCATAAAACTCAATATTGTAAAGATATCATTTTTTTCTTAATTGATTTATAGATTTAATGTTATTCCAATCAAAACCTAAGCAGGTCTTTTTACGTACATGCTGATTCTAAAATGTCTATGAAAAGGCATAAAAGCAGATATGCCTCAGACAATGTTAAATAAGAACAGTAAATTTGTAGGACTACAGCAATTAAGAGTATGTGGTACTGGTATAAATAGCACAATAGAACAGAATATGCTGTGAGAACCATACATCAAACCTGATTTATGACAAAGTTGGCATACAGTAGAAAACAGATATCTTTCAAATCAGTTTTGTATGATTTATTGTCTATCCATTTAAATATGAATTTATTGCTATCTCAAAACACACACACAGGAATCAGTGTTCTATATTTTAATCTTGATGGTGATTACATGGGTATGTTAACTTTGGGGAAAAGTCATACTTCACAGTCATTATTTGTGCACTTTTCTTCATGTCTATTATATGTCAGATTATGTTAGGTAAATATGTAAAATTTTACATATTTATGTAGTAAATAGTATGTATTTATGTAGTAAATATTTAGTATTAAACATTAGAATACAGTAAGAAGTGTACTCTAAAAAATACCCTTGTAGATTTATTTTATACATTGATGGCACTAATATCCTATCTATAATATATTCATTCCTTTTCTTCTGAAATTTTATACAACCCACCTACATTAGTCTGCTGGGGCTACCATAAGAAATACTACATATTGGGTGGCTTAAGCAACAGGAATTAATTTTTCACAGTTCTGGAGGCTGGAAGTTCAAGACCAAGGAGTCACCAAGTTTAACTTCTTTTGAGGTCTCTCTCATTGGCTTGCAAATGACTATCTCACTACTGTGTTCTCACCAGGCCTCTTCTCTGTCACTTACATCCCTGGTGTCTCTCTTTCTTCTGGTGAGGACACCAGTACTATTGAATTAGAGCTCCATCCTTATGACCTTATTTAACCTAAATTATCTTTTAAAAGGCTCTACCACCAAATATAGTCATATTGGTGATCAGGGCTTCTACATATGAATTTTAGTTTGGGAAGATGGAGGGGGCGGGCATAGTTCAGTCCTTAGCTGGACCAATTCTGATTTTAGGACCAGCCATGTGACTTGCTTTACCAAATTGGATATAAGAAAACAATGCAGAGCCATGAGGCTTGATTCATCTATAAACATACAACAGTGAGGAAATAGCAAGCCATTAATCTATCTAAGAATATAATGAGAAGTTTCAGTAATACAAGCAGCAAAAAATAAGTCACATAATATGGCCCTATAGACTGAAAAAAAAATAAGATATAAAGAGAAAGAACATAGAATGACTCAAATATCCTCACACCCTCCTTTGGCTTTTACCAAGATTAGGGTCACAGGTAGTATATTGGATAGCTTGAAAGGAATGTCAAGGACATTGGGGTTAGGGAATCTTATTATCTGGAGAGAAATCACTTTGTAGGCCGACCCACACCATCTTGCAGACAGTCATGTTAAGATAAGGTAAGCCACATCAAGTCAATGAAGATGGATTAAGTATACACCACATGCTCAGATCTGCACTAGACATTTTTAAGAGCATATGGAAGATAACGTTTTCTCCCTGCTTTCAATGAATGCACCATCATTTTGGAAGAAAGAAGACTACACTCATCGGACAACAGTACTACAATAGTGGACACAGATGGTCAGATTTAAGAGTCATCTAATTAATCATAGAGAAACTAATGTTTTTGCTGCAAAGTGTTGTGATGAAAACTTTGTTTAAGATTAAGCTTGATATTCAAAAAGAATTCCTTGCCAAAAATCTCATTGCAATATGTTTTAAAGTATATTTGTACATAAATATTTCATGTCATTTTAGATCAATGAAGCCAAATGCCACCAAGATTTCCAGCCTCCCTTCTATTAAACAACATGTTTATATTTATGGAAACTGAGTTCACATTAACCACCAAATAAGTATGTGTCTACTAGTTTCTTAAGAAAACTATTCACAAATAGAAATGAGGCCAATTACGTGATGTACTTGGGTGTTTTTTTTTTATTTTATCATTGATTTGAGAGGAATAACTGGTTTAGATGTTATCATGTTTCTCCATGGCCTTAGTCAAAGAATTCAGATATGCAGACCAATTCTGGCTCTTTATGCATGGTTTTAAAACAGAGTGTAAAATGTACTTGGTGCTTTGCTCTTCATGGCTAAGAGATGTATGGAGTGTGCCGAAGGGGGTCAGTTCAGGGCACATTTCACTACACATTATAAAACACTTATGAGATAATAACAATTTTCAATTATATCCAGTGAGGCAGCAACACTCAAAAGAGATTTTAGCAAAATATCCTTCCTAGACTTCCAAATAAGCAGTGCTTTTTCATCTAGAGGCATGTTTTTCAAAGTGTAGTTGCAATTTTCCATGGACACGTAAGTTTTTCTTAAAGCATAGAGCTCTGAAGCAGGACTGTATATTCAATTTGTTGATAATTCATGTTCTTTCTTTCCCCGTCATTTTATTCTTTTTTTTTTTTTTTTTTTTTGAGACGGGGTTGCCCTGTCATCCAGGCTGGAGTGCAATGGTGCAATCTTCTTGGCTCACCGCAACCTCTGCCTCCCGGGTTCAAGCGATTCTCCCATCTCAGCCCCCTGAGTAGCTGAGATTACAGGCACGCACTACCACGCCTGGTTAATGTTGGTATTTTTAGTAGAGATGTGGTTTCGCCATGTTGGCCAGGCTGGTCTCAAACTCCTGACCTCAGATGATCCTCCCACCTTGGCCTCCCAAAGTGCTAGGATTACAGGTGTGAGCCACCACACCTGGCCCACTTTTTTCTTTACTACCATAAGGATCCTTGTTCAGTCATCCTCCATCCTCCACCATTGTTTTGCTTTCTCTAGTTTCACCATCTCTCTCCTTCATTTACTGGTGTTGCTTTACTGTCTTTTCTCTCTCCTCCCCTTCTCCTTGTCCTTTTCTCTTCTTCCTGTTCTTCTTCATACACAGCCACAAGAACTTTTGTCTTCTGCTGTCTCTAGAGCCCGATGTTAGGAAGTGTGTTCCCCCCATACAGTGTGCTCTGAGAGACAAATGGAAGTTATTCATGAGCAAATAATGACACCCCTGCAGTGGCAGCAGTTCTTATTTTCCAGATGATCTGTGGACAGGTGATCAAGGCTGAGCCAATAATAGCACCCTATTCATAGTTGCTAAGTTTGGGGCAACGGACATGAACCAGGCTAAATAGAATCTTACCCTGGTGAATTTTCTGTTGCTGCTGATAAAAAAGAACTTCCCTCTGGATAGAAACTAAAAGAACATGACTTCAGGGATGCTCAGGGCTAGGCTCTTTATCAGGAAAGAAGTCTGAAGGAATGAAGGTGGCACTCTGAGAGAAAAAGAAAGGAGTGGCAAAGGAGGATCCATGTTGCATAATTTCGTAATTTTAGTCTATAAACACAACAAGCTTTTCGGTTTTTTTTTTTTTTTTTTTGAGACGGAGTCTCGCTCTGTCGCCCAGGCTGGAGTGCAGTGGCGCGATCTCGGCTCACTGCAAGCTCCGCCTCCCGGGTTCACGCCATTCTCCTGCCTCAGCCTCCCAAGTAGCTGGGACTACAGGCGCCCGCCACTACGCCCGGCTAATTTTTTGTATTTTTAGTAGAGACGGGGTTTCACCGTTTTAGCCGGGATGGTCTCGATCTCCTGACCTCGTGATCCGCCCGCCTCGGCCTCCCAAAGTGCTGGGATTACAGGCGTGAGCCACCGCGCCCGGCCAGCTTTTCGGTTTTTTACATCCATTTTTATCAAGTCTCCTTCCTATTTTTCGAATACATATTTTATTTACTTTTAATTATTTTGCTATGTTTATTAGAATTCACACTGTTTCAGTTATTTGCAATTGAATAAGTTCTAATTAATGTAACTATTTTATACAGTCCTATTCCTTGCCAAGACTTTCTGATACTACAAATTCCACTTTTAAGTTGTAAGGAAATTATAAGGAAATGTTCACAAACATTCCGGTAGAGATGTAATAAGACACTACATCTATGGAGAATGATTTGTTGATATTGACCAGAATATAAAATGAACCAAATCATTGACCTCACAATCCCACTTCTAATAATTCAATCTAAAAATATACCCACTCTGTGATAGAATTTATATATGTGAGTATGTATACTTCAGTATTTCTTTTTTTTCTTTGTCTTTTTTTATTATACTTTAAGCTCTGGGGTGCATGTGAAGAAGGTGCAGTTTAGTTACATAGGTATACACATGCTCTGGTGGTTTGCTGCACCCATCAATCCAGGTTGAAAATTCTTTTCTTTAAGAATGTTGAATATTGGCCCCCACTCTCTTCTGGCTTGTAGGGTTTCTGCTGAGAGATCTGCTGCTAGTCTGATGGGCTTCCCTTTGTGAGTAACCCGACCTTTCTCTGTGGCTGCTCTTAATATTTTTTCCTTCATTTCAACCTTGGTGAATCTGACAATTATGTGTCTAGGGGTTATTCTTCTCGAGGAGTATCTTTGTGGCGTTCCCTATATTTCCTGAATTTGAATGTTGGCCTGTCTTGCTAGATTGGGGAAGTTCTCCTGGATAATATCCTGAAGAGTGTTTTCCTACTTGATGTCATACTCCTCATCACTTTCAGGTACACCAATCAAACGCAGATTTCATCTTTTCAAATAAGTCCACGTTTCATGGAGGCTTTGTTTGTTCCTTTTTATTCTTTTTTCTCTAATCTTGTCTTCTCTTCTTCTCTCTTTATTTCATTAAGTTGATCTTCAACCACTGATATCCTTTCTCCCGCTCTATCGATTTGGCTATTGATATTGTGTATGCTTCACGAAGTTCTTGTGCTGTGTTTTTCTGCTCCATCCAGTCATTTATGTTCTTCTCTACACTGGTTATTCTAGTTAGCCATTCGTCTAACCTTTTTTCAAGGTTCTTAGCTTCCTTTCGATGGGTTAGAACATGCTCCTTTAGCTCAGAGGAGTTTGTTATTACCCACCTTATGAAGCCTACTTCTGTCAATTTGTCAAACTCATTCTCCATTCAGTTTTGTTCCCTTGCTGGTAAGGAGTTGTGATCCTTTGGAGGGGAAGAGGCTTTCTGGTTTTTGGAATTTTCAGCCTTTTTACTCTGGTTTATCCCCATCTTTGTGATTTATCTACCTTTGTTCTTTGATGTTGGTGACCTTTGGATGGGGTCTTTGAGTGGATGTGCTATTCCTTCTAACAGTCAGGCCCCTCTGCTGTTGGTCTGCTGGAGTTTGTTGTAGGTCCACTCCCGACCCTGTTTGCCTGGGTATCACTAGCAGAGGCTGCAGAACAGCAAAGATTGCTCCCTGTTCTTTCCTCTGGAAGCTTCGTCCCAGAGGGGCACCTGCCAGATGCCAGCCAGAACCTTCCTGTGTGAGATATCTGTCAGCCCCTACAGGGAGGTGTCTCCCAGTCAGGATACACAGGGGCCAGGGACCCACTTGAGGAGACAGTCTGACCCTTAGCAGAGCTCAAACACTGTGCTTGGAGGTCCACTTTTCTCTACAGCCATCAGGCAGGGACGTTTAAGTCAGCTATAAGTCCCTGACTGGGGCTGCTGCCTTTTTTTTCAGAGATGCCCTGGCCAGAGAGGAAAAATCTGGCAGTCTGGCCACAGCAACCTTGCTGAGCTGCAGTGGGCTCTGCCCAGTTCGAACCTCCCAGAGGCTTTGTTTACACTGTGAGCATAAAACTGCCTACTCTAGCCTCAGCTATTGTGGACACCCCTCCCTCAATCAAGCTCTTGTCCCAGGTCGATCTCAGATTGCCTCTGTGCTGTCAGTGAGAATTTCAAGCCAGTGGATTTTAGTTTCCTTGGCTTCATGGGAATGGGACCTGCCAAGCCAGATGACTTGGCTCCCTGGCTTCAGCACCCCTTTCCAGGGGAGTGAGCGGTCTGTGTTGCTGGCCTTCCAGGGGCCACTGGGGTATGGAAAAAAAAAGAATGCCTGCAGCTAGTTCAGTGTCTGCCCAAATGGCTACCCAGTTTTGTGCTTGAAACCCAGGGCCATGGTAGAGTAGGCACCAGAGGGAATCTCCTGGTTTGCAGGTTGCAAAGACCATGGAACCAGAGCAGTATCTGTGCTGGAGCTCCTTAGGCTCAGTCCCTCATGGCTTCCCTTGGGTAGGGGAGAAAATTCCCCAACCCCTTGCACTTCCTGGGTGAGGCGATGCCCCACCCTGCTTCAGCTCACCCTCCGTGGGCTGCACCCACTGTCCAGCCAGTCCCAATGAGATGAACTGGGTACCTCAGTTGGAAATGCAGAAATCACCCACTTTCCGCATCGATCTCCCTGGGAGCTGCAGACTAGAGCTGCTCCTATTCAGCCATCTGGCCAGCAAGTCCCCAGTACTTCTTAAGTAGCAAAATATTAAAAATAGCTTAACCAAACTGAAATAGTGGTGAAGAGTAAATTGTTAAACTATAGTATGTCATCAGTGAAAATATAACGCAATATTTAAAAAATGAAACAAACATATGAAGTTATGTGGAATGATATCAATATAATAAGAATAAATCTAAGTGAGGTGGCAAATGATCTGTTCATTAAAAACCATAAAACATTAATGAAAGAAATTTTAAAAGACATAAATAAATGGAGAGATAGCTCATGTTAATTGATTGGAAGAATCAGTATTGTGAAAATGTCTATATTACTCAAAGTGATCTACAGATTTAATGCAACACCTATCAAAATCCCAATGGCAATTTTAATAGAAATAAAATAAAAATTTAAAATTCATATCAAACTATAGAAGACCCTGAATAGTTAAATCAATCTTGAATAAGAAGAAAAGAGCAAGAAGTATTATACTACCTGATTTGAAAATGTATTACAAAACTACAGTAATAAAAACAGTATAGTACTTATTTAAGAATAAACATATTGAAAAATGAACAAGAGTAGAAAGCCCAGAAATAAACCTACACATATAAGGCCCAATATCTTTAAAATAACACCAAGAATACAAAAGAAAAAAGGATACTGTCTTCAATAAATGATGTTTGCAAAATTAGATATCCACATGCAAAGGAATGAAATTGAACTTTTATATCACACCATACACAAAAATCAACTCAATGTGGATTAAAGACTTAAATGTTTTACCTGAAATCCAAGAAGAAAACAAAGGACAATGCTTCTTTGACATTGTTCTTGGTGTTATAAATAAAGTTTCAGTGCTGTAAAAGAAATGGCACTCAAATATAAAATGTTATTTTTAATTCTCAGCAAGGCAATGTACTTCTATAGAAGGGTGCGCCCTTACAGACAGAGCAGTGGTGAGCACACACCTGGACAAGAGGGGGGAAGGGGTTCCTATTCCTGATGCTCATGGCCCCTGCTGCTGTGTCATTCCCCTATTGGCTAGGGTTAGACCTTACAGGCTGAACTAATTCCGATTGGCTAATTTAAAGAGAGTGACGAGGTGAGCGGTTTGGCAGGAAAAATGGTTATGGCAGAGCAGGAAATTGGAATGTGTCAGGGTGGAGAATGAGTCATGGTGGAGCAGATAATTGGAATGAGTTAGGGCGGAGCAGGTAATCAAAAAAGATTGCTTTACAAGGAAGTTAGGATTAAAAGTAGAAGGCAAAGAATTGAACATACTGACATATTGATTCATTGAAGAGAAATTTAGAACTTATATCTAACATTGGAAATAGTTGTTTGGGTATGACACCAAAAGCACAGTCATCCAAGGAAAAAATAGACAAATGAGATTGCATCAAACTAAAAAGTTTCTCTACAGCAAAGGAAACAGTCAAAAAAAAAAAAAAAAAGAAAGAAAGGCAACCTAAAGAATGGAAGAAAATATTTGCAAGCCATACATCTGATAAAGGGTTAACATACAAAACATATAAGGAACACATACAACTCAATAGCAAAAAATAACAATAACCTGATTTTAAAATATGCAAAGGAACTATGAAAACACAGACATTTCTCTAAAGAAGACAGACAAAAGAATGGCCAACAGGAATATGAAAAGGCTTTCAACAGCACTGTGAAACGTGTTGTGGAAATGTACATCAAATCTTCAATGAGGTATCACCTCATACCTGCTAGAATGGATATTATCTCTGGGATTTTCCTTCAAGGGGCTGACACTCATTCTGCAGATTTTAATACTAGTGTTCTCTTGGTCTCCCAGAATGTATCAACAAATTTCTTTTCCAAATAATCAAAATCATTCATATTCCTGTAAGTAAGTAGTTTGTTTTTGTTTTTGTTTTTGTTTTTGAGATGGAGTCTCACTCTGTTGCCCATGCTGGAGTGCAGTGCTGCAATCTGGGCTCACTGCAACCTCTGCCTCCCAGGTTCAAACAATTATCCTGCCTCAGCCTCTGGAGTAGCTGGGATTACAGGCATGTGCCAACATGCCTAGCTAATTTTTGTACTTGTAAAGACGGGGGTTTCATCACGTTGGCCAGGCTGGTCTCGAACTCCTTGCCTCAAGTGATCCACCCACCTCACCCTCCCAAAGTGCTGGAATTACATGTGTGAGCCACCGTGCGCAGCCTGTAAATAACCCTTAAAACTGGTTTGTCCGTTAAAATATATTTCAGTTAAGTTGTCCAGTTATGCCACATAAAAACAAAATCAAGCAAAAATGGCAAGCATAATCGTTATAGCCAGGAAAAAAATCTCCCTGATTTCAGAAATGTTAAATGTCTGGGAGTATGTATGTATGTGTAACTATTTATGTACACGTTTGATTACATATACAGAATATTCCTGGAGATATGGGAGAGAGTGGTAATAAGGGTTTTCCCTAAGGAAAGAGCCAGATGTTTTGGAGACAGAAAAGTGGAAGGGAGTATTATTTTTTTACCTTATAGCCTATATATCCATTGAATTTTATTCTGTGAACAAATATTACCTTTTCAAACATAACTTTTCAATATTAATTAAAATTGTACTCCTAATGATTTATTCTCTTGTGTTAAGGCAATGTTTTTTAAGGGATACTGTATTAGAGTTCTTCAAAGAAATATAACCAATAGGATATATATCAAGAAAGATTTATTTTAAGGAATTGGCTCACGTGCTTGTGATGGTCTGGCAAATCCAAAATCTGTAGGCCAGACCAGCAGGCGAGAAATTCTAGCAGGGTTTCTTTGTGGCAGTCTTGAAGCAAAATTTCTTTTTCTGCAGGAAACTTCACTCTTTGTTCTTATAGCATTCAGCTGATTGGATGAAGCAGGCTATGGAGGGTAATCAGCAACACTTAAAGTCCACTGATCATAAATGTTAACCACATCTGAAAAATACCTCTACAGCAACATCCAGACTACTATTTGACCACACATGTGGGCACCGTAGCTAAGCCATGTTGACACATTATATATTCACAGATAGTATATGGACAAGTAATTGTGTACAACTGATTTGAAATGAGATATTAATAAACTTTTTGAAACAGTTATATACAATACTTCTTTCTACATGTACTTGAAAAAAGATAACTAAAGTATTAATTCTAAGATATCAAGCAGATTACTGCAAATAATAATTCCAAGTCTATTTAAGATAGAATAAAGGTGTTAATTAAGTAATAGTACAAGTGGTATGTGGCAAAAAGTTGGAGATGGTGCTAAAATGACTGGATTTTGAAAAACCTTGGCCTAACACCTGTACCCTTACAAAGAAAAATATCCTTTAATAATGAAACTAACAGATACTTTCCCAGGAGTGAATTTTGATGAATGAAAGCTGTATGCTAAGGATAGCATAGCAGAGTATCTTAGTTCATTCTAGCTTCTGTAACAAAATGCCATAAATTGTGTGACTTATAAATAAGAGAAATTTATTTGTTATAATTCTGGAGGCTGAAAACTTCAATAGTAAGACCCCAGAAGATTCAGTGTATTATGAGGGCACATTTTCTGGTTCATGGTTGGCAACTTTTCATTGTGTCCTTACACAGTGGAAGGAACTAGCTAGGTCTCTGTATTCTCTTTTTATAAGAGCATTAATGTAATTCATGAAGGCCCCACCCTCATGATGTAATCACTCACAGAATCTTCACATACTGATACCATCAATTCTTATCACATATTTTGTTTTTAGTTTTGTTTTTCTCATAGCTGTTCTTTTCTTTCTAGTTTTAGGTCAAGGAAAAATACATGAGAAAAAATAGTTTTAAATGAGACACATCATTTAAGATTACAGTAGGAAATAAATACTGATATGGTTTGGCTGTGTCCCCATCCGAATCTCATCTTGAATTCCCATGTGTTGTGGGAAGGACCAGATGGGAGGTGATTAAATCATGGAAGCTGGTCTTTTCCATGCTGTTCTCATGATAATGAATGAATCTCACAAAATCCAATGGTTTTAAAAGGGGGAGTTGCCCCATACAAGCTCTCTCTTTGCCTGCCACCATCCATGTAAGATGTAACTTACTCCTCCTTGCCTTCTGCCATGATTGTGAGGCCTCCCCAGCCATGTGAAACTGTAAATCCATTAAACCTCTTTTTTTCCCAGTCTCGGGTGTGTCTTTATCAGCAGTGTGAAAACGGACTAATACAGATGCTGAGAAGCAGTGGGCTAATTGCAGGAGGTTCATGATGTTCGAGTGAATGTTATTGACTGGTCACATAATGAGCAATACTTGGGTGGAAGCACGGACTATTCAACCACAGTTATAGAAGAGAAGACAGAGTAAAAACATGATGATGCAAGTCAGTGTGCAGAGTTGGAGGTGCAAAGATAACATCATTTCTTAGGATTGCTCAGATTTTCTTGGGAAAAGTAGAGATAAAATCAGCAAAGAGTTAAGATGAGGGAGAGTTAGTCTAGACCTTTGAGATGGGATGAAATGGGCAAATAGTTTTCTTGGAAGTAGAAGAATGAGTGGACACTGCCTTTACCTCTGTAACTGTGGTTACGTAGTTCATGCCCTTATTCAAGTCTTGCCCATCCTGTGACCAATGGATACCATCCACTCTGACATCAAGAATCAAACTAGACCATTGCTCCTCAGCATGTTCAATGTCTTCTTCTCTACTGGGTAATGGTTTTGCTAGACAATCCTGAGGACCACTTAAGATTTATGATCATAAATTTAAAATGAGAGCAATAATTGGATGTTTTTATCTAACCACATTCAGCTAGTTGGGGGCAAGTAGCTAGTGGATAGAAATTTGGATTTAAAGAGGTCAGTCTTTTGCTGAATGAGTACAATTGATGGAGAGAAAAGCAAGGGAGTTAGATGCTCCTGTACTTCCAATTCTCGTAGCTAATCATCACCAATCCTTCCTGCTACCCTGGCAACCCACTGCTTGTATGCATGCACAGACACACACACACACACACACACACACATCAGATAAACATAGCATTTACATGTCATATGAATATTCATAAGTTTGCTGCATACTCAAGTATACTATGTACAAGCATCTTTAAGTTTTTAAACCATGTTAAGTTGAACTCACAAAGGAGACGATACAGCATATGTTGACAAATCAAAGTAGCTTTTGATCAGCTCATGGAAACCTTAGATACTAGGTAACATATGAATTCAAGCATCCAAACATGACGCCTTGTGAATAATTTCTGATGCAAAAATTATAACAAAACCCTGCTACTATTAAGAATTGAAACATTAGTCAACCCAATTTAATGTGAGGTTAAGAAATATATAAATAAGTATGTTTTGATAGAAGAATATAAACTATAAATTTTAGAAGCTGATACAGCATGTGTGGTGTAAACACAATTTGAGCACTGCACATAGTTGCTAATGCTACAATATTATTCCCAAATTCTGATTAGTTTTTCACTTACTTAAATCATTCATGATCATTATGTTTTACTTAATTTATTTGAGAAAAAAGAAAGATGTGATGTGAATATTTTAGCATTACTAGGAAAAACAAAGTAACAATTTAGTCTTTCAAGTGCCTGTTTATTGGTACTAACTTACACAAGTAGGAAAATCAAAGAATAACATCTGTTGAAATATCTCCCAATTTATATTTCCTCTTTGTGAAGTTGCTTCCCCGCTCCATACTCCCTGCCTGTGATCTGGATATCAAGAAAAAGAGAGAATACAACTAAGAAAGGACATATTGACTTAAGGCAATTGCTGGCACACAAGAAGAGAATAGAGAGGTACCCCTTGAGGTCCCAAGAAGAAAAGATGATGGTGAAAGAGGTCGACCCATGTTCTTATTTTTCCTTTCTGGAAAAATCCTAATGGGCATGGTGAATCTTGAGAACAGGAGAGAGGGAGAGAGGATAGTGACACATTTTATCCAGGATACCCTGGGAAGGCTGTAAGTCTCTAGAGCAGGAGTCAGCCAATGTCTATGAAGGGTCAGATAATAATTTTAGGCTTTGTGGCCCAGGTGGTCTCTGTCACAACTACTCAAACTTTGTCCTCCTAGCACAAAAGCAGCCATAGATAACATATAAATGAATGTGTGGCTGTGTTCAAATATAATACTTTTTCACATCAGGTGGCAGGCAGATTTGGTCTCTAGGCTGTAGTTTGCATACCCCTGTTCTAACAGAAGACTTTTATGTGGCCACGTTCAACATGACATGTCAGGAATCATACAGGGTTGGCAGCAGGAAATGGTTAGAGAGATAGCCTAAGGTTGCCCTCTCCTCTGGCTCCCTTCCAATTGTGGGGACCCTAAAGAGGTTTAAATAGTTTTCTTAAACCCTCCTAAAGAGATACAGTGGACCTTCGGAAGAATATAGGATTGGGATAAAGAGAATGCTCTGAGTACCTATTTTCTTATCGATGGCAAAAGGTGGTGTCCATATATTTCAATAGTAGATGTCAGCACAATGCCCAAGCATCCATTGACCCAGCACAGCAATCACTAGTTCAAATAATCTATATAACTAGTCACACCAACAGCAGAGGTCAAAGAAAATCACTGGATTCCACAGAATTTGTATCCTGATACCACTATGGAGACATGTAAACCCCATATCATATTACCAGAAGGCATGTTGGCAAACAGCTGAGGATGACAGAAAAAACATTTGAGAAATTAAGTCATCCCAAAAAGAATTAAGTTTCCAAGTTAACTGGAATAAAAGGACTTAAATTGCTGTATTTGAAGAGTTTACTGTATTGCAAATGAACATAGTAAGGTGTGGATGGGAGGACATGGGGACTCTGTTCCATCCTACAATGTCAAGGCATTGAAAAGATCATATAAATTATAGGATGTAAAGAAACCTTTTTATTTGAATAGATAAGTATCGAAAATAAATATTTAACCCTACTATACATGATTTCACATAGAATATTTCTTGTTTCTAGAAAACTAATTTTGTGAAGAAAAGATGTTAGTTCAGAGGCTATACTGACAATTGTGTATCCTTCCTATATATCAAGATAGAAAAAATATCCCAATGCAATTTTCACCTTTAAGTCAAAGATTGTTACATGGCTTGAATTCTAATGGGAAGAGAAAAATCAAACAAATAGTATGGTCCCACAGAAAAAAAAAATTTTTAAATTATACTTTAAATTCTAGGGTACATGTGCACAATATGCAGATTTGTTACATAGGTATACATGTGCCATGTTGGTTTGCTGCACCCATCAACTCATCATTTACATTAGGTATTTCTCCTAATGCTATCCCTCCACCAGCCCCCCACCCCCCAGCCAGCCCTGGTGTGTGATGTTCCCTGCCCTGTGTCCACATGTTCTCATTGTTCAACTCCCACCTATAAGTGAGAGCATGCAGTGTTTGGTTTTCTGTCCTTGTGATAGTTTGCTTAGAATGATGGTTTCCAGCTTCATCCACGTCCCTGCAAAGGACATGCACTTTCCTTTTTTATGGCTGCATAATATTTCATGGTGTATAAGTGCCACATTTTCTTAATCCAGTGTATCACTGATGGACACTTGGGTTGGTTCCAAGTCTTTGCTATTGTGAATAGTGCCGCAGTAAACATATGTGTGCATGTGTCTTTATCATAGAATGCTTTATAACCCTTTGGGTATATCCCAGTAATGGGATTGCTGGGCCAAATGGTATTTCTAGTTCTAGATCCTTGAGGAATTGCCACAATGTCTTCCACAATGGTTGAACTAATTTACACTCCCACCAACAGTGTAAAAGTGTTCATATTTCTCCACATCCTCTCTAGCACCTGTTGTATCCTGACTTTTTAATGATCGCCATTCTAACTGGCATGAGATGATATCTCACTGTGGTTTTGATTTGCATTTATCTGATGACCAGTGATGATGAGCATTTTTGTATGTCTGTTGGCTGCATAAATATCTTCCTTTGAAATGTGTCTGTTCATATTCTTTGCCCACTTTTTGATGGGGTTGTTTGTTTTTTTCTTGTAAATTTGTTAAGTTCTCCGTAGATTCTGGATATTAGCCTTTTGTCGGATTGGTAGATTGCAAAAATTTTCTCCCATTCTGTAGGTTGCCTGTTCACTCTGATGATAGTTTCATCTGCTATGCAGAAGCTCTTTAGTTTAAGTAGATCCCATTTGTCAATTTTGGCTTTTGTTGCCATTGTTTTTGGTGTTTTACTCAGAAGGCTTTGCCCATGCCTATGTCCTGAATGGTATTGCTTTGCTTTTCTTCTAGGGTTTTTATGGTGTTAGGTCTTACATTTAAGTCTTTAATCCATCTTGAGTTAATTTTTGTATACAGTGTAAGGAAGGGATCCAGTTTCATCTTTCTACATATGGCTAGCCAGTTTTCCCAACACTATTCATTAAAGAGGGAATCCTTTCTCCATTGCTTGTTTCTGTCAGGTTTGCAAAAGATCAGATGATTGTAGATACGTGGTGTTATTTCTGAAGCCGCTCTTCCGTACCATTAGTCTATATATCTTTTTTGGTACCAGTATCATGGTGTTTTGGTTACTGTAGCCTTGTAGTATAGTTGGAAGTCAGCTAGTGTGATGCCTCCAGCTTTGTTCTTTTTGCTTAGGATGCTCTTGGCTATGCAGGGTTTTTTTGGTTTTTTTTTGTTTTTTTTTGTTTTTTTTTTTTGCTCCATATGAACTTTAAAGTAGTTTTTTCCAATTCTGTAAAGAAACTCAGTGGTAGCTTAATGGGGGTAGCATTGAATCTATAAATTACTTTGGGCAGTATGGTCATTTTCATGATAATCATTCTTCTTATCCATGAGCATGGAATGTTCTTCCATTTGTTTGTGTCCTCTTTTATTTCATTGAGCAGGGGTTTGTAGTTCTCCTTGAAGAGGTCCTTCACATCCCTTGTAAGTTGGATTCCTAGGTATTTTATTCTCTTTGTAGTAATTGTGAATGGGAGTTCACTCATGATTTGGCTCTCTGTTTGTCTACTATTGGTGTATAGGAATGCTTGTGATTTTTGCACATTGATTTTGTATCCTGAGACTTTGCTGAAGTTTCTTATCTGCTTAAGGAGATTTTGGGCTGAGATGATAGGGTTTTCTAAATATACAATCATGTCATCTGCAAACAGAGACAATTTGACTTCCTCTCTTCCTACTTGAATATGCTTTATTTCTTTCTCTTGCTTGATTGCCCTTGCCAGAACTTCCAACACTATGTTGAATAGGAGTGGTGAGAGAGGGCATCTTTGTCTTGTGCTGGTTTTCAAAGGGAATGCTTCCAGTTTTTGCCCATTCAATATGATATTGGCTGTGAGTTTGTCATAAATAGCTCTTATTATTTTGATTCTTTATCCAATTTGCCAGTCTGTGTCTTTTAATTGGGGCATTTAGCCCATTTACATTTAAGTTTAATGTTGTTATGTGTGAATTTGATCCTGACATTATGATGCTAGCTGGTTATTTTGCCCATTAGTTGATGCAGTTTCTTCATAATGTCAATGATCTTTACATTTTGATAAATTTTTGCAGTGGCAGTGGGAGGAGCCAAGATGGCCGAATAGGAACAGCTCCGGTCTACAGCTCCCAGCGTGAGCGACGCAGAAGACGGGTGATTTCTGCATTTCCATCTGAGGTACCGGGTTCATCTCACTAGGGAGTGCCAGACAGTGGGCGCAGGCCAGTGTGTGTGCGCACCGTGCGCGAGCCGAAGCAGGGCGAGGCATTGCCTCACCTGGGAAGCGCAAGGGGTCAGGGAGTTCCCTTTCCGAGTCAAAGAAAGGGGTGACGGACGCACCTGGAAAATCGGGTCACTCCCACCCGAATATTGCGCTTTTCAGACCGGCTTAAAAAACGGCGCACCACGAGACTATATCCCACACCTGGCTCAGAGGGTCCTACGCCCACGGAATCTCGCTGATTGCTAGCACAGCAGTCTGAGATCAAACTGCAAGGCAGCAACCAGGCTGGGGGAGGGGCGCCCGCCATTGCCCAGGCTTGCTTAGGTAAACAAAGCAGCAGGGAAGCTCCAACTGGGTGGAGCCCACCACAGCTCAAGGAGGCCTGCCTGCCTCTGTAGGCTCCACCTCTGGGGGCAGGGCACAGACAAACAAAAAGACAGCAGTAACCTCTGCAGACTTAAGTGTCCCTGTCCGACAGCTTTGAAGAGAGCAGTGGTTCTCCCAGCACGCAGCTGGAGATCTGAGAACGGGCAGACTGCCTCCTCAAGTGGGTCCCTGACCCCTGATCCCCGAGCAGCCTAACTGGGAGGCACCCCCCAGCAGGGGCACACTGACACCTCACACGGCAGGGTATTCCAACAGACCTGCAGCTGAGGGTCCTGTCTGTTAGAAGGAAAACTAACAACCAGAAAGGACATCTACACTGAAAAACCATCTGTACATCACCATCATCAAAGACCAAAAGTAGATAAAACCACAAAGATGGGGAAAAAACAGAACAGAAAAACTGGAAACTCTAAAACACAGAGCACCTCTCCTCGTCCAAAGGAACGCAGTTCCTCACCAGCAACAGAACAAAGCTGGATGGAGAATGATTTTGACGAGCTGAGAGAAGAAGGCTTCAGACGATCAAATTACTCTGAGCTACGGGAGGACATTCAAACCAAAGGCAAAGAAGTTGAAAACTTTGAAAAAAATTTAGAAGAATGTATAACTAGAATAACCAATACAGAGAAGTGCTTAAAGGAGCTGATGGAGCTGAAAACCAAGGCTCGAGAACTACGTGAAGAATGCAGAAGCCTCAGGAGCCGATGCGATCAACTGGAAGAAAGGGTATCAGCAATGGAAGATGAAATGAATGAAATGAAGCGAGAAGGGAAGTTTAGAGAAAAAAGAATAAAAAGAAATGAGCAAAGCCTCCAAGAAATATGGGACTATGTGAAAAGACCAAATCTACGTCTGATTGGTGTACCTGAAAGTGATGTGGAGAATGGAACCAAGTTGGAAAACACTCTGCAGGATATTATCCAGGAGAACTTCCCCAATCTAGCAAGGCAGGCCAACGTTCAGATTCAGGAAATACAGAGAACGCCACAAAGATACTCCTCGAGAAGAGCAACTCCAAGACACATAATTGTCAGATTCACCAAAGTTGAAATGAAGGAAAAAATGTTAAGGGCAGCCAGAGAGAAAGGTCGGGTTACCCTCAAAGGAAAGCCCATCAGACTAACAGCGGATCTCTCGGCAGAAACCCTACAAGCCAGAAGAGAGTGGGGGCCAATATTCAACATTCTTAAAGAAAAGAATTTTCAACCCAGAATTTCATATCCAGCCAAACTAAGCTTCATAAGTGAAGGAGAAATAAAATACTTTATAGACAAACAAATGCTGAGAGATTTTGTCACCACCAGGCCTGCCCTAAAAGAGCTCCTGAAGGAAGCGCTAAATATGGAAAGGAACAACCGGTACCAGCCGCTGCAAAATCATGCCAAAATGTAAAGACCATCAAGACTAGGAAGAAACTGCATCAACTAATGAGCAAAATCACCAGCTAACATCATAATGACAGGATCAAATTCACACATAACAATATTAACTTTAAATATAAATGGACTAAATTCTGCAATTAAAAGACACAGACTGGCAAGTTGGATAAAGAGTCAAGACCCATCAGTGTGCTGTATTCAGGAAACCCATCTCACGTGCAGAGACACACATAGGCTCAAAATAAAAGGATGGAGGAAGATCTACCAAGCCAATGGAAAACAAAAAAAGGCAGGGGTTGCAATCCTAGTCTCTGATAAAACAGACTTTAAACCAACAAAGATCAAAAGAGACAAAGAAGGCCATTACATAATGGTAAAGGGATCAATTCAACAAGAGGAGCTAACTATCCCAAATATTTATGCACCCAATACAGGAGCACCCAGATTCATAAAGCAAGTCCTCAGTGACCTACAAAGAGACTTAGACTCCCACACATTAATAATGGGAGACTTTAACACCCCACTGTCAACATTAGACAGATCAACGAGACAGAAAGTCAACAAGGATACCCAGGAATTGAACTCAGCCCTGCACCAAGCGGACCTAATAGACATCTACAGAACTCTCCACCCCAAATCAACAGAATATACATTTTTTTCAGCACCACACCACACCTATTCCAAAATTGATCACATACTTGGAAGTAAAGCTCTCCTCAGCAAATGTAAAAGAACAGAAATTATAACAAACTATCTCTCAGACCACAGTGCAATCAAACTAGAACTCAGGATTAAGAATCTCACTCAAAGCCGCTCAACTACATGGAAACTGAACAACCTGCTCCTGAATGACTACTGGGTACATAACGAAATGAAGGCAGAAATAAAGATGTTCTTTGAAACCAACGAGAACAAAGACACCACATACCAGAATCTCTGGGACGCATTCAAAGCAGTGTGTAGAGGGAAATTTATAGCACTAAATGCCTACAAGAGAAAGCAGGAAAGATCCAAAATTGACACCCTAACATCACAATTAAAAGAACTAGAAAAGCAAGAGCAAACACATTCAAAAGCTAGCAGAAGGCAAGAAATAACTAAAATCAGAGCAGAACTGAAGGAAATAGAGACAGAAAAAACCCTTCAAAAAATCAATGAATCCAGGAGCTGGTTTTTTGAAAGGATCAACAAAATTGATAGACCGCTAGCAAGACTAATAAAGAAAAAAAGAGAGAAGAATCAAATAGACACAATAAAAACTGATAAAGGGGATATCACCACCGATCCCACAGAAATACAAACTACCATCAGAGAATATTACAAACACCTCTACGCAAATAAACTAGAAAATCTAGAAGAAATGGATACATTCCTCGACACATACACTCTCCCAAGACTAAACCAGGAATAAGTTGAATCTCTGAATAGACCAATAACAGGCTCTGAAATTGTGGCAATAATCAATAGTTTACCAACCAAAAAGAGTCCAGGACCAGATGGATTCACAGCCGAATTCTACCAGAGGTACAAGGAGGAACTGGTACCATTCCTTCTGAAACTATTCCAATCAATAGAAAAAGAGGGAATCCTCCCTAACTCATTTTATGAGGCCAGCATCATTCTGATACCAAAGCCGGGCAGAGACACAACCAAAAAAGAGAATTTTAGACCAATATCCTTGATGAACATTGATGCAAAAATCCTCAATAAAATACTGGCAAACCGAATCCAGCAGCACATCAAAAAGCTTATCCACCATGATCAAGTGGGCTTCATCCCTGGGACGCAAGGCTGGTTCAATATACGCAAATCAATAAATGTAATCCAGCATATAAACAGAGCCAAAGACAAAAACCACATGATTATCTCAATAGATGCAGAAAAAGCCTTTGACAAAATTCAACAACCCTTCATGCTAAAAACTCTCAATAAATTAGGTATTGATGGGACCTATTTCAAAATAATAAGAGCTATCTATGACAAACCCACAGCCAATATCATATTGAATGGGCAAAAACTGGAAGCATTCCCTTTGAAAACTGGCACAAGACAGGGATGCCCTCTCTCACCGCTCCTATTCAACATAGTGTTGGAAGTTCTGGCCAGGGCAATCAGGCAGGAGAAGGAAATAAAGGGTATTCAATTAGGAAAAGAGGAAGTCAAATTGTCCCTGTTTGCAGATGACATGATTGTTTATCTAGAAAACCCCATCGTCTCAGCCCAAAATCTCCTTAAGCTGATAAGCAACTTCAGCAAAGTCTCAGGATACAAAATCAATGTACAAAAATCACAAGCATTCTTTTACACCAACAACAGACAGAGAGCCAAATCATGAGTGAACTCCCATTCACAATTGCTTCAAAGAGAATAAAATACCTAGGAATCCAACTTACAAGGGATGTGAAGGACCTCTTCAAGGAGAACTACAAACCACTGCTCAAGGAAATAAAAGAGGACACAAACAAATGGAAGAACATTCCATGCTCATGGGTAGGAAGAATCAATATTGTGAAAATGGCCATACTGCCCAAGGTAATTTACAGATTCAATGCCATCCCCATCAAGCTACCAATGACTTTCTTCACAGAATTGGAAAAAACTACTTTAAAGTTCATATGGAACCAAAAAAGAGCCCGCATCGCCATGTCAATCCTAAGCCAAAAGAACAAAGCTGGAGGCATCACACTACCTGACTTCAAACTATACTACAAGGCTACAGTAACCAAAACAGCATGGTACTGGTACCAAAACAGAGATATAGATCAATGGAACAGAACAGAGCCCTCAGAAATAATGCCGCATATCTACAACTATCTGATCTTTGACAAACCTGAGAAAAACAAGCAATGGGGAAAGGATTCCCTATTTAATAAATGGTGCTGGGAAAACTGGCTAGCCATATGTAGAAAGCTGAAACTGGATCCCTTCCTTACACCTTATACAAAAATCAATTCAAGGTGGATTAAAGATTTAAACGTTAGACCTAAAACCATAAAAACCCTAGAAGAAAACCTAGGTAATACCATTCAGGACATAGGCATGGGCATATACACCATGGAATACTATGCAGCCATAAAAAATGATGAGTTCATGTCCTTTGTAGGGACATGGATGAAATTGGAAACCATCATTCTCAGTAAACTATCACAAGAACAAAAAACCAAACACCGCATATTCTCACTCATAGGTGGGAATTGAACAATGAGATCACATGGACACAGGAAGGGGAATATCACACTCTGGGGACTGTGGTGGGGTCGGGGGAGGGGGTAGGGATAGCATTGGGAGATATACCTAATGCTAGATGACACGTTAGTGGGTGCAGCGCACCAGCATGGCACATGTATACATATGTAACTAACCTGCACAATGTGCACATGTACCCTAAAACTTAGAGTATAATTAAAAAAAAAAAAAGTAAAAAAAAAAAAAAAAAAAAAAAAAAAAAAAAAAAATTTTGCAGTGGCTAATACCGGTTGTTTCTTTCCATGTTTAGTGCTTCCTTCAGGAGCTCTTGTAAGGCAGGCCTGGTGGTGACAAAATCTCTCAGCATTTGCTTGTCTGTAAAGGATTTTATTTCTCCTTCACTTATGAAGCTTAGTTTGGCTGGATATGAGATTCTGGGTTGAAAATTCTTTACTTTAAGAATGTTGAATATTGGCCCCTACTCTCTTCTGGCTTGTAGGGTTTCTGCAGAGAGATCTGCTGTTAGTCTGATGGGCTTCCCTTTGTGGGTAACCCGACCTTTCTCTGTGGCTGCCCTTAACATTTTTTCCTTTATTTTACCCTTGGTGAATCTGAAAATTATGTGTCTTGGGGTTGCTCTTCTCGAGGAGTATCTTTGTGGTGTTCTCTGTATTTCCTGAATTTGAATGTTGGCCTGCCTTTCTAGGTTAGGGAAGTTCTCCTGGATGATATCCTGCAGAGTGTTTTCTAACTTGGTTCCATTATCCGTGTCACTTTGCGGTACACCAGTCAAATGTAGATTTGGTATTTTCACATAATCCCATATTTCTCAGAGCCTTTGTTCATTTCTTTTCACTCTTTTGTTCTCTAATCTTGTCTTCTCACTTTATTTTATTAATTTGGATATCAATCATTGATATCCTTTCTTCCACTTGATCGAATTGGCTATTAAAGCTTGTGCGTCTCGAAGTTCTTGTGCCATGGTTTTCAGCTCCATCAGGTGATTTAAGGTCTTCTCTACACTGTTTATTCTAGTTGGCCATTCATCTAACGTCTTTTCAAGGTTTTAGCTTCCTTGTGATGGGTTAGAACATGCTCCTTTAGCTTCGAGAAGTTTGTTATTACCGACCTTCTGAAGCCTACTTTTGTCAATTTCTCAATCTCATTCTCCATCCAGTTTTGTTCCCTTGCTGGTGAGGAGCTGCAATCCTTTGGAGGAGAAGAGGTGCTCTGTTTTTTGGAATTTTCAGCTTTTCTGCTCTGGTTTCTCCCCATCTTTGTGGTTTTATCTACCTTTGGTCTTTGATGTTGGTGACCTACAGATGGGGTTTTGGTGTGGATATCCTTTTTGTTGATGTTGATGTCCTGCTTCAGCTCGCCCTCTGTGGGCTGCACCCACTGTTCAACCAGTACCAGTGAGATGAACCAGGTACCTCAGTTGGAAATACAGAAATCACCCGTCTTCGGCATCGATCATGCTGGGAGCTGCAGACCAGAGCTGTTCCTACTCAGCCATCTTGGAAGCGACTAGAAAAATGTGCTAAAAATTCAAATACCTGGTTTCCTTCTGTTGGTTAGTTTTCCTTCTAACAGTCAGACCCCTCAGGTGCAGGTCTGTTGGAGTTTGTTGTAGGTCCACTCCAGACCCTGTTTGCCCGGGTATATCACCAGAGGAGTCTGCAGAACAGCAAATATTGCTGCCTGATCCTTCCTCTGGAAGCTTCATCCCAGAGGGGCACCCACCTGTTTGAGATGTCTGTCGGCCCCTACTTGGAGGTATTTCCCAGTCAGGCTACCCAGGGGTCAGTCATCCACTTGAGGAGGCAGTCTATCCATTTTTGGAGCTCGAACGCCATGCTGAGAGAACCACTGCTCTCTTCAGCGCTGTCAGACAGGGATGTTTAAGTCTGCAGAAGCTGTCTGCTGCCTTTTGTTCTACTATGCCCTGATCCCAGAGGTGGAATCTATAGAGGCAGTAGGCCTTGCTGAGCTGCCGCGGACTCCACTCAGTTCGTGCTTCCAGACCTCTTTGTTTACACTGTGAGCTACTCAAGCCTCAGCAATGGCAGACACCCCTCCCCGTGTCCAGCTGCAGTGTCACAGGTGGATCTCAGACTGCTGCGCTAGCAGTGAGCAAGGCTGCGTGGGTGTGGGACCTGCTGAGCCAGGCACGAGAGGGGATCCCCTGGTCTGCCAGTTGCTAATACAGTGGGAATAGTGCAGTATTTGGTCAGGAGTGTACCATTTCTCCAGATACAGTTTGTCATTCCTTCTCTTGGCTAGGAAAGGGAAATCCCCCGACCCCTTGCGCTTCCTGAGTGAGGCGACACCCTGTCTTGCTTCAGCTCGCCCTCTGTGGACTGCACCCACTGTTCAACCAGGACCAGTGAGATAAACCAGGTACCTCAGTTGGAAATGCAGAAATCACTCGTCTTCTGCATTGATCACACTGGTAGCTGCAGACCGGAGCTGTTCCTATTCAGCCATCTTGGAAGCGACTAGAAAAATGTTCTAAAAATTCAAACAGCTGGTTTTACTTGTAAGGTTAGAAATTTGCTTTACTTTACCTTAATATTAGTTTGTCTACTTCCAAATTTCAAATAATGAAATGCCAACTTGTGAATACTACCAATGACTAAACAGTTTTTAAGTATGTGACTTTAATCCAAACAGTGATAAACAGACAGAAATTTTGACTTGGTAACAGTAGCTTTTCCATCCTAGGTAGACTTGTTCTGCCTTTAGATTAAGAAACCCTGAAGACTATCCCATGTCATCTTTGTATCACAGTGGTGGTGGTTGGAAACAAAACACAGAGTTGATCCATGTTATTCTAAAGGCAACTTTCCTCTAGCTGTTTATTGTAGTCACATGCCAGTTTCTAAAATAGTATAACCAAAGACAGAAATTGAGCTCCATTTTCCCAGGTGACTCTTCCAAAATATCAGTGACAGGTAAGTACAAGAGTCTGGCATTATGGCAGTAGTTTAGAATTAAAATTTTGGTTTTTTTTTCATTAGTTCTAAAGCATTTCTATTAGGATACTTCTTTAAAGCCTCAGTCAATGAGGTGAAAAGCCTTTCCAGAAACCCCATGACTATTATTATGTTACTACAATAAAGCTTTTGCAAAGGTCCCTGCAATTTTTTTACATTAATAGATGCCTCATTCTTGAAAACAGAGATTCTCACTCAGAATATTGTGAAAAATGGAAAGAATAGATCCTCAAAGTTACATGTAACTAACAGTATGTGAAAAAGCAGGGTTGAATGTTCAAAACAAAGTGGTAAATCAGATATTAAGAAGTAATACCATATTTAATTATAAAAATCTATATTTTTCCTGATAATTTCTCTCTAATTGAAGGGTAAGTAAGAGGTATACAAGCATCCAGGTTCTGATCTATGGATACTTTCAACATATTCATTAAATCTTACCACTGAATGAAGAATAATGACTGTATTTAAGAATTCCTTCTAATTAATGATATAGTTAATTAAAAATAAAAGAGCACTCTTGAGACCTCTATTTCCTAATATTTATTCCTTTTAACTATCTAATTCCACACAGTAAAATGTGTCTAATCATGAGGAAAAAAGATCAATCATCAAAACTTTCTTTTTAAGTTTTGAACTTGGAATTTTCAAGCAACATTTTTTGTGAGATAAATAAAAACAAGTCAATGTACTTATACTTGTTAGAGTTTATCCTTTTCTACTGTCAAGGAGATAAGTAGATCTGTACTATTTCGCTTCTAAGAGAGTTTTTCAAGGAAGGAAAACAAAATATTCTTGAAGTTAAGACTTTTTTCTGATTTTTGAGAAATATTAGTATAATGAAGAGAATATTTTAAGTGTGATTAGTGGGGACAGAAAGAACCAAAGTTTTTAGAGGATTATGACCCTTGATACTGGGAAATAGGCAATTGGGAAGTAAATCAAAAGAAAAGGAGAAAAATCTAATGCAGTCATTTTTTTTCTGAGACAGCAACCTTGCAGAGTTTCTCTAGGGATGTTTCACAATTTCCCAGCTCTTCATATTTGCCAGTGGCAATAAAAGCCAAAAGAATGGATTGAGAGCATGAGGAAGGAGTCAATCGTAGATTAGAGGAAGGTGAAGAGATGTCTAGTAGAGAAAGTAGCATTCACATTTCTATGATGAATTCCCTGCAGGGGCAATGCTGGCCTAGATGTCTTTGATACCGATATAACCTAATTTCTAAGTTATTTTATGAAGAAAAGTAAAAGTTACAAAATATATTAGAGTATGAAATATTCTAATATATCCTTGCCTACTTCATAGTGGGCACTTAATGAATCAATAAAGATTAGGTATGTTATGAACCTGTTTTGTGCCTGAAACCAGTTCAATTGTCAATTGGTGTATTTCATTTTGATGTTTCTTTTCATTTAGTTACCAGAAAATCAAAAATATCTTTTTAAAAATCTAGATTATTTCTATTGCTTTCTACTTATTCAGGGTTTCCATTAGTATACAGTAAATTTTATGATGTATGCTATTAATTATAAGTATTGAAACTCACTTCCTGGGCTATCTTTATCCTTTGCTCTCAGATTGACTGTAGGAGTAACGTTGTCTGTAGATGTTTTGGAGTAGTTGTCTCTGAGATGGTCATGATTCTGTTGGTTAAAAATCTTTGAAAAAGGTTAATTAGGCAGGGTGAAAACATTAGTGCTAGGCATATTATTAGGAGATGGCCCAGTGAAAGTTAAATATTTTTTGTAAAATATATTTTGTAAAAGTTACAAAGTTTAAGATATAGTGATTGCAATTGATGTATTTCATTTTCTTTTTATTTAGTTACCAGAAAAAGAAAGTCAAAAATTTTTTTTAAAAATCTAGATTATCTCTATTGTTTTCTACTTATTCAGGGTTTCCATTAGTATACAGTAAATTTTATGATGTATGCTATTAATTATAAGTATTGAAGCTCACTTCCTGGACTATCTTTAGTTATAGTTGTTAAGAGCAATTATTTACTAGACCGAAAATTGCTCAAAGACATCTTTTCTGTGTGTTGTGTGGAGGGAAGAGGGAGTGGAATCTTGATGTTATTGTACCTATACAGCCTTAAAGTATATTCTTTCATTCATTTTATAGTACTAAGTTTAGATAACAAATAGCAATTTAACCTTCTCCAATCTCTATTTCTTCATCTGTTAAAACCACCCGGAACAGTTATGCAGACTAAAGAAGTTAGTATATGTGAAGACACTTGAACCGGTTTCAGGAACAAAACAGTTCCTAATATACCTAATCTTTATTGATTCATTAAGTGCCCACTATGAAGTAGGCAAGGATATATTGGAATATTTCATACTTTAAATTTCTGAGGCACATTCATGACTAGGTCAGTAGCAGAACCCGAAGCATGACCCAGTAACCTTGTTACATACTAGTATTCTGTCCCTAACAATGGTTTGTGAGAAGTCCTTTATGTACTTCCTACCTAGGCTATCGGGAGCCTTTCTACCAGAAACTCAGAACTATTACAGCACTGACTAGTCAGCAATACCAGCATCATCTGCAGCACATGAAGATTCTTGCTGGGCTAGAGGTCTGTATGAGGCACCCTGGCTCTAGTTCCACCATGTTTCTCTTCCCTGACCCATGGTGCTTCACTACCATTCCAGTCATGACTTTGCTTTTCCGCATAGGAAATAGGAGCCTCATAATAAATATGCCATAGAACAAAATGACTGACAGATAATATCCTGCTATAGGAACTAGGGGGATAAGTAACCCATTTGCTAGATTTGTGTGACAATGAGTGTAATTTTTGTGATTTATTTAAGGTAAGAATGTCCATATCTTCTTTAAAAGATTAGGCAACACAATAAAATAAATGTATGTGTTATGCTAGCATCATAAGGACATCTTGACATTTCTTTTCATTTTATGACAAGTGTTTTACAAGTTTCTCTCTAATGTTTTCAGAAATCAGTAGTTAAGTATATAAAATTATGATTCTATATCTCTGGAAAAAATTACAGAAACCTTTCTTTAGGTGATTAACTTCAATATTTTCAAAGTTCATAGATCTTAAATGTTAGCTTAAATTTTAAGCCATCAACCTTCTGACACTTCCAGCTTGCCCTATACATGACACAAGCATACTCCCACAATCAGAGACTCAGGGACTTTCCTCATGGGATGAACTGAAGGGATATGGTTGGGCACTGACAGTATCTTGGTAGAGTAAGGAATGCTTGTAAGAGTTAAAGAAAGAGAAAAGAAACATGAAAAGCAGCTTAACAGTCAAAGACAAGTTTATTTTGGAGAATAAATCTGAGAGGGTCTTCTGGCTGATTTCGATCAGGAGCATTCTCTCTTACAGATTAAAGGTATTTAAGGGTTTAGAGGGTGGGAACTTACTGCAGGCTCGGAATGTTTCTGTGTGAAGGACAGTTTGATTGTGGGGTTGGAATGTCTCTGGTCAGAGGGGAGGTTATCTCAGGATTGGCATGTTTCTGGTCACAGGGAGGTTTATCTCAGGGTTGGAATGTTTCTGGCCATGCTGACATTAGCCATTAGGCTGTTTTGGGGCTGGATTTAGACGGTTTTTAATCAAAGGGGAACTTAAAATGATGGTGTTTGCCCAAGATGGTGATGCTCCTGCTCTGTCAATCCACACCCTATAGTTATAAAAGGACAAGGGGCAGTGTGTTCTTTCCGGCTACTTCCTGCTGAGGTGGGGACGGAGAATTCTTTGGTCTCAGATTGACTGTAGGAGTAACGTTGCCTGTAGATGTTTTTGGGTAGCTGTCTGTGAAATGATCATGATCCTGTCGGTTAAAAATCTTTGAAAAAGGTTAATTAGGCAGGGTGAAAACATTAGTACTAGGCATATTATTAGGAGATGGCCCAGGAATGGGATGACCCATGATATGATTTTGTTCCCAAACCAAGAATCTATTTGGTTGTTTTGGTATTCTTTTAGCATTTTAGCCCTTTCTTTAAGTTTTTCAGCAGCATTTCTTAGTTGGTCCAATTGGATGAGATAGAAGCAACATTCATGGCAATGTTCCTGCTCTGTCAATGCTAATGAGTCAAAAACATTTAAGATTGTTTCAATCTGTGTGACTGAGAGGCAAGTAATAGAATAAGTAAAGTCAAAAAGAACAGCAGTGTTTGGACTCTAAATCTAGTCTTGGTAGCACTGGGCAAGTGAGGCTATTGGGACAATCAGAAACGTGTCTGAAACCTGAGAACTGATGTGGGTAATACACAGCATGAACAAGGCTGAGGTTGGTAACAGGAGAAAAATTGACATCTAGGAGGCAAGAAGAAAAAAGACCCCCTAAAAAATAAGCATAAAGATTGAAAGAGAGCCAGATTTTAGTGGCATTGAACTAATAGCATTACGCTAATTTTGTAACATAGAATTTTTATCCAAGTTAATTTTCTTTGAATATTATTAGGTTGGGGCAAAGTAGTTGTGGCTTTTGCCATTGAAAGTAATAGCAAAAGCCACAATTACATTTGGACCGATAATAATTCAGAGATGTACCAAAGTTTATGGAATATTAAATTTTAGGATATTAAGTTGCACCTATTGCTGATTTAAGAGTGGCAATAAGATGAAATATACAGATTAATATTTACTAAAATAGACACTGTTTCCTGAGATTCAGTTTTCTAGTACTGCTCAATATTTTTCCACTTTCAGAAATATTATCCTCAGGACAGCCATAGAACAAACGTCAAAAACTTACAACTAGATTTTAACTCGATTTTATTTTAGTTAAACAAGGTTTTAGCCACTCGGAATTAACTAAATTCAAACCTAGTTTTAACACCACCTTAAAAGCATTATTTTAAATCACTTGAAATTAACTAAAAAGAGAGAATTTTGTATAAATGCCTGCATAAAAAGGAAACAAGGCCTCAAACAACCTAAATGTTTACCTTAAGGCACTAGAAGAAAAAACTAAGCCCAAAGCTAGCAGAGGGAAAGAAATAATAAATGTTAGAGCACAAATTAATCAAATAGAGAATAAAAAAAGAATAATCAATAAAACTGAATATATTTTTTAAAAAGATAAATAAAATTGACATAACTTTAGTTAGACTAAGAAAGAGGACTCAAATTCATAGAATCAGATATAAACGAGGCAACATTACAACAGATGCCTGAGAAATATGAAGAATCATAAGAGACCATTATTAACAAACACATGCCAACAAATTAGATAAGCTGAAAGAAACAGGTAAATTCATAGAAACACACAACCTACCAAAACTGAATCCAGAAGAAAAATAAAGCTTGAACAGACCAATAACAAAGATGAAGACTGAATTAGTAATTAAAAATCTTCCAAAGAAGAAAAGCATAGGGCCAGATGGCTTCACAGCTGTATTCTATCAAACATTCAAAGAAAAATTAGTACTAACCCTTCTTAAATTCTTTCAGAAAATAAAAAAAGGAACACTTCAAAACTTACTTTATGAGCTTATCCACTACAACCAAGTCGGCTTCATCTCTGGGATACAAAGCTGGTTCAACATATACAAATCAATAAATGTAATTCATCACATAAGCAGAACTAATGACAAAAACCACATGATTATCTGACTAAATGAAGAAAAGGCCTTTGATAAAACTCAACATCACGTCATGTTAAAAATTCTCAATAAACTAGGTATTGATGGAGCATATCTCAAAATAATAAGAGCCATTTATGACCAACCCACAGCCAATATCATACTGCATGGGCAAAAGCTGGAGGCATTCCCTTTGAAAACTGGCATAAGACAAGGATGCCCTCTCTCACCATTCCTATTCAACACAGTATTGGAAGTTCTGGCCAGGGCAATCAGGCAAGAGAAAGAAATAAAGGGTATTCAAATAGGAAGAAAGAAAGTCAAATTGTCTCTGTTTGCGTACAACATGATTCTATATTTAGAATATCACATCATCTCAGCCCAAAATCTCCTTAAGCTGATAAGCAACTTCAGCAAAGTTTCAGAATACAAAATCTATGTGTAAAAATCAAAAGCATTCCTATACACCAACAATAGAAAAGCAGAGAGCCAAATCACAAATGAACTCCCATTCACAATTGCTACAAAGAGGATAAAATACCTAGGAATACAGCTAGCAAGGGATGTGAAGGACCTCTTCAAGGAGAACTACAAACCACTGCTCAAGGAAATAAGACAGAATACAAACAAATGGAAATATGTTCCATGCTTGTGGATAGGAGGAATCAATATCGTGAAAATGGCCATACTGCCCAAAGCAATTTACAGATTCAATGCTATTCCCATCAAACTACCATTGATATTCTTCACAGAATTTGAAATAACTACTTTAAAATACGGAACCCAAAAAGAGCCTGAATAGCCATGACAATCCTAAGCAAAAAGAACAAAGCTGGAGACATCATGCTACCCAACTTCAAACTATACCACACGGCTACAGTAACCAAAACCGCATGATACTGGTACCAAAACAGACAGATAGACTAATAGAACAGAATAGAGATCTCAGAAATAAGACCATGCATCTACAACCATCTGATCTTTGAGAAACCTGACCAAAACAACCAATGGGGAAAGGATTCCCTATTTAATAAATCATGCTGGGAAAACTGGCTAGCCATATGCAGAAAATTGAAACTGGACCCCTTCGATATACTTTATACAAAAATTAACTCAAGATGGATTAAAGACTTAAATGTAAAACCCAAAACTATGCAAACCCTAGAAGAAAATCTAGGCAATACTATTTAGGATATAGGCACAGGAAAAGATTTCATGATAAAAACACCAAAAGCAACTGCAACAAAAGCAAAAATTGACAAATGGGACCTAACTAAAAAGCTTCTGCACAGCAAAAGAAACTATTATCAGAGTGAACAGAAAACCTACGAATTTGAGAACATTTTTGCAATCTATCCATCTGACAAAGGTCTAATATCCAGAATCTGCAAAAAACCTTAAATATACAAGAAAAAAAACATCAAAATGTGGGCAAAGGACACGAACAGACACTTCTCAAAAGAAGACATTCATGTGGCCAACAAATATATGAAAAAAAGCTAAACATCATTGATCATTAGAGAAATGCAAACCAAAACCACAGTTAGATACCATCTCACACCAGTCAGAATGGCAATTATTAAAAAGTCAAGAAACAACAGGTGCTGGTGAGATTGTGGAAAAATAGGAACACTTTTACACTGTTGGTGGAAATGTAAATTAGTTAATCCTTTGTGGAAGACAGTGTGGCAATTTCTCAAGGACCTAGAACCAGAAATACTACTCAAGCCAGCAATCCCATTACTGGGTATATACCCAAAGGAATATACATCATCCTATTATGAAGATACATGCACGTGTATGTTCATTGCAGCACTATTCACAATGGCAAAGACATGGAATCAACCCAAATGCCCATCAATGATAAATTGGACAAAGAAAATGTGGTATATATACACCATGGAATACTATGCAGCCATAAAAAGGAAAAGGATTATGTCCTTTACATGGACACAGATACAGCTGGAAGCTGTAATTCTCAGCAAACTAACTCAGGAAAAGAAAACCAAACACTGCATGTTCTCACTCATAAGTAGGAGCTGAACAATGAGAACATGTGAACACAGAGAAGGGAACAACACATACCAGGGCCTGTCTGGAGGGTGGGAGAAGGGAGAGCATCAGGATAAATAGCTAATGCATGTGGGGCTTAATAGCTAGGTGATGGGTTGATAGGTGCAGCAAACCGCCATGGCATACATTTACCTATGTAACAAACCTGCACATCCTGCACATGTATCCCAGAACTTAAAATAAAATAATTTTTTTAAAAAAACTTTTTTTGTGAAGCTAGCATCATTTTTATACCAAAACTAGAAAAAGACAACACAAGTAAATAAAGCTAAAGGCCAATATCCCTGATAAACATAGATGCAAAAGTTCTCAATAAAATACTAACAAGTCAAATTCAATGGCACATTAAAAGGATCATAACCATGACCAAGTGGTATCTATTCCTGGGATACAAGTATGGTTCAACACACACAAATCCATCAAGTGATACATTACACTAACAAAACAAAATGGGGAAAAATCACCTCAATAAATGAAGAAAAAGCATTTGAAAAGTTCAATACTCATTCATGATTAAAACCCTTAACAAAATAAACACAGAAAGAATTTACCTTAACACAACAAAGGCCATATATAAAAAGTACTGCTAGTATAATCAATGGGGAAAAATGGAAAGCTTCTGTCTCAGATTCGATACTAGACAAGTATGCCCACTCTCACCATTTCTGCTCAGCATAGTACTGGAAGTCCTAAGCAGAGCAATCAGACAGAAAAAAAAAGAAACAAAAGTTATCTAACTCAGAAAAGAAGAAATAAAATTAACTCAGAAATAAACTCAGAAATTAACGCAGAAATGACTCAGAAATAACTCAGAAATAAAATTAACTCAGAAAAGAAGAAATAAAATTATCTTTGTTTGCAGTTGACATAATAATATATGCAGAAAACCTTAAAGACTAAACAGAAATTTTATTAGAACTAAGGAAAATTCAGTAAAGTTCCAGGATACAAAATCAGGATACAAAAATCAGTAGCATTTCTTTCTTTTTCTTTTTGAAACAGTCTCACTCTGTCACCCAAGCTGGAGTACAGTGGTTCAGTGGCACGATTATGGCTCACTGCAACCTCTGCCTCCTGGGTTCTAGCAATTCTCCTGCCTCAGCCCCCCCAAGTAGCTAGGACTACAAGCGTGTGCCAACATGCTCAAGTAATTTTTGTAATTTTGGTAGAGATGGGGTTTCACCATGTTAGCCAGCCTGGTCTCGAACTCCTGGGCTCAAGTGATCCACCCACCTTGACCTCCCAAAGTGCTGAGATTACAGGTGTGAGCCACCATGCCCAGCCAATCAATAGCATTTCTATACAATAATAACAAACTACAGAAATTAAGAAAATAATTCATTATAGCAACACAAATAATAAAATAGGAATAAACTTAACAAAAGAGGTTAAATACTTGTACAATGAAAATTCTAAATTTCATTACTGAAGGAAATTAAAGAAGACACAGATGAATAGAAAGGCATCCATTGTTCATGGATTAGAATTAGTATTGTCAAAATTTCCACACTACCGAAAGTGGTCTACAGATTCAATGCACTCCCCATCAATATCGCAATGCCATTTTCTACAGAAATAGAAAAAAAACCAGCCTTGCATCCCAGGAATGAAGCCCACTTGATCATGGTGGATAAGCTTTTTGATGTGCTGCTGGATTCGGTTTGCCAGTATTTTATTGAGGATTTTTGCATCAATGTTCATCAAGGATATTGGTCTAAAATTCTCTTTTTTGGTTGTGTCTCTGCCCGGCTTTGGTATCAGAATGATGCTGGCCTCATAAAATGAGTTAGGGAGGATTCCCTCTTTTTCTATTGATTGGAATAGTTTCAGAAGGAATGGTACCAGTTCCTCCTTGTACCTCTGGTAGAATTCGGCTGTGAATCCATCTGGTCCTGGACTCTTTTTGGTTGGTAAACTATTGATTATTGCCACAATTTCAGCTCCTGTTATTGGTCTATTCAGAGATTCAACTTCTTCCTGGTTTAGTCTTGGGAGAGTGTATGTGTCGAGGAATTGGGATGCAAGGCTGGTTCAATATACGCAAATCAATAAATGTAATCCAGCATATAAACAGAGCCAAAGACAAAAACCACATGATTATCTCAATAGATGCAGAAAAAGCCTTTGACAAAATTCAACAACCCTTCATGCTAAAAACTCTCAATAAATTAGGTATTGATGGGACCTATTTCAAAATAATAAGAGCTATCTATGACAAACCCACAGCCAATATCATACTGAATGGGCAAAAACTGGAAGCATTCCCTTTGAAAACTGGCACAAGACAGGGATGCCCTCTCTCACCACTCCTATTCAACATAGTGTTGGAAGTTCTGGCCAGGGCAATTAGACAGGAGAAGGAAATAAAGGGTATTCAATTAGGAAAAGAGGAAGTCAAATTTTCCCTGTTTGCAGACGACATGATTGTATATCTAGAAAACCCCATTGTCTCAGCCCAAAATCTCCTTCAGCTGATAAGCAACTTCAGCAGTCTCAGGATACAAAATCAATGTACAAAAATCACAAGCATTCTTATACACCAACAACAGACAAACAGAGAGCCAAATCATGAGTGAACTCCCATTCACAATTGCTTCAAAGAGAATAAAATACCTAGGAATCCAACTTACAAGGGATGTGAAGCACCTCTTCAAGGAGAACTACAAACCACTGCTCAAGGAAATAAAAGAGGATACAAACAAATGGAAGAACATTCCATGCTCATGGGTACGAAGAATCAATATCGTGAAAATGGCCATACTGCCCAAGGTAATTTACAGATTCAATGCCATCCCCATTAAGCTACCAATGCCTTTCTTCACAGAATTGGAAAAAACTACTTTAAAGTTCATATGGAACCAAAAAAGAGCCCGCATTGCCAAGTCAATCCTAAGCCAAAAGAACAACAGCTGGAGGAATCACACTACCTGACTTCAAACTATACTACAAGGCTACAGTAACCAAAACAGCACGGTACTGGTACCAAAACAGAGATATAGATCAATGGAACAGAACAGAGCCCTCAGAAATAACGCCGCATACCTACAACTATCTGATCTTTGACAAACCTGAGAAAAACAAGCAATGGGGAAAGGATTCCCTATTTAATAAATGGTGCTGGGAAAACTGGCTAGCCATATGTAGGAAACTGAAACTGGATCCCTTCCTTACACCTTATACAAAAATCAATTCAAGATGGATTAAAGATTTAAACATTAGACCTAAAACCATAAAAACCCTAGAAGAAAACCTAGGCATTACCATTCAGGACATAGGCATGGGCGAGGACTTCATGTCCAAAACACCAAAAGCAATGGCAACAAAAGACAAAATTGACAAATGGGATCTAATTAAACTCAAGAGCTTCTGCACAGCAAAAGAAACTACCATCAGAGTGAACAGGCAACCTACAAAATGGGAGAAAATTTTCGCAACCTACTCATCTGACAAAGGGCTAATATCCAGAATCTACAGTGAACTCAAACAAATTTACAAGAAAAAAACAAACAACCCCATCAAAAAGTGGGCGAAGGACATGAACAGACACTTCTCAAAAGAAGACCTTTATGCAGACAAAAAACACATGAAAAAATGCTCATCATCACTGGCCATCAGAGAAATGCAAATCAAAACCACTATGAGATACCATCTCACACCAGTTAGAATGGCAATCATTCAAAAGTCAGGAAACAACAGGTGCTGGAGAGGATGTGGAGAAATAGGAACACTTTTACACTGTTGGTGGGACTGTAAACTAGTTCAACCATTGTGGAAGTCAGTGTGGTGATTCCTCAGGGATCTAGAACTAGAATTACCATTTGACCCAGCCATCCCATTACTGGGTATATACCCAAATGACTATAAATCATGCTGCTATAAAGACACATGCACACGTATGTTTATTGCGGCATTATTCACAATAGCAAAGACTTGGAACCAACCCAAATGTCCAACAATGATAGACTGGATTAAGAAAATGTGGCGCATATACACCATGGAATACTATGCAGCCATAAAAAATGATGAGTTCATGTCCTTTGTAGGGACATGGATGAAATTGGAAATCATCGTTCTCAGTAAACTATCGCAAGATCAAAAAACCAAACACCACATATTCTCACTCATAGGTGGGAACTGAACAATGAGATCACATGGACACAGGAAGGGGAATATCACACTCTGGGGACTGTGGTGGGGTTGGGGGAGGGGGGAGGGATAGCATTGGGAGATATACCTGATGCTAGATGATGAGTTAGTGGGTGCAGCGCACCAGCATGGCACATGTATACATATGTAACTAACCTGCACAATGTGCACATGTACCCTAAAACTTAAAGTATAATAAAAAAAAAAAGAAATAGAAAAAAAAATATTAAATTCACAGGAAATCTATAGAGACTTGAATAATGAAAGCAGTCCTGAGTAAGGAAAACAAACCTGGAGGCATCACACTTTTTGACTTCAAAATATGTTACAAAGCTACAGTAAAGTAATCAAAACACTATGGTGATGGCATAAAAACAGACACATAGACCAACAGAAGAGAATAGAAAGCTGAGAAATAAATCCACCTAGTTACAGTCAATCGATCTTTGACAAGGATGCCAAGAACACACAAGGGGAAAAGAATAGTCTCTTCAATAAATAGTGTTTGGAAAATTAGACAGCCATATGCAAAATGAAATTAGACCTTTATCCCAGACAATATACAAAAATGTATTCAAAATGTATTAAAGGCTTAAAAGGAAGACTGGAAGCCATAAAACTATTAGAAGAAATTATGGGAGAAAAATTTCTCGACACTGGTTTGGGCAATGATTTTTAAAATATAACACCAAAAGTATGAACATCTAATGCAAAAATTGACAAATGGGATTGCATCAAACTAAAAAGCTTCTGCAAAGCAAAGGAAACAATTAAAAAACTAAAGGCAGCCTATGAATGGGAGAAAATATTTGCAAGCCTTACCTCTGATAAGAGTTTAATATCCAAAATATATAAAGAGGGCTGTGCACAGTGGCTCACGCTTGTAAATCCAGCACTTTAAGAGGCCTAGGCAGCTGGATCACTTGAGGCCAGAAGTCCGAGACCAGCCTGGCCAACATGATGAAATCCAGACTCTACTAAAAAGACAAAAATTAGCCGGGTGTGCTGGTACACACCTGTAATCCCAGCTACTCTGGAGGGTGAGGCACAAGAATTGCTTGAACCCGGGAAGCCAGGGTTGCAGTGAGACAAGATTGCACCACTGCACTCCAGCCTAGGTAACAAAGCAAGACTCTGTCTCAAAAATACATACCTATGTTTTATTAAAATATACATATATGTATACATTTTTATTAAAATATACATATACACATATATGTATGTGTGTATGTGCGTGTGTGTGTATATATATATATGTAAATGGATCTCACAAAGCTCAATAGCAAGAAAACAAACATCTAATCTTAAAATGGGCAAAGAACTGGAATAGACATTTCTCCAAAGACATACCAATGGCCAACAGATTTTTGAAAAGGGGCTAATCATCACCAATTATCAGGGAAATGCACATCAGATGGAAGTGAGATATCATCTCACACCTGTTAAAGTGACTATTATCAAAAGGAAAAGAAAAGATGTGTTCCAATGATGTGGAGAAAAGGGAACCCTTGTACACCGTTGATGGAAATGTAAACTGGTACAGTCATTATAAAAAAACAGTACAAAGGTTCCACAAAAAATTTAAAAGTACAACTACCTTATAACCCAGGAATCCTACTTCTGGGTATAAATACAAGGAAAATGAAATCAACATCTTTAAGAGATATCTTCACTCCGTGTTCATTGCAGCATTATTCGCAATAACCAGGATATGCAATCAACCTAAGTGTCCATCCATGAATCTATGGATAAAGAAAGTGTGGTATATATACACAATGGAACCTTATACAGTCTTTAAAAGGAAAAAATCCTGACATTTGTGACAATATGGATGAATCCAGAAGCCATTGTGCTAGGTGAAATAAACCAGACAGTAAAAGACAAATATTGCATGATCTCACTTAAATGTGGATTCTGAAACAACCAAACTCACAGAAATAGAAAGTAGAATGGTGATTTCCAGGGACTGGTAGTGGAAGGGAAAAATGAGGAAATGTGAATGATAGGTCTGAACTTTCAGTTATGCAAGTCTCAGTTATGCAAGTTCTGGAGACCTTACATGTAGCAATGTGAATATTGTTAACAGTACTGTATTGTACACTTAAAATTTGCTAAGAGAGTAGACCTTAAATGTTCTCATTACACACACACGCACACACACACACATACACAAATCAATGATTAGGAAATTTTTAAAATTAAAGACAGCATATTTTGTGAAAAGCTAGTTTATAATCCTAGCTATTGTATTCATTATTACATACCCGTAATATAGTCATTTGGTCCAAACAACTTTTGCCTTTCTTTAATAAGAAAGTTGTTTCCATTTTTTCCTAATTCAGAAAGAACTTAAAATGGCACTGCCACTGCAAAGTTAGCTATTGTTGGGATTGCAAATGTTGCTCTCCTAATCGATACCGTACTTCAGGTCCAGGTGCCTAGCAGTTTTGTGACTACAGAAAATATAAGGCAATAAAAGCATGCCAGAAATGTGCTAGCAGGAAGACAAAGGAAAAAGACAATGAGGTCCTTTTTGAGAGATTCTTCAGGCTTATTATCTCTCATTGTAGTATCTTAGCAGCATAAAGAACTGGTTTTCTTTTTTTGTTTAATGTTAAAACTTCTAATATCCAGATATCAAATGAACTCCGTGATAATTTTAGTAGATTAGTTCTCATTTTTTCAGCCTTTTAGCTTAAGCCTGCTTATCAGTAATGGAAAAATGATGATTACTTTCTTCAGAGTGTTTTACGGTAACTTATCCACAGATATTAGGTTAACAAAGCCATGTGGAGCACATAGTTCTTAAAGCCCATATTGAGCCAAAATTTATCTCACATTAAAAAATCACAGAACTTGCCTTTCTGACCAATTCCTGATTATTTTCATGCCACAAGCTGACAATATTTAGTTTTCTATCAAATAAATTTAAGGTCGTGCTTCTGACCATAAAGTATTCTGTCTCCACATATTTTTATTACTTTGTTTAAAAATGTTTACTCCCATAGGATTTTGTGTGTATGTACAAAAGCTAGAAGTTATAATATTTAATCAATTACAAAGCAGATTTACTTTCAAAAACTTTTGCATAGATGCTAGAAATGACTAAATGCATGTCTATAAAAGACTGAAAAAAAACTTGGCAATGAGACAAAAGACTTTTTGCATTCCCTTGATTGCCTAAATTCTTCACTTTGGAGCTGATTATTCTGGCATCATGTAGAGTGTAGACAGAATATTAGTATTCTGTCTATTCTAAATTTCCAGACAAATCACAGTTCTCACAAATTGGCACTTGGACAATGTCTTCAAACTCCATGTTTCACTTTGAGATCCATCCATTTTTGGGCAACCTCATCTTACGTACACAGGAGAAGTAGAGTGAAAGAGGATATCCTACGAAAGGTGTCTCAAAGCTTCAGCAATCACAACTGAAGGAACATTCTAGATATTGCACTAAAAAATTCACTAAACCCTTGTAAGTCATTTTTCCCTTTAAAATAATCACTTCTGCTCTAAGAATCAAGAGGTTGTTTAACTTTTAGTCTTTATCAAAAAATATTCAGTTTGAAATGTCAAATAGTTCTGAAAGCGTAACAAAAACAAGTTTTCACGTATCCCTACCTCTTCACCTCTCCCACACACAATCACCATCCTACTTACCATAGGCAACCATTTTCATGTTTATTGCCTATTTCATGTTATTTATTTACTTCTCTATTACTAAATAATATATTTGTTGTCAGATCTTTGTTCATCAATTCTAGCTATCATCCTTTTGCTTCCCATTATAGTAAGTGAAAATATCAGGTCCCTTACAATCTATCTTGCCCTCCACTGATCTACCCAACATAATATAATTTTTGCCTAATCTCTATTTATTCATGTATTGTTTGTATTACCACATATTTCTTCACCAAATAAGTATATTAAAATTATGTGTCTTTCCTGTCAATCCTTGTGTAGTGTTTGCCTGGCAATTTTTTTTACTTGCATGTTACTTATTTTTGAACCACAGGCAGTTTTTCCTGAAACAGGACCATTTTCCCATAATGAGCTAAAAGCGCTACTTGGGAAAATGTAATTAAAATAAAATCTCGTCCCCGTCCAGAAAACTTCTTCACAAAGGTAAAAGAGAAATAAAGCAATTTTATTATCTAACAAGCATTAAAACCAGAATGTGATGTGCATCATAGCATAATCCACTAAAGAGATTGCAAGAGCAGAAAGGTTTATCGCACTGTTATACAGCCAAATAGATACAACTCACATGCATATTCTCTGAATAAACAATAACTAGTTCCCCAGTAAGAGGACCTATCAGCACCATCTGTCATACGTAGAATTAAGATTTGTAAATTTACTTAATAACTGAATTGGCTTTATCCAAAGGAAAAATAAACTTCTCATATCTTTATAACAGGAGGTAGTTTGAGACCAAGGACCTGACTACCTTAGGTTCCTTCCCTTCCACACAACCTAGGAGATAGGGGCTTTATCTTCCTTGATGATTACATTTCAAAGAGATGGTTCCCAGGTTTTGAAGAAAAAGACATTCCTGGGTCATTAAATGGGCAAAAGGCTCTTTTGGCTTTTGAAAAGATTTACATACATTTCAAAGATACAGAAATAAGTTACAATTACAGGTTTTCTAAAATAAAAGCTCTAAGCAAAGGGAGGGGAGAGAGGTCTCTTACCTTATTTTCAACAGGAAGAATTAAACCTTTTATTTTTAATTTGCATTTGCCTTTACACACCCCATCGTGTAGTAGCAAACTCATAAAAGCCCTGTGGAATATTTAAAAATTTTTAGAAAAGCAAAGCAATACTTCATATCTGTTGAACTTTGTACAAACTGCTAGATTGAGGAATTCAGAGTCTTAACATTTAATTGTACTGTATTCCTTAGGTGACGTTGTATCTTTGCAAAGTTGGGTCTTCAACAATCGCTATGATAAAAAGAAATTACCTGTGAAAATCAATGTGAGATATAAAAGGAGGAAGTCGGTATCCAATCCAGTTTCGAGGTTTAAGTTGTGCAGTCTCCGGAAGGTACACACATTAGTAATTGTGATTATTTAAGAATGAAATAAAAATATATTAATATACTTTATGAGTATTGCTTTCGTATAATTATCTAATTTTAGGAAATAAATATTTACTAATTTTTGGACCTATTTAGTTAATAAAAAAAAATGTTAGCCATTTCTTAGGGTCTAGGTATTCCAGGAAAAAAAATTACGGAAACATTAAGTTTGCTGTGAACAGAGAAAATGTGGTAACCCCTGGACTAGTATCTAATCTATGCAAAACTGCTGTACTAATTTATAGGGTTACAGTAAACTCACCTCGGTGTGTACACCTTTTCTTCATTTTTTTTTCTTTGAGACGTAGTCTCCTCTTTCACCCAGGCTGGAATGCAATGGCATGATCTCGGCTCACTGCAACCTCCGTTCCCGGGTTCCAGCAAGTCTCTTGCCTCAGCCTCCTGAGTAGCTGGGATTACAGGCACCCGCCATCATGCCCGGTTAATTTTTGTATTTTTGCAGAGACAGGGTTTCGCCACGTTGGCGGGGTTGCTCTTCAGCTCCTGACCTCGGCCTCCCAAAGTGCTGGGATTACAGGCGTGAGCCGCCGCGCCCGGCCCCTTTCTTCACATTAATGGCAGAAAGATATTTGCTCCCTCCTATCCTCTGAGAGTTAAGGCTATATTCATTAGAATGGGAAAAATTTGAAGTCAATCTTTTTACCTAGGAGGAAAAAAACACAAATCCAAGATGGCGCCTAACTTATGCTTTGTTTACCCTCCCCACCCCCAGCAGGGGTCCGCTGCTCTATTGTCATAGGAATAACAAGGCTTATTATTCACATTTATATGTGCATGAGAGTGAATTTATGAAAAAATAACTTTCCACCAAAATAGAAACATCCATCCAACAGAGCACCAGACCACCTGGGCCTATTAATTCACTGAAAATTGGGAAAATGCTCTCAAAACACATCCCTTCATAAACCAAATAGTTATTAAAGTACAGCAGTTTTGTGACTGGTGAGGAGGATATGACATTGGAAAAGTCCAATCTTCAGCTAGATAAGTATAGCCCATTGCATTTCCATTCTTGGTGATTTTATGTATACACATTGTGTATCTGCAATGTAGCTAATTATCCAACCCATAAAGGGAAATAGATAAGGAAAGAAACAAGGAAAAGAAAAAAGTTGGCCAGGCGCGGTGACTCACGCCTGTAATCCCAGCACTTCGGGAGGCCGAGGTGGGCGGATCACAAGGTCAGGAGATCGAGATCATCTGGCTAACACAGTGAAACCCCGTCTCTACTAAAAATACAAAAATTAGCCGGGCGTGGCAGCATGCGCCTGTAGTCCCAGCTGCTGGGGAGGCTGAAGCAGGAGAATGGCGTGAACCCAGGAGGCGGAGCTTGCAGTGAGCCGAGATTGCGCCACTGCACTCCAGCCTGGGCGACAGAGCGAGACTCCGTCTCAAAAAAAAAAAAAAAAAAAAAAAAAAAAGAAGTTAACCTGTATGCCATCAACTATTGTATGACTCTGTGTTCTTTTATAAATACTAAATTCATGAACCATTTCCAGAGAAGGTCATTCACTTTAACTGGAATAAAACACAATAGCAAAGTAATTTTCTTAATCCCCTGTATGAGTTTCCTTTCGTGCATCACATTTCCATCCCTCGTTTCTTTTGTCTCATTTCATGTCTTCCATTATAGTGGTTTTAATATGCTTACTCCCCAGTCTCTTATTGGCCCACATTCAAACCATTTACTTAAGTAGCTTTAGTGTGTCTGAGCCTGTGTTATCTCAGCCTGCTCTGTTCACATCAGTCTTTTATGAGTACCCGTCTTATATCAGAATTCAAAGCAGAAAAATAGGATCAATGTCTGTTGAGGACACTGTGGCTTAGTTTTGCAGTTTCTAGCAACTAATTGGTCTGTTATACTCATTTGATTAAAACCACAAATCCATTGACAGATATGCTGTTTAATGAAAAAATAATAGGCTAAGCCTGACTGAAATTTCAGAAGGACTTCTATGTTAGTGAGTCCCAGAATCCAAAATCAAATACCTAGCAACCACAGGATAAGCTACACAACACGTGCTTAGAGAAACTTTAGACAAATTGAAACCAAGTGAAAGAATTTGCACCCCCCTTACTCTCTTAACAGCTTTCACATTTCCCTCAGTTTGACTAAATTTTAGACTTACTTTTTCCTGATTCTAGGCACCTGACATCTCTTTTCCTAGAGCACTTACTCTGAAAAACTTGTAATTCATTCTTTCCCTGCCCCTGCGAGATGTAAATACTTTTAAAGGTCTCTTGCTGATTTTACAATTCAGAAATGTCTTTCTCAAATAGCTAGGGGCCATCCCGTGAAAATTCAATCATCAAGGAAAGTAGTACCCCTATTTCCCAGTTTTTGCAAGAGAATAGGAGCCTAACTTCAGTGGGCTCCTCGCTCTAAGTTGTAAAACTACCTCCTGTCTTGAATATAAAAAAAAATAAAAAAGTTTACTTTTTCTTGGATTAAAGCCAGCTGGCAAACACAGGTGGCCTATGATCTTTCTCTTACTCCACCTCCTAAACACTCTACCTGCTTTTGTTTGAGCAGAGTTGAGTTCTGGTCTTCCTCTTCTATTGCAAATAACCTTGAATAAAGTCGTCCTTGTCTATTTAACTTTGCCTGATGCAGTTTTTGCTTTGACACCCCAAGGCTGGACAAAATTATAAAAATGTTTAAAACTACAAGTTTTACTTTATAGCTTTTTCTGGGACTGGTTCTGGGCTATCAGCCAGGTATTGTAAAGCTGGAAAATAAGAATTCAAAAAGAGCAAGCATTTCCATTTTCAGTTTACATCAAAAAGTGATTCATATTGAAGATTATTAAGTTGTCATATATTCATGAGAGAAATAATGCTTGAAAATAAAATTAAACCAAGAAATTAAATTAAATATTTTGTCACTCTTGATTTTTCTCTAATTATTTCTTGAGAATATATATATATAGGTAATACAGGAAAATGTTTAGTCTATATCTACATACGGCATTCCATTTATTCTGCTTTTACATAGTAAAATCCAATATCTATTCAATGAAGAAATTTTAAATGATGTTTATATATTATCCTTTCTTTGAAATTATAGTCACTACATGCAATATTTGATGCTAGTTTATAGTTCACTGTTGACATAGGGATTGCTGATGGGTTTAGAATGCAAAGGCAACAGGTAAGGTACTGCCATTACTCAAAAAGTAGAAAGCAAGCAAGGTAGAATGGTGGGAAGGGAAGTTAGATGTTGAGTTCAGTTGCTGACAAATTGAGTTTATGATGCTTATGATTTACCCCAAAAGAGATGTCTGCTATGAGCAAAGACATGAGAAGACAGATTAGGCTTGGAATTGGGCATTTGGTAAGCATCGGGGGAGGGGGAAAATATTCTACAGAAGAGAGAACTTGAAGTCTTCAGATGGAAAAAGATGAAAGAGAGAAGAGATTAATATATTCTAGAGAGCAGAGAGAATTTAACTGAGCAAGGTCGCAAAGAAGATCATCACGAAGATTCATAATAGAATGAAAGGACTAGGTTAGTAGATGACCCTGAAAAAGAAGGGGCCTCTTTGCCACTGAGATGAGATGAAATAATAGATATATGTTAATTTGTAAATGGGAGGTAAAGTGGTGTAAATGAAAGCTGAGAATGATCCTATTTAATAATCTGTCTTTTCTCTCTGAAGTAAGAAGTAATACCATCCATGGCAAATAATATTAGGATGCAAAGCACAATAGAAGCTTCTAGATGTCTGCTCCATTATGGAGACAGCTCTAACCAAACCAGTTTCGGCATAGGGCTGTGCAAGTCATTTGTGATCAGGCATTGCTTTGTAACATTATGTCAGTTCATCACTTTCTAAATCACTAACACAGCTGTCACTGTCCTGCATAAAAATCTCAGAGTTGGTGAGTCACTTTCATCATGTGTTGTGGTGACAATTTGAACACTCTCTATTGTATGCTTTTACTGCTTTATTGACTGTATGTAAGCACTGGCTGGCAGGGGTGGAGTATACTTCTGTATAACTGGTGTTAAGCTTGACTCTCTAAACACCTCCTCAATAAGATACCTTGTGAAAAATTGAATTGTTTTAATAAAATTGACTAATTCCACATCTGCAGACATATCTTCCTTACTGTGCTTCACTTTATCATGCTTTGCAAGTTTTGCAATTTTTACAGATTGAAGGTTTGTGGCACAAACCTGTGTTGAACAACTCTATCAGTGCCATTTTTCCAACAGCATAGGTTCCCTTTGTGTCTCTGTGTCACATTTTGGTAATTCTCACAATATTTCAAAATTCTTCATTATTATCTGTTCTGGTGATCTGTCGTCAGTGCTCTTTGACGTGACTATTAAAATTTCTTCTGCAGTTTCCTCACCTCTCTTAGCCTTCAAAAAATTAAAGAGAGTTTGAGCCTTGCCCTGGGTTAGGCTTTGGCTTAAGGGAATGTGGTGGCTGGTTCGATCTTCTACCTAGAACACTCAAACTGTCTCTATATCATTAATAAGGCTGTTTTGCTTTCTTATCATTTGTGTGTTCACTGGAGTAGCACTTTTAATTTCTTTCAAAAGCTAATTCTTTTTGCATTGACAACTTGGCTGTTTGGTGCGGGAGGCTTAGCTTTCAGCCTATCTTCACTTTTTGACATGCCTTCTTCACTAAGCTCAAACATTTCTAGCTCTTGATTTAAAGTGAGAGATGTGTGACTCTTCTTTTCACTTGAACACATAGAGGCCATTGTAGGGTTATTAATTGGCCTATTTTCAATATTGTTGTGTCTCAGGGAATAGAGAGACCCGAGGACAGGGAGATAGATGGGGGAATGCCCTGTCATGGAGCAGTCAGAACACACACAGTATTTGTTTATTGTTTGCCATCTTAGAGTTGTATGTTTCAAATAAGGCAAAACAGCCTTATTAATGATATGGAGAAAGTTTGAGTGTGAAGGCTAAGAGAGGTGAGGAAACTGCAGAAGAAATGTTTGAAGGTCTTTGCCTAAACCAATGTCTAGAAGGTAACAGATATTGGTTATTGAGGTTTAAAGAAATAAGCCATCTTCCTACATAGAAGTGCAATATGAAGCAGCAAGTGCGTGGAAGCTGCAGCAGGCTACTCAGAAGATCTAGCTTAGATCATTGATGAAGGTGCCTAAACTAAACAACAGATTTTCTTTTCTTTTTTTAACATCTAATAATTCATTTTTTTTTATTTCAATAGGTTTTTTGGAATCAGGTGGTGTTTGGTTACATGAATAAGTTCCTTAGTAGTGATTTTGGAGATTTGGGTACATCCATCACCTGAGCAAACTACACTGTACCCAATGTGTAGTCTTTCATCCCTCACCCCTCTCCCACCCTTTCCCCCAGGTCTGCAAAGTCCATTGTATCATTCTTATGCCTTTGCGTCCTTATAGCTTAGTTCCCACCTATGAGTAAGAACATATAGTGTTTGGTTTTTCCATTCCTGAGTTACTTCACTTAGAACAATTGTCTCCAATTCCATTCAGATTCCTGCAAATGCCATTATTTTGTTCCTTGTTATGGCTAAGTAGTATTCCATGGTATGTATATACCACAATTTCCTTATCCACTCATTGATTGATGGGCATTTGGGCTGGTTTCACAATTTTGCAACTGAGAACTGTGCTGCTATAAACATGCATGTACAACTATCTTTTTTGTACAATGACTTCTTTTCCTCTGGATAGATATCCAGTAATGGGATTGCTGGATCAAATAGTAGTTCTAATTTTGTTCTTTAAGAAATATCTACACAGTTTTCCATAGTGGTTGTACTAGTTTACCTTCCCACCAGCAGTGTAAAAGTGATCTCTTTTCACAATATCTATGCCAACATCTATTTTTTTTTATTTTTTGATTATGGCAATTCTCACCAGAGTAAGGTGAGTGTTATTTGCATTTCCCTGATTATGAATGATGTTGAGCATTTTTTCATATGCTTATTGGCCATTTGTATATCTTCTTTTGAGAATTGTCTATTCATGTCCTTAGCCCACTTTTTAATGTATTGTTTGTTTTTTCTTGCTGATTTGTTTGAGTTATTGGCAGCTTCTGGATATTATTCATTTGTCAAATGTATAGACGGCAAAAATTTTTCCCACTCTCTGGGTTGTCTGTTTCCTCTGCTGATTGTTTCTTTTGGTGTGCAGAAGCTTTTTAGTTTACTTAAATCCCATTTATTTATCTTTGTTATTGTTGCATTTGCTTTTGGGTTCTTGGCCATAAGGTCTTTGCCTAAGCCAATGTCTAGAAGGGTTTTTCCAATGTTATCTTCCAGAATTTTTATAGTTTCAGGTCTTAGATTTGAGTCCCTGATCCATTTGAGTTGATTTTTTTAGAGACACGAGGATCCAGTTTCAGTCTTCTACAAGTGGCTTGCCAATTATCTCAACACCATTTGTTGGATAGGTTGTTCTTTCCCCACTTTATGTTCCTGTTTGCTTTGTTGAAGATCAGTTGGCTGTAAGTATTTGGCTTTATGGGTTCTCTATTCTGTTTCATTGGTCTATGTGTCTATTTTTATACCAGTACCATGTTGTTTTGGTGACTATGGCCTTACAGTATAATTTGAAATCAGGTAATGGGATGCCTCCAGATTTGTTATTTTTGCTTAGTCTTGTTTTGGCTATGCAGGCTCTTTTTTGGTTCCATATGAATTTTAGGATTGTGTTTTCTAGTTATGTGAAGAATAATGTTGGTATTTTAATGGAAATTGCATTGGATTTGTAGATTGCTTTTGGCACTATGGTCATTTTCACTATATTGATTCTACCCATCCATGAGCATAGGATGTGTCTCCATTTGTTAGTGTCATACAGGACTTCTTTCAGCAGTGTTTTGTAGTTTTCCGTGGAGAGGTCTTTCACCTCCTTTGTTAGGTACACGCCTAAGTATTTTGGAGTTTGTTTTTTTTTTTTTTTTTTTTACAGCTATTGCAAAAGGGGTTGAGTTCTTAATTTGATTCTCAGCTTGATTGCTATTGATATATAGCTGAGCTACTGATTTGTGAATATTTATTTTGTATCCTGAAACTTTGCTGAATTAATTTATCAGTTCTAGGAGCTTTATGGAGTAGTCTTTAGGATTTTCTATGCATACAATTGTGTCATCAGCAAACAATAATAGTTTGACTTCCTCTTTACCAATTTTTATGCCATTTATTTCTTTCTCTTGCCTGATTGCTCTGGCTAGGATTTCCAGTACTATATTGAATAGAAGTGGTAAGAGTGGGCATCCTCATCGTGTTCCAGTTCTCAGGGGGAATGCTTTCAACTTTTCCCTATTCAATATAATGTTGGCTGTGGGTTTGTCATAGCTGGCTTTTATTACATTAAGATAAACAACAGATTTTCAATGTAGACAAAACAGCCTTCTATTGAAAAAGATGTCATCTAATACTGTACTAGCTATAAAGAAGTCAATGCCTACCTTCAAAATTTCAAAGGGAAGGCTGACTCTCTTGTTAGAGGTAGCCAGCATCTTTAAATTGAAGCCAATGCTCATTTACCTTTCTGATTTTTCATAAAGAATTTCATAATTTCATGAATTTCATAATTCTTTAGGGTCCTAAAGAAGTATGCTACATCTACTCTGCTTGTGCTCTACAAATGGCACAACAAAGCCTGGATGACAACACATAAACAGAAAAAGCTCTTGGTTTCTGAATATTTTAAGTCCATTGTTGAGACCTACTGTTCAGATAGTTTCCTTTCAAAATGTTACTGCTCATTGACAATGCACTGAGTCACCCAAGGGCTCTAATGGAGTCACCCTCATGAATGATTTTGAGACGTTCAAGATTTCAGTGAAGGAAGTAACTATAGATGTGGTAGAAACAGCAAAAGAATTAGAATTAGAAATGGAGCCTGAAGATGTGACTGAATTTCTATAATCTCATGATTAAACTTGAAGGAATAGGAGCTGCTTCTTATGCACAAGCAAAGCAAGTGGTTTCTTGAGATGGGTCTACTCCTGGTGAAGATGCTTTCAACATTGTTGAGATAACAAAGGATTTAGAATATTTCATAAATGTAGTTGGTAAAATAGCAGCAGCAGGGAGTCAGAGGATTGACTCTAATTTTGAAAGTAGTTCTACCATATGTCAAATGCTTATCAAACAGCATCACATGCTGCAGAGAAATCTTTCCTGAAACAGTCAATCAGTGTAGCAAACTTGATTGTTGTCTTGTTTTATGAAACTGTCACAGCAACCCCCGCCTTCAGCAACCAACCACCACCTTAATTATTCAGCAGCCATCAACACTGAGGCAAGAACCTTGACTATCAAAAAGATTACAACTCCCTGAGGGCTGAGATGATTCTTAATATTATTTTAACAATAAACTATTTTTAATTAAGTTTACCCACTTTTAGAAATAATACTGCATATTTGGTAGACTACAGTGTAGTGTAAACATTAACTTTTATAGGCACTGGGAAACCAAAAACACTTGTGTGCCTTACTTTATCACAATATTTGCTTTGTTGCAGTGATCTGGAACCAGACCCACAGTATCTCTGAGGTATGCCTGTATTTACAGAAACCCATGGGCCTCTGAGAATAAATATTGACAGAGTACCTCTCTTTTTCTATCTCCCATTGCTCAATCATTTTTGGAGCTCACAATAGTTCTTTGCATTAAGTAAAGGGTCAATAAATGTTTCTGGAAGATGACTGTATTGTCTTTGACTTTTTGTTTAAATCTTGTATTGCTTTACTTTTAAACTTTTCATATATTTATGCTTTATTTCACCAGTTAGATTTTAAGTTTTTGAGGAGAGTAACTCTAGTTACAACATTCCATATTAAAGCCTGAATTGACTTAAAAAGAAAACTCTGGAAGAGGCATTTTGTAAGAAAATCACATTACATAATTCATCCCATGGCTAGCCAAAAATGGTTTGAGAATTATAAGCACAACTGAAATATTTTTAATCGAAATTATATAATAAGTATAAGAACATATCAATTTTTTCAGATTTGATTTTTAAATTTTATTTTGAAGCAGTCTTACTGATATTCATGGGATGAGATGCTAGTACTAATAGTAGAACATGTTAATATTTTTAGTATATACAGAATTCATGCTCATCAGTGAGAAGACAATCTTGTAAAAATTTTGAAGTTTTTTATTTTTTAGTACATTTTTCCAAATTCTTTTTATGGATGACAATATAAATAGCTATTCGGTATCTTAAAATAAACTATAGAATAGTACAAAAATTTGCTTTTGGTCAATATCTACAGTGAAACTTGTGAAATGAGAAACATGTGCTATTCTATTCCCAACCTAGAAAGGAAGTGAAAATAGTAAAAACTGCATCCACAAAGTAATTCTCATTCGTTACTAGTTTTTCTTTTAACTGGAAATCTTTTCCAATGATCTGCAATGAGAAAAGAATTCTTGCAAAATTAGTAGGAGTATGGGAACAAAGAAAATGAACAACTGTAAATGCAAATGCAATTTTTACTCCATCAAGAACAGAAAAAAAGTTTAGCAAACAAAGCACCTTATTGTCTTAGTATTATAAAAGCAACACCACCACCTTCTGGTAAAAATAGAAATTGCAATCCCAGAAAGACAGGACATTTGACACATTTTTTTCTTTTTTTCTTTTTTCTTTTTTTATTTGTTGATGGTCCAAAACTTAGTGAACATTTTCTTTTCTTGAGAATATCACATTTTTATGTCTAGGGCCTCAAATTTGTTCAATTGCTTTATTAAATATGATTTTTAGGATTAAAAGAGATACTGTATAATACCCATGACTAAAAGTTGTGGGTTGTGTTCCTTTTAATCTAAAGTGAACTTCAGCATATACTAGTGAAAAGCGAAAGCCTGAACTTTGGAGCCACAGATACCTGGATTCAAATTCTATCTCTGATTCTACCTTTGTGGCCTTGACAAATTAATTTTCCTGGGTTTCAGTTGTTTCACTTGCAAAACAATAGTGGTGTCGTGAGCATAAAATGCGTGATACATCTAGTACATTTTGTCACACCGAGTAGATAAGCAGTAACTGATAACTACCTTATTTTCCTTAGAATTACCTGATTTCTGCTATACTTTTTTTGAAAGTGTTTTCATGGATAATGTTATTCAACATGGTTTTACTGCTTTTAATTAATTTTCAGACCTTCAAATCACCTGTCAAAGATACCTGGTAGCTGGGCGTGGTGGAGCATACCTGTAGTCCTAGCTATTGGTGAGGCAGAGGCAGGTGGATTGCTTGAGCCCAGGAGTTCTAGTCTGCAGTGAACGATGAGGGTGCCACTGCACTCCAGACTGGTGTCAAAGTGAGACCATTTCTCAATAAATAAATAAAGACACATGGTAATTATCAATACATTATTTACTTATATAAAAGGAAAGCCAATAATAGATTTATTTGATCTTACCAGGCCCCAGACAGGATGTATATAGGACAAGGAAAAGAGAGGGAAGAAGGAAAAAATTTGAACATATCTGATATTGTGATTTATGTTCCCTTTCCTTGGGTAAGCTTTGCTGACAACAGTCAGAGACCAGTCAAAATATTGTGTCATTGTGCAGCCAGATAGATCAGTTGTTTCCATATTACTAGCAAAGTATGTCCTAGGATGTCTTTTTTTATGTCTGAGTAGAGTGTCTTTAGCACCTGTACCTAGTTATGCCAAATCTGCCCCATTTTCCTTATCAGAATTTCTCATATTACTACCACCGTATATTGCCTGTACTCTGCCAAACTACTTCTGGATCTATTCATGAAATATCCAGTAGTGTCATGTTCATACTATTACTGAAGTAGCTCACCAATGCAGAGAAAGAAGGAATTTACCAAGCGGTGTTCTCTAATTTGTTGTTGTGGTTATTTCTGAAAGGAAGAGCCCTGGGCAAAATTTAAAAACAAAGAAATTTCTCTTTACTGTTTCCCAATTTTCGGACACACTTTCGTCCCCAATTAACCTCATCCATCCCAAAGAGCACATGCTTCCATATTTTCAGATGAAGCCCGAGTAATGTCTTAACCTCAAAATTACCCCATTAATTTTCATGTCTTTTATTTTCAAAACTAAATGTTTATTCTCTGAGACTAAAGTTAGAAATAAGAAATCATCATTAAATCACTGACAACAGAAAGTGAGTCATGTCTGCCTCCTGCACTGCATCTTCTTCAATGCGATAGTTTATATTCAGCAGTTTGCAATCCTAACTTAACTTTAGAATCACCTGGGAAACTTTTAACAAGTTAATTTCATTTGTCCTGGATGGAGCTTGAGCATTGTTAATTTTAAATATTCCACGAGTGACTTCAATTATAGACATTGTTGCCAATCCTCAACCCAAACCCTAGTTAATAAATTTCACGAGGTAAGGAATAAGTTTTTTCATAGGTTTGGAAGGGAGAATTGTACTAAAATTATGTTTATTTTCTCTGTATAAGTAAAGCAAGAATACAAAGATAGTAAAGTAACTGGAAGAGGTGGGGCTGATAGGATTCAATCTATAAAGGGCCTTATTTTTATCCCATTGCTATCTTCCGGTATATTTTGTAGGATCTACCTTCCCCACTCCCTTGACAACAATCTAAAATTTCATAGCTATATGGCAATTTTAGGCATTAGAAAAGTCTCATTTCTCTTATAACCCCAAATTAGAACTCACTCATGAAAAAGGTACCAATAAGGGAAGAGAGGGTAGTTCTTCATTAGTCTGTTTTGTTTTCTGTGCTCTTAGCATCAGGAAAAGGATGAAAGAAATATAGGAAGAGGGACAAAATCCTTACCTGACCAAGGCCTACACCATCTTCTCTTGGCAGACACTGGCTGACTTCCATGCGCTCCGTTATGGCATGGCTTCGAAGACTGCTTCATTTATGAGGTGCAATATTAGGTCCATGTTTACCTCTGACCTGATCAATTCCCAGAAAGATTGACGCTCTTACAGAACTATCCTCCTTTGTTCCTTAATTTAGTAGGAAGGACCTCACAGCAAGGAGCACCTGAGGCAGAGTTCCATCAAGTATAGTAATGCCTCATGGCATCTTATTGCATGGGAAATTCTCATCCTCAGATGTTAGGAATGCAGCTATTCCTGTAAGACTCCCTCTCTTTGCAGTAGGGGCCCTAGGCTTAAGACAGTAACCCATTTCAAAGTTCCTTTACACTTCAACATATTGGGAATGAGATGCAGTCCATTCTGATTGGACTGCAATTCAACAAGCATCCAACTAGAAATATCTTATCAGCCTCCTCTCTTACACCTTCATCACTAGGGCTTTCTCATTCAACTTGGTGGAACCCATCAACAGCTGTTTTGTTGTTGTTGTTGTTGTTGTTTGTTTTTTCTTAAATGGCTTATTTTTAAAAATATAATTGTTTCTAATATTATGTTCTAAAATTTTCAAATCGGTGTTATTAGGGAAAAAATACATTATCACAAAATGCACCATTTTTAAGTACACAGTTCAATGATTTAAAAAAAGACACTAACATTGCCATCACTGTTGTGCCCTTCTCCAATAAAGCATTAGCCATATCGCCAGAGAGCGCTAGTTTTGTTTTTTTGTTTGTTTGTTTGTTTTTTTAATAAAGAATAGTTTTTGTTTGGAAAGCAACATCTGTCTGCTTACATGTGCTCACTACTGCTGGATTACCAGTATCTCTAACCTCTTCAACAAACAGAATCTATTCCATCTTTTCATGCATTTATTTGCCATACGTGTATCTTTTTTGGAGAAATGTCAATTCGGATGCTTTGCCCGTGTATTCATTGGCCCATTTATCTTTTTATTGTTGAGTTGTAACAGTTCTTTATATATTCTGGACGCAAATGAGTCCCTTATCACATATATAATTTGAAAATATTTTCTCCTGCTTTTGGGTTACCTTTTTATTTTTTATGGTATTGTTTACAGCATAAAGTGTTTAATGTTAAGTCAAATGTTTCCATTTTTTAATGTTGTCATTGTGCTTCTGGTGTCGTATCTGAGAAACCATTGTCTAATCCAAGATCATCAAGATTTACCTTTTTTTCCTTCTAAATGTTTTAGAAGAAATATTTACAAACTTTAGCCCTTACATTTAAACTTATGGTCTATTTTGAATTTAGTTTTATATAGACGTGAGGTAGGGGTTTAACTTCGTTTTTTTGCATATGGATAAATTATCATTTAAATCAGTTAAGATAAATATGAGAAAATATATGTTTATATAGTCTTTCATATTCACCCATGTACTTACCTTTTCTAGTGCTCTTTATTTGTTCATGTGAATTAGTTACAATCTAGCGTCATTTCTTTTCAGCCTTTTCAGTACGTCATTTCATTTCTTTCAGAACTTACTTGAGTGTTTCTTGTAAGGCAGGTTTGATAGGAGGAAATTTTTTCAGTCTTAGTTTATCTAGGAATGTCATTTCACCATCACTTTTGAAGCATATAGTTGCTAAATATATATTTTATATTCCTTTTTTTCTTTCAATACTTTGATTCTGTCATTCCCCCTTACCTTGTAGCCTCGATTATTTTTGGAAAGAAGTCAGCCATTAGTTGCATTGTTTTCCTCCTGTGCATGTTGACCGGGTTTCCATTTGCTGTTTTCAAAATGTTCTCTTTCAATAGTTTCAATAAGATGTGTGTAGCTATGAATCTCTTTGTGTTCACCCTTCTTTGGACTTTGATAATGTTCTTGGCTATGTAATTTAAATTGTTCAGCAAATTGGGAAGTTTTTAGCCATTACTTCTTAAAATATTTTTTGTCCCTTTATTTCCTTCTATGATTCCTATTACCTTATATATTGGTAAGTGTCATGGTTTCCCATGGTTGCTGAGGCTGTTATTTTTACTTGTTCTTCTTATTTTCTAGTCCTCTGATAGAATAATTGGGAGATCTTCAAGGTTGCTGATTATTTCATCTGACATTTCTAATCTGATGTTGTTTCCCCAGTGAATTTCTCGTTCATTACAGTTATCATACTTTTCAATTCCAAAATTCCCCTTTCTTTTCTATAACTACTCCTTATTAATATTCTCTTTGAGGTATTTTTATCATAATTTCATATAACTCTTTAAACATGGTTTCTTCAGTTATTTGGGCATATTTGTAATAGTTGTGTTGAAGTCATTGCATGCTAAGGCTAATATCTGCTCCCCTTCAAGACAGGTTTCATTGACTATTTTCCCTGAGTATGGGTGATGATTTCCTGCTTTAGACGCTTTGCAATTTTTTGTTGAACTCCAGACACTGAAGAAAATATACTATAGCAATCTTTGAATTCATTTTCCCTGCTGGGTGTGTCCAGAGATCCTTTCTTGCTAGTCTGCTAGCACTGCATGTTTCAACCAGCATCTCAACCTCACACTAGCTGCAACACTGGCCACTGAGATTGCCAGTGACTGAGAAAATGCCCATGGGCCTTGAGTTTCACTGTATTCCACTCCAAATCAAGTCAGCCTCCTCTACCTGCAAAACTGCTGGTTTTCACAGTCTGACACCCTTACAGTACTACCACGATGATGAAGCTGGTGAAGGAACAAGAGCATCCCCAGGCTAAAATACATCAGAGACTCCTATGTTTTTTCTTTTTTTTTTTTTTTTTTTTCGCCTCAAGACAGGATCTCACTCTGTCATCCAGGCTAGAGTGCAGTGGTGATCACAGCTCACTGCAGCCTGGACTACCCAGGCTCAAGTGATCCTTCTACCTCAGCCTCCCAAGTAGCTGGGACCACAGACGTGGGCGATATCCCCGGCTAATTTTTCATATTATTTGCAGAGACAAGGTCTCCCTATGTTGCCCAGGCTGGTCTCAGACTCTAAGGCTCAAGTGATCCTCCCGTCTCGGCCACCCAAGCTAGTGGGATTACAGACATGAGCTGCCATACAAGGTCCGCTTTTCTTATACAAGATTTAGTAGGGTTTTTTTTTGGTGAATAAATATTTCCCTGTCTGTCATATGCCTGTGTTTGATTCCCAGGGACCTGAAGTGATTGTTTTTGATAATTTTGTATAGTTTTGTTGTATTGCTGCATTTTTGGAGAGGATTTGATGAACCCCTCATTCCATCATTCCAGTAGATCAGGTTTTTACAGTGTATGTGCAGAAATACTGAAACTAATTTATGTGTTTATAAGGTGTATTAGACAGAATTCTAAAGATGCTTCTTCCCCAATATTCCACACCCTGGGCTACTCAAAGAAGCTCTTAACTGGATACTGTGGTCAAGAAACTTTGTAAATGTAATTAAGATGATGGATCTTAAAGTAGAGAGTTTATCCTGAATTGTCCAGGTCGGCCCAATCTAATTACTTGAGCTCTTAAAAGCAGGTAATTTTATCCAGCTAGGGTCATAAAGAAGCAGCAAAAGAGAGAGCAGGAAAGATGAGACAGAGGGGAAGTCAGAGAGATTCAAATCTTGAGAAGGAGTCCACATGTCATTGCTGGTTTTGAAGATGGAGGAAGTGGGGGGAGGTGCATAAACCAGGAAATGTGGATGTTCTCTAGGGCCCAAGAACAACCTCCAGACATTGTTGTAAAAAAAAAACAGGGACCTTAGTCCTACATTGCTATGTGTATTAGTCTGTTTTCACACTGCTATAAAGCACTACCTGAGACTGAGTAATTTATGAAGAAAAAAGCTTTAATTGACACACAGTTCAACAGGCTTAACAGAAACCGTGACTGGGAAGTCTCAGAAAACTTACAGTCATGGCAGAAGGTGAAGGGAAAGCAAGCATGTTTTACCAGGGTGGAGCAGGAGGGTGGAAGGAAGTGCTAAACACTTTTAAACTACCAGATCTCATGATAACTCACTTATAAGACAGCACTAGGGGGATGATGCTTAACCGTTAGAAACTGCCTCCATAAGCCAGTCACCTCCCATCAAGCCCCTCCTTCAACACGTGGGGATTACAATTTGATATGAGATTTCAGTGGGGACACAGCCAAACCATATCATCATGCAACTGAATTTGCCCAACAACCTGAATGAGCTTGGGAGTTAATTCATCCCCAGAGCCTCCAGAAATGAATACAGCCTTGGACAACAACTTGATTTCAACTTGTGAAACCTGGAACAGAGAACTACCTGAACCACACTATTCCTGGGCTTCTCAACTACAAAACTGAGAGATAAATGGATATTATTTTATGACATAAAATTTGTAGTAATCTTTCATGTCAGCAATAGAAACTAATACTCTATCTAGTATTGGACAAATAATGTGTTGTGGATAACAAAAGCCAGTTTTCTCACTCTTTAAGAAAGTATTTACAAATGAGGAAAAGGAAGATTAACATGAACTCTATGGTGTTGGATTGCAGTTGGAGGTATCCATATTCATACACACATAAATTAACATAGAAATAGATGTTATGTATGTTAACATGCACATCTTGGTTTTCAATTGTTTGATCCTTAAATAATGGAAAGTATAAGAAGAGCCTGGAGTATCTTGTGGTGCTAAAAAGTAAGGATGTCCTCAAATAATGTTGTAAAGATGTCCAAAAAACACAGGAGCCAACATAATGTGGCTCCAATGTCTACATAAAAACCATTTGACAAAAAAAAACTAGTGGATAATAACCTAGTCAATTAATGTATATTTGTTCAAATAATAGAGTAACTTTAAATAAACAGAGAGAAAGGGACAGTTCTTTCTTAGATTACAATACCAATTAATACATGTTACACAAGTGATGAATACAGAAAATCACTATTAGCAAAAACCATATTAAGCACGCAAGAATCAAAAATGGATGCTAAAATTAGTGGATGAAAGTTTGCTGAGAAACAGGATATTTGGATGGTCTCAAAGTATCCCTTCAAGAGCTAGTTATTAATAACACAGGAGAAAATAAAATTAGAGTGGTCATTGCTGGCAGATACATACCTTAACCAAGTGATCAAAGTTCTGTCATATTTAGACAACATGTACTCGCTAATATGTGCGTTGAGAAGAGTATATCATTTTTGCCAAAAAATACGTATAATGTTAATATAATCATGAGAAAACATCAGACTAATCCAAATTGATAGATATTCCACAAAATAATTGGCCAATCCTTTTCAAAATTGTCAAGGTAATATATGGTAGACAGCCCCCAATATCACCCCAATGATAGTCACAATATGCATGCCTCTTGGTACTACCTTTTGTCTTTTCTTCCCACTCTATACCAGGCATGGTAGGCAGATTTGTAAAGATGTGTTCTCCTCCCTGGCTTATTCAACCAAATATGAATCAAGGTCTTCTAGTTTACTGCAAAGTTCTTTTAAATCCTTTTAAGGACTTTGCAGCTGGAATTAAGATTACTAAGGTCATCTGTATGACCAGTAGACTGTGGTAGAAAAGATGGTATGTCACTTCTAAAATCAAATCATATAAGACACTGTGCTTTCAGTTTTGGTTGCTCTCACTCTCTTTTGTGTCATTCACCCTGGTAGCAGTCAGCTGCCACGTCACAAGACCTATGAAGAGGCTCACATGTTGAGGAATGAAGTTCTTTTTCAAACAAACATGTGAGCACACTTTCTTACAAGCACATTACTCAATCCCAGAGAACCCTTCAGATGATTACACCCCCAGCCAATATCTTTATTGAGACTTCTTGAGAAACTTCAAACCAGAGCCACCCAGCACAGCTGCTCCTGAAATCCTGACACACAAAAATGGTAGGATAATAAATGTTTCCTGTTTTAAGCCACTGAAGTTTAGAGTTATTTGACACATAGACATAGAGAGGAAATATATCATGAAGAAAAAAGACTGGGTAACCATTCCAGATTGGAAAAGATTAAGAAGCAGTAATAAATAAATTTAACATGGGATCCTTGACTGGGTTCAGATCAGATAAAGACCACTGAAGCAGGAAATTACCCTGATCCCTTTGCAGGGGGGAACTGGAGTGTGGACACTGGAGCTAGCTGGTTGCTTTGGTGCCAGCAGGGGTAAACTCCACTCACTAGAACCTGTTATGCTCAACCCCTTGTGGAAGAGAGCACATAAGTGAGTGGATGCAGGAGCCAGGGTGAGTGCTTTGGGGCACCAACAGGAAACGCCGTGCAGGCTCCATGGAAGCATCTAATGGGGAGTACCCACGACTCCCGAAGCCCCAGGGGCATGCTTTACAGCGTTCTTTTAGCTTTGCTGTCTGCTGACGGCTTAAGTGTGAAACAGCTCAGTAGGCGCTCTGCCTTTTGACGTGAGGCAGTTGCTCTCCACCAGTGAGGGCAGAGGGTCAGAGTGATAGCCTTTAGCATTCGCACCCGTGGCACATGAGCTGTTGTTCAACATCCAGGAAAAATCAGGTTGCATGAAAAAATTGAAGGGTAGTGAATGTGAAGGACTTTATTGCCTATGAAAGTGGCTCTCAGCCGCAAGGGGAGCTGGAAAAGGGATAGAGCAGGAAGATGATCTTTTCCTGAAGTCCAGTGGCCTGGACTTCTTCTCTCCAGCCCCAAACCAGTTTCCAATGTCCAGCTGCTTTTCATCTTCTCCTCGCCTGCTCTGCTGGCAAAGCCTGGGATGGCACAGGATAGGGGGCAGAGTGGGCCATGGGTGGTTTTGGAAAAGGCAACATTTGAGCAGGAAAACAGGAATGCATGTTCTCACTTTGGGCTGTAGTTCCAGGCTTGAGGGTGGGGCCTTTACCAGGACTCGCTCTCTTCTGCCCAGAATTTCCCAGCCTCCTGTCCTTGTCACCACTAGTGTTATGATTGGCAAAATTATAATAAAATCTGTAGATTAGTTAATAGTATCATGCCAATGCTAGTTTCTTCGTAATTGTTTCTAGTTTTAGGTAATTGTTCTATGGATTTTTAAAATATTAACACTAGAGAAAGCTTATAGAGGAATTTTATGTGTACTATTTTACAAAGTCTAAAAGCACTACAAAATAAAATTTTAAATGGAAAGTCAGACGCACTAAATTTGAAAAGAAAAAAATGATCAATTCTTGATAATTTTTATAAGCTAAATTAATTTTAGCTGAAGCACTAAAATGTTATAATCCAACTTACCCATTGAGTTTTTCAAAGTGGATTATCTTTCATCTATTTTTGATTACTCATATGTGCTGTAAAAGTTAGTGTTTATTGGACTTTACTGAAAAAAAAGCTGAAGGAGCCTGGGGGAAAAGAACATTACATTTCAAATTAACATCTAATATTATTTCCTTAAAATATTTTACTATTACAATAAACTGAGATAAATTAAACACATCCCACACTTTTTTATCAGATAGTTTACAAATAAACCATCTGTAAAATGTATCCTACTTATATAAATCTTATATATTAATCTGTCATATGTAGAAACTTGTGTAAGAGAATTTCCCTAATATATATTTCATAATACATGTGGTTTGTATTGAATTAAAAACATCTGTTGAGATACAAGAAATCACTGGATTAAATTATTAATACATTCACCAAGTTCAAAAGCATACTAATTTCCCTTTCCCATCCATAAAATATGCTTATGTTCACAGAGATAAGGCAAGTTTCAAACCTGTGTCATTTAATAAGCTCAAACACGACAATTTTGTATAAACATTCTGATTTAATAAATGGTATGAATATATATTTTGCATACTTTACAATAAAGAAAATTTTGAAAGAAAATGGATCTAAAACTTTGTTTCCCTCCAATTTACATAGTAAAGTCAACTGCATACAGTTCTTTCCATGTGTAAGTTTTACATTTGTATTTTCTACAATTAAGTAAATCTAAATGTTAAATTTTAACACATATATCCAATTATGTACACAATTACAATGTCAATTTATAAGTCAAGCTTACTTAACAATCATAAATTACAAAAAACGCACTATGAATAATTTTGTTCTAGAAGTATCACATCAACTCATATGATCTAGGTGAACCCAAAAGTAAAAAATAATGATTATAAATTATGGTAGTGTCTGTAAAACCCTGTTATAAAGGAGGTATTCTTTTAAAATATGTACCTTATATATAAAAGCTCCTGACTCCTTTTAAGGACCAAAATTATTTTCAGTCTAACCATTTTCATTAAAGCGCTTATTTAAAAAGTATCACCTTATAAAACTGAGTATATAAAATACAATGCAGCCCTTGATAGCTAAGAATCTTTATAAACGCCAATGATTTAGTGACCTGTTTATCAAACTATTTCTATGGATGGGTTGATTTTTTTTCTTCCTCTAAATTAAGTGGCCCTAGACTAATATATTTGTTCAGTTATTCTGTTTTCTTCCTTACTGCCATTTCACATCTCCATCAGTGAGTTCCTCAGGATTTGCCTTTATGTTACAACTATGAAAGTCTTCAATCCAATTCCCTGCTTCCACACAAAGGACAAAGAAAGCCTAAACTTTCCTTTTCCTTTTTTCTGGGCTCCAATAGGAAGCAGCATTTACAACGTGTCTGGCTTGGTGGGAGGAAGATTGTCAATTGAGGTATCATGTGTGTTCACCTGCCTCTCTTGCCCTATTTCTTTGGTTGCTATAAATTTCCTGCTTCTCAAATATCTGGATTTTTGGCTACCTATTTGGCTTCCGTCTTTGGTGTTTATATCTGTCTGGTTTTAGCAGGTCTCTCTGATTCCTGACCCACAGCTCCTCTCCTTCTCTAATATTCAAGTATGCTGCTTCCCTAACTCCTCATTCCTTCTCCTTGAATTTCACTTTACAATTGCGCTAGGTTCTAACATCGTTGGCCATAGATTACCACAAAACATAATTTCTTAAATTCTGCAAATTTCTAATGTTTCTAATCTTGGTTTCCTACAAGATCTAACACTAAGCTTGTGTTATCCTGATTACAGTGTATATAAAACAATGCTTGTGGAAAATTAACCTAGGAGAAAGCTTATAGGGGAAACCTGATGATGAATTTTATTAAATTAATAACCCTTATAACAATTTCAAATGTAATACTATCTGGATTTGAACTTCAATACTTTTCCTAAGTAAAATTCTTAACCATGGTAGAAGTTATGTTTGTTGATGTTCACTCATCTATACCCTCCATATTCTCAGCAAAGTTGGCATAAATCTGACCTGAATAAACAGGGTTATAACATTATCAGGCTTGTAAAATACTTTATCAAATCAATGCATCAGTTAAAGCAGGGGTCCCCAGCCCTGGGCTGTGTGTGGCCTGTTAGGAATCGGGCCACACAGTTGGTGAGCTGAGAGGCAGGTGAGTGAGCATTACTGCCTGAGCTCCACCTCTTGTTAGATCAGTAGTGGCATTAGATTCTCATAGGAGTGCACACTCCATTGGGAACTGCACATGCAAGGGATCTAGGTTGCACTCTCCTTATGAGAATCTAACTAATGCCTGATGGTCTGAGGTGGAGCAGTTTCATCTCAAAACCATACCTTCTTCCCCCATGGAAAAATTGTCTTCCACAAAAATGGTCCCTGATGCAAAAAAGGTTGGGGACTGCTGAGTTAAAGGGTAGGGTTTAATATTCTAATTAAACAATAATAATAGATGACTACACTATGCAAGGCACTGTCTTAGGTGCTATGAGTAATGTGTTAAGTGGTTGGCTTTTCAAATAGGAAAAATTAAAGGTATATAAGTATTGATCAATAGTTTCATGTTTAGTTGGCATTTTTCTTTACTGACTGGTACTTTCCTCTGAAATATATGCAATTGAATAATATTATCACAGAATCATAAATGTGTTAAAAATTGTAATATCAACAAATTACCTCCTGGAATTCTTGAGTTAAAGTGAAAATATGTGTATACAATGCTGATGTTTCTGTATTCACTATATACTAAGACACAAGGATGATAACTAACATATTCTAATAGTTCAATAATTTGCTTGGAGAAAGGCCAGGCTAGTATACATAAATTTAAAAACAAATTACATGGTAAACCTGGTTTTAAATTCATAGGCTTTCAATAATAATTCCCGGAAATCATCACACAACTTTGATTAGTTTAAATTTTTATACCATAAATGTTCTAAGCTCAAAATATTGACAATGAAAATTAAAATTAAACAAGTTGTAATGGGGATAGAAACAACATTTTTTTTAAATGTAAATTTTTCTAATTGTGGGCCTTTTTTCTTGTTATTGCTTGAGGATTTCATACCTAGACAATGGGAATAGGAAATAAGTGTGTATGTGTGCGTGTGTGTGTGTGTGTGTGTGTTCGTGTGTGTGTGTGTGTGTGTGCTCGTGTGTGTGTGTGCTGTGTTTTGAGGCTTTACGTGGGCTTTGAAGGCACAGGTCTGTTTCTTGCATAAAACAAAAACTACATAAGTAAAAAAATACATTTGATTATAAAAACATCAATTTTGTAAATATGATTGTCCATATTGGATAGATAATCCTGCCATGGCAATGTGTGTTCTTAAAAATCGAGGTAAATTTTCCAGGTGTAAAACAGTCTTCTCTTTTCCCATTTCACCCTTCTTTTACTATTTTGTTGAGATCCTGTTCTGCTAAAACATTAGTCACAACTGCATTCTCTTTATGAAATGACACATCTGTGGCTGATGGAGGTGGTTTATACAAAAAGATTGCAAATCCATTGAAGAACATGGTGATAACTTTACAAGTAACACCTAAGTGAAAAAAAAAATTAATCATGTGCTTTTGTTTTTAATTATGATAAAAATTATCACTGAGAAAAATCTTCATGAATAGAACATTTTTAAAGAGAATAATTACATAACCATTATAGTTCTATGTTTAAAATTTTTGAAACATTAAGGGGAAAGAAAAAACATTTGTATACAATTCAAGTCACTAGTACTTATTTTCTTTCTAAGCTGTAATAGAGCACAATAATTAACTTATTCTTGGTTATGCTTGTGCATTCTTGTAAAATAAGTGTTGTATAGAACTAAATAGGAATTGGGCCACCATCTAGATTTGTTAACACAAGCCCATAATCCCAGTACTTTGGGAAGCTGAGAGAGGTGGATGTCTTGAGTCCAAGAGTTCGAGACCAGGCTGGGCACCATAGGAAACCCTGTCTCTACCAAAAAAAAAAAGTGCAAAATATATTCAGGTATGATGGATGGTACAGCCTGCAGTCCCAGCTACTTGGGATGCTGACGTGAGAGGATCGCTTCACCCCTAGAGGTGGAGGTTGCAGTGAGCTGAGATCACACCACTGCACTCCAGCCTGGGTGACAGACAGAAACCCCGTCTCAAAAATAAATAAATAAATTCGTTAACACAATATGATATCTATAAAAAATTGCAAGCAACCAAAAGTCAATAATGAGGGAAAGTAGTTTGTAACATTCTTGAACCTGAATAAATTGAAGAACATTCCCTTCCAGGACAGAAAATAATTCTAAAAATTAAAAAGGTTTTGGAGTTCTTAAAGCCTCTGTGGGAGGATATCACACTCAATACTTAACCAAATCTACTCTTCTTATCAGCTAAAAATAAACATTAAGATTCACTTCACAAACTTTGATTTATTTCCAAGTAAATCTGATTTTAAGTTCAGTTATATGAAGAGAAACTAGTTCCAACCACAGTATAAGCATTTAATAATTGCCAGCCTAATAAATTCAACGTGGTCTCACAGTATAGTTCTTGCAGTAGCTGGTTTCTTTTTGTTGATTATTAATATTTTGTTTAAAAACATGTATTTGAAAAACAGGAATGCTCATTCATCTAGGCATTACTAGACTATAGAATGATTAGTTACATAGGTACAACTTACAACTTTTTTTATTTGTTTCATTCTGAAAATTTTAAGGTTTTATATATTTTGTGGGGGGATTCCCATTCATCATTGACTAGGAAAATGAATGATTTGTTCTATCTATATCTTTGACCAAAAAGTACAAACAAAATGAATTAAATAAATTTTAAACATAAAAACATTGTATGTAGCCATGATTGTGGTAAAAATATATAATTTTAAAAATTGAATAAAAAATGGTTTTTAACAACAGGTAAAGTAATGGGATGATTAATTTTGCCTATACTTGTCAATACTTACTCCCCAAGTGCTATAAGAATTTATAGATTATTTCTTCAGCAAATATTCTATTACTCTATCTCTATCAACTCAGAAAGCATACTCTGGATTTACATGCATGTAAGAGTAATAATAGCCTATCTTGATCAACCTGTGTCAAAATAATCACAATGAAAATCACACATTATATTAGATACATATGTATACATACATTCAGGATTTCTCTAAGCTATTTTAGTTTCCTAGGTTATTATTCAAATTTTAAATTTTTAAATTTCAACTTTTATTTTACTAGTGTAAACTAGATACATTGTTTTACTTAATCTTAATCTTGCCTTAAATTTCATTCATTGCTTAACCAAGACATTACAAACTGCAAAAGGCAAAAAGAATTAAACATCACAGCTAACCTTCTAAACTATAAAAATGTTCCTTACAACGTGCCTTGGAGACAAAGGATACTTCCCTGCCTGAGCCATATGTGTTTGCAACACCTAGATACCTAGATGACAATCATTCCAGGGAGTTTCTCAGAATTCTCTTTTAGCTTTCGAGTATACTTTCCAAAAATGTTTGAGATAAGTTATTAAAAGAAAAGTATATACTGTATGATGTAATGAAAGCTAGAATTTTATTTTCTTGTATTTAGTACTGAGCCTTGCAAACTCCATCTGTTCAAAGCCTTTCATAACATGCTGTGATAAATGTTCTCTGCTTCAGGAAGACTACTGGATGGTTCAACAATGTGGACTGAACATTTCAAAATACCTGTGACCCTAAGTAACCAACAATGAGATTTTTTTTTTTTTACATCCTTAGTTTACTCTAAAATTATCAAGAAGTCACCACTTACTTATGGCTACTAGCATATGGGCCATCTTGATGTTATCATAAATCCAGCAAGCTCCTTTAATTCCACAATCATTTATATCCCAAAGAATACATGTGCTGTCTATTGTGAAACCAAATATAATTGGTCCAGGAATTGTCCCTAAAAGAATTATGGGTGAAATATACAACAGTAAAGATTACAGTTTAGAATTACAGATCTTTTTATACATGATCATACATATATTTTATAGAAATAAAAATAAGTATTCATCTGTCCACATGCAAATTAATTCATGTACAAGTCAAAGAAATATAAAGCAGATACAATATTCTAAAATAATTATATGTAATTACTATGTATTTCTAATCAATTCAAAAAAGTATTTCAATAGAAATATCCAATATATATTGGGCTAAAAGTTAATATTTTAATTCACCACTTTTCTAATATAATGAATAAATATGCCTTTGAAATTAGCTATTATACTTGTTAAAAATCAAAATAAATTATTCATGATGCACAAATAAATCTGCTGAACTATAGTATATGTTGTATCTATGTGGGTGTGCATGTGTATATAAACTAACATGGGCCTCTGTATGTATTAGTGTATGTATATACAAATATATAGTCTTATAATACCATATCTAGGAATATCACTATCTTATATACCCGCCACCATTTCCAAGAGGCCATGAGGTACTCAACTTCCATATAGTTAAGAAACTTCCAATTATTTGAGGTTGTAATTTTTAGACAAAGATTTCAGCTACATCCAGTCTGTTCTTTCATGACCTGTAGCATGATACAAGTCAGAGTACTAGACTCAGAGTTAGGAATCATTTTCCTACTTTCATTTCTATCACTAGTTGTGTAACTATGGGCAAAACCCTGCACTTCTCAGGGACTTAATTTACTCATCTGAAAAAATTGGCAAGTTGGACGAGGTGATCTCTAATGCCCCAACTTTTTGTTTTTGCTTTAATAAATAATCTTAATATTATGTTTACTATGTCTGTCTTTCTTGTAATTTGTCCTGTACCTGGAACTTTATAAAATTCTCTGGTACAAATTCTTTCTTCCAATAATTCTTAACTAGTCACAATATCCATACCACAGTTGCTGTTGAAACATTTTAACATCATTTTTAATTGCTAGTGTAACACAATAGTGTCACGAATAGAGACAAAAGCAGAGAGAAAAGAAATTATGTGTTGATGATCATATTTTATATTTGAAATAGACATGACACACCTTTTAAGATTTTATTAGCAACATAGTTGGAACAGGTAACCAGTCAGGTAGGTTAAAAGTATGCAATAAGTAAATAATCCTATATCTGAAACATTGGAAAATGGCTTCCTTCAACAAGAATGATGTAGCCTTCCACTATAATTTTTTTTGCCACAGGCCATAAATTAAAAAATAAATAACACTAATGAACCAAAATAGCCAACAGTTAGCAATGAATAAAGAAAAATGGCATACCTAATAATCGAAGGACCATAAATTGTATTCCCAAGGCTAGGGACCGTTGTCTGTGATTAACACACCTGGAAATATTAAATATATATGAGACCAAAAAAGGTGGTATAGTATATTCACTCTTTGAGCAAGTTCACATTTATAAGAGTTTAGCATTCCTATATTAAAGTAAATGTTGTAAACGCAAAATAATGCATTTGTAAGAGCTTATAAATGGTTTAATCTTCCTGGGATTATAAAAGAAGAAAAATGTTATCTGACCTAAAATATTGCAAATAACACCAAAGAGTCACTAGTCTTTATTAATTTTAATAAATGTAAAGAGAAAGGGTATTCATTAACAAGACATATTTTCCATAAAAGTCATCAATAAATTATGTATAGAAGGAGTGTACCTCAATATAATAGAGCCCAAATATAACAAATCCACAGCTAACATCATACTCAATGGTGAATACCTGAAAGCCTTTCCTCTAAGATGAAGAACAGGACAAGGATGCCCACTCTCATGAATTCTATTCGGCATAGTACTAAAAGTCCTATCCAGAGTAAGTAGGCAAGAAAAATAAAAGGTATCCAAATTGGGAAGTAAAAGGTAAGATTATCTCTGTGAAGATGACATGGTCATATATGTAGAAAACACTAAAGATCCTGCCAAAAAAGCACTACAACTAGCAGATGAATTTAGTAAAGTTTTAGCATACAAAATCATAATACAAAAATCAGCTGCACTTCTATACACCAACAATGAACAAAAGAAATCAAGTAAACAACAAAATTTACAATAGCATTGAAAAAAAAATACTTAGGAATAAAGTTAACCAAAGAGGTAAAATACTTGTACACTGAAAGCTATAAAACACTGATGAAAGAAATTGAAGAAGCCACAAATAAATGGAAAGCTATCCCTTGTTTATGAATTGGAGGAATAAATATTTTAAAATATTTATCCTACATCAAGTGATCTACAGAATTCAGTGTAATTTCCATCAAAATTCCAAGAGCATCTTTCACAGAAATTGAAAAAACAATCCTAAAATTCATATGGAATGACAAAAAATCCAGAATAGCTAAAACAGCCAGAGGGTGGAACAAGATGATAGACTGAAAAGCTCCAAGTTAATAATTATCTACACAGAAAAAAAAACACAACACTTTAACAAGAATCAAAAGTCAGGTGAGCACTTATAATACCTGGTTTGAACTTTATATTCCTGAAAGAGGCACTGAAGAGATTAAAAAAAAACAGTCCTGAATCTCAGACACCACACCTCCCAACCCAGGCAGTGGCAGTGTAATACAGAGAGAATCTCTTGGGGTGGGGAGGGAGAATAGAGCAATTGTGAGGCAATAAAATCACTGCTGTCCTGTTAGAGCAGAAAGGAAAACCAGACCAACTTACCTGACACCTGCCCACAGAGGGAGTATTTAAACCAGCCCTGGCCAGAGGTTAATCTCCTATGCAGCAGTCCAAACTTGAGTGCTTACAAAACAACTCACCACCAAGGGCTACAGCACTGTGTCTCCAAGTTAACTTGAAAGGCAGTCTAGGCCATAGGGACTGCAACTCTTGGGCAAGTCTTAGTGCTGAATTAGGCTCAAAGACAGTGGACTGGAGGCACACGTGACATACTGAGACAACAGCTGGGACAGACAATGGAGTCCTGGTATTACTCCTCCACTAATCCCCAGGCTGCACAGCTCCAGGTTCCAAAAGAACCCCTTCCTGCCACTTGAGGAGAAGAGAGGGAAGAGTGGGGAGGATTTTGTCTTGCATCTAGGATACCAACTCAGCTACAGGAGGACAGAGCACCAGTCAGAGTTGTGAGGCCCTCCCATTTCAGGCCTTAGGTCCCAGAAAATATTTCTAGACACATTTTGGGCCAGAAGGGTGCTTGCTGCCTTGAAGGAAATACACCAGTCCTGACAGCGTTCATATACTTTTAAGTCATGAAGAGCCCTTGGGCCTGAATAACCAGCACCAATACCCAGATACTACATTGAGGGCGTTGGGTGAGAACTCTGAGACTTGCTGGCTTCTGATAAGACTCAGCACATTACCAGCTTGGTGGCTACGGGGCAAAACTCGTTCTGCTTCAGAAAAGCAGAGGGAAAAGTAAAGGGGACTTTGTCTTACGCTTTAGGTACCATCACTGCCCCGGGGGGTAGAGCACCAAGCAGGTTATTGGAGTCCCCAATTCCAGAACTTGACTCTTTGACATTTCTGGACCTGTCCTGGGCCAGCAGGGAGCTCTCTGCCCTGAAGGGTGAGTCCCAGCCCAGCCAGCATTCATGACAAGCTGACTTAAAGAGGCAGTGGGCCATAAAGGAACATTGGTGGTAGTCTGGCAGTACTCCTCGTGGCCTGGGTTGGAGGGGCCTATGGGGTGAAGCTTCTCTGCCTTTGCAAAGGGGAAAGAAGAGTGGAAAGGACTACACTGTGTGGTTTCCATGCCAGCTTAGCCGCAATACAATAGACCAGGTAGACTTCTAAGGTTTTTGACTCTAGTCCCTGACTTCTGGGTGGCACTTCTAGACCCACCAGTGCCTGTAGGACCTCCCCACCCAAGCGAAGGACACAAGCGTGGCTGGCTTTCCCACTTGCTGATTGTAGGGCCCCAGGTCCTTAAGCAAACAGAACTAGTAACCATGGAGTAGTTACAAAAGACCTTGGAAAAGACCCAAAACTGTGCTGGCTTCAGGTACGACCCAGTGCAATCACAGTGGTGGTGGCCACAGAGGTGTTTGCATCACTCCACCTTCAGCTTTAGGTGGCTCAGAACAGAGGGAGAGAGACTGCAAAAACCACAGCATTACTGGCCTTCGGGTGCCCCTTAAAGCAGATACAACTAAAATTAGAACACCCAAGTCCTTTCAAATATGTGGAAAGCCATCCCAAGAAGGATGGCTACAAATAAACCCAGACAATGAAGACTATAATAAATACTTAACTCTTAAATACCTAGATGCTGAAGAACATCTACTAGTATCAACACCATCTAGGAAAACATGAACTCACCAAATGAGCTCATGGCACCAGAGACCAATCTGAGAAACAGAAATATGTGACGTTTCAGACAGAGAATTTAAAATAGCTGTGCTGAGGAAACTCAAATAAATTCAAAAAACACAGAGAAGGAATTCAGAATTCTATCAGATATATTTTACAAAAAGACTGAAATAATATTGGCCAGGCATGGTGGTTCACACCTGCAATTCCCAGCACTTTGAGAGGCTGAGGCAGATGTATCACTTGAGGTCAGGAGTTTGAGACTCAGCCTGGCCAACATAGTGAAACCCTGTCTCTACCAAAAATACAAAAATTAGCTGGGCATGGTGGTGCACGTCTGTCATCCCAGCTACTCGGGAGGCTGAGGCAGGAGAATCACTTGAACTTGGGAGGCAGAGGTTGCAGTGAGCCAAGATCATGGCCACTGCTCTCCAGCCTGGGCAACAGAGCGAGACTCCATCTCAAAACAAAAAAAGAATCAAGTGGAAATTCTGGAGCTGAAAAATGCAATTGGCGTATTGAATAATGCATCAGAGTCCTTTAGTAGCAGAACTGATAAAACAGAATAAAGAATTAGTGAGACTGAAAACAAGCTTTTTGAAAATATACAGTCATAGGAGACAAAAGAAAAAAGAATAAAAAACAATGAAGCATGCCTACAGCATCTAGAAAATAGCCTCAAAACGGAAAATCTAAGAGTTATTGGTCATAAAGAAGAGGTAGAGAAAAAGATGGGTAAGAAAGTCTATTCAAAAAGATAATAACAGAGAACTTCCCAAACCTAGAGAAAGATATCAATATCCAAGTACGAGAAGGTTATAGAAGACTAAGCAGATTTAACCCAAAGAAGACTACCTCAAGGCATTTAATAATCAAACTCTCAAACATCAAGGATAAAGAAAAGATCATAAAACTAGCAAGAGAAAAGAAACAAATAACATACAGTGGAGCCTCAATACATCTGGCAGCAGACTTTTCAGTGGAAACCTCATAGGCCAGGAGAGAGTGGCAAGTCATATTTAAAATGCTGAAGGAACAAAACTCTTACCTTAGAATAGTATATCTGGTTAAAATATCCTTCAAACATGAAGGAGAAGTAAAGACTTTCCCAAACAAAAGCTGAGGGATTTCATCAATGCCAGGCCTGTCCTATAAGAAATGCTAAAGGGTGTACTTCAATCAGAAAAAGAACATTAATGAGCAGTAAGTAATCACCTGAAGGTACAAAACTCACTGGTAATGATAAGTACAAAGAAAAACACAGACTATTCTAACACTGGAACTGTGGTGTGTAAACTACCCTTATCCTAAGTAGAAAGGTTAAATGATGAACCAATAAAAAATAGTAACTACAACAACTTTTCAAGACATAGTACAATAAGATATACATAGAAACAACAAAAGAATAAAAAGCCAGGGGACAAAGTTAAGGTGTAGAGTTTTTATTAGTTTTCTTTTTACTTGTTTGTTTTATCAATAACACTGAATCTAAAAGAACTAAACTCTCTAATCAGAAAACACAGCCTGGTTGAATGGATGATAAAACAAGATCCATTGACCTGTTGCCAACAAGCAAGACACTTCACCTATAAAGACACACATAGACTGAAAATAAAGAAATGGAAAAACACATTCCATGCCAATGGAAACTGAAAGAGAATAGGAGTCACTATACCTAGAAAAAATAGATTTCAAGACAAAAGCTATAAGAAGAGACAAAGAAAGTCACTATATAATGATCAAGGGGTGAATTCAGCAAGAGGATATAACAATTTTAAATATATATGTAGCCAACACTGAATCACCCAGATATACAAAGCAAATATTAGTAGAGCTAAAGAGAGAGACAGGCCTTGATACAATAATAGCTGGAGACTTCAACACCCCATGCTTTGCATTGGACAGATTTTCCAGATAGAATATCAAGAAAGAAACATCAGACTTAATCTGTACTATAGACCAAATGGATCTAATAGATATTTACAGAACATTGCATCCAATAGCTGCAGAATACACACTCTTTTCGTCAGCACATGGATCATTCTCAATGACTGACCATACGTTAGGTTACAAAACAAGTCTTAAAACATTCAAAGTAACTGAAATAATATCAGTCATCTTCCCTGACCACAATGGACTAAAACAAGAAATTAATAAGAGGAATTTTGGAAACTATACAAATATATAGAAATTAAACAATATACTCCTGAATGACTAGTGGGTCAATAAAGAAATTAAGAAGAAAATTGAAAAATTTATTGAAACAAATGATAATGAAAACAACATGCCAAAATCTATGGGATATAGCAAAAGAAGTACTAATAGGGAAGTTTATAGCTATACATCAAAAAAAAGGAAAAATTTCAAATAAATAATCTAATGATACATCTTAAAGAATTAGAAAAACAAGAAGAAACCAAACCTAAAATTAGTAGAAGAAAGGAAATAATGATCTGAGGAGAAATGAATGAAACTGAAATGAAGAAAACAATACCAATGATCAATGAAAAATTAAACAAAATTGACAAACCTTTAGCCTGACTAAGAAAAAAAGGAGAAGATGCAAAGTAATAAAATCAGAAATAAAAAGACACATTACAAGTGATACTGTAGAAATTCAAAGGATCATGAGTGGCTACTATGAGCAACAATATGCCAATAATTGGAAAATCAAGAAGAAATGGACAAATTCCTAGATACATACAACCTACCAAGATGGAATCAAGAAAAATCCAAAGCCTGAACAGACCAATAACAAGTAGCAAGATTGAAGCTGTAAGGAAATGTCTCCCAGTAAAGAAAAGCCCAGGACCTAATGGCTTCAGTGCAGAAAAGCCAAAGCTACTCTAAGCAAAAAGAACAAAACTGCACATGTACCCCTGAGCTTAAAATAAAAATTAAATAAACAGTAAAAAAAGAAAATGTAGTGAGTAAATACTAAGGAACAAAAAAAGAAAAAAGCTATAATTCATTAGGAAAGATATACAAAGACTGATGACTCTATGGAAGGACAGGTATGAAATGTACAAGTATGGAATGTGTTTGTGCAGTGGGATACAAGGAGGAAGAGCAACTGGAAACATAAAACACAGGTGAACAACACAGGTAATAGCCAGTTTCTTATTGATTAGCACTGCTTAAGGAAGATTTAACGTCACAGTGCCTAATGCATAAGGTAGAATGCATGCCATTCTGATTCTGGCATATTGGAATGCATTTTATTTCTATGATACTCAAAACTGAACGTTTCTCCAGCTCACACCTGAAGCTTCATGAAAGAAGCAGAGAAAACACCAAGCACAAGCCAGGCAGGCAATGTGAAGACACTTTCACCTGCATATCATTTAAATCTCCTACATCTGGGGTTCTACAGAGGAGCTTGTCCAATGCCACAGAACTAATGATCTTGTAAGGGCTGATTGGTATTGAACCAATGGTCAATATGAACCCCAAATGAACCCCGAGTCCATTTGTTTTCCATCAACATGTTGCCTTAGGGAATGAAAATTTCTCAACGTGCTACATACCTTAGGATAGACACAGTTATAGGAGTACCGGCCATAAAGGTAAAAATAATTACAATAAAGAAAATGCAAAGGAATATGGGCAGTTTCGCACAATGAGTTTCACATTTTCCAGCTTTAGCTTCAAAACCAAAAGTTTCTGCAGTGGATGTTATTTCTGTTTTCCTTTCAATACAGGAACAGTTGTAATATACCTAAAAATATTAGACATAAAAACAATGAAAGTGATCATTTAGAAAATAAATTATTGTAAATTAGGTATTCTCTAGACATGGCAAACACTCTCATACTGTCTTAATCCATATTCAACAAATTATGCTGAGAGAATATTTAACCCTTAAGAAATTAAGCAAGTGGAAACAAACCATATTTATGATGTGGAATTATCTGTATTTGACTTTTGTGGCCATTACTTCAGTTTGTAACCTGCTACAGTGATTATTGACTTACAAAACAATTTAATGGGAATATAAGTTACATGACCTTGCACATTCTACACTTCTTTCAACAGTAATTATTTCTTAAAGTCATTTTACATCTCAACTCCATCCTTCCATATCCTTTATCCTTACTATAAATCTTTTTTAGACATTAAGGCCTCAACGAATCAGAGCAGAGCCAGAGAAATCAAAGAGAAGCAGTGCTTTCATTGTTCCAAAGGCCAGAAACTTTTTTTTTTTTTTTTTTTTTTTTGGTGCTAAAGCCATTCTAAGACCACTGGTACCAATTCAGGAAAACCAAATATGCAGATGACACCTCCAAAATTGACTATTACATATTCAGCAATCAGATATATCAAATAATGAGGTAATTCAGCCTTTAAAAATTTTAAGGAGAGAAACTGAGAACAGTATTTTCTATCCTAATGAAACTTTACCACTCTCATTTGCCTGCAATATAGCAGTTAGTCAAGGTCAGATTTTGTAGTTTGGGTCACTGGTGTGAAATATAAGATTAAAACTGTATTGCTGTGAACAAATGTATATGGGTGCTTATTAAAAGTATTATAAATGTATATTGCCTATCTGAAATATTTCATAAGAAAAATATTGTGGATCAATTGATTATTTCATGGACTGATTGGACATAAAAAAGTCAGGACAAATAGAAAATTTGCAAGTCAAAATCATTTGCTCTTCCTAAAAAATTCTAGAAGACAACTTGCTGTGTAAGATAGTAATTATCTTAGCATTTGGTGAAAAATATAAATATTAAATTAACCATATCGAAATAACAAAAACTATTTTAAGTATGCTCTGGGTATTAGATTTTCTGTGTTGTTCCCTTGTGCAGGATGGTATTTGTGTCTATATATATTTAGTTATGTGACTAAAACCCTTCCTAATAACTCCTTGTCATAATCTGCTTCTAATCAAAGTTAGTCAATAGCATTTATTGGTCATATATACAGAAAAAAATTCAAATATTCAAAATTGTCATATAACTCTTACACATCTTATTCATTGTTTTCTTTTATACCACAGTATATATTTCCCTTAGATCCTTTTAAAGTTATCACATTATCTACCAATGCATACTATACTGCGTACTACTCATAATCTGAATATTATTTATTTCCAAGGTTCTTAAGTTTAGCTAAGATGAAATATTTAGTTTCTAAGATATAGTACAGTAAAATTGTACTGAGTTCTTTTAAACTATTTAACTGTACAGAAAAGAAATAACATCTAGGCACACTGATTAGTATTCAGATCCAGAATTAAATATGAATTTGTATTTAAAAATAAATTGATTTGAATATTTTAAGTGTATTCATGGTATATCAAATAAAACAAATACTAAGTTTCTATTATATAAACTGTACCTAGTGAAAATAGGAAAACTCTCTTGCCTTCAAAGATCTTAAATAGTTAGGGAAAAATAAAATTGACCCTTGAACAACACAGGTTTGAACTGCACTGCTCCACTTACATGCGGATTTTTTTTTTCAGCTAAACATGGATCAAAAATACAGTATTCGCAGGATGCAAAACCCATATATACTGAGGTGCTGACTTAAAGCGAGTTCTTCAAGGCCATCGGCAGGACTTAAGTATGGCATATTTGGGTATATGCAGGGGTCCGGGAACCCATCCCCCATGTATTGTGAGGGATGACTATAAAACAATTTGAAAAGGTAAAAGATATTTCATAACTGCAACAAAGTGATGTTACTAAAATGTTTGTAACTTCCAAATTGATTTTTCAACAATAACTGCAAGAGGCATGAAGGAAAAAGAATCTATTTCAGCTGGAGACATCATGGGCTGCTTAACGGAGGCAATGGAGCAGGAAGGCAAGAATAGGCATTGCATAACCCCATTAGAGAAGTCAAGATAATCCACAAACATATTGCCTCATTAAGGGAAAAGTAGGAGACATAAGCTACCTTTGGCTTCCTGTGTGCAACTGGGTTTGAACAGCCTGCAAAGCAGGGAGAAAAATATTGGACTCCATCTCCACAGACAGGATAATAATATGATCGCGAACAGTTACAATTGGCATTACAAGGGGCTATCAAGTTTCCCAATTCTCCAGTCCTGTAAATAAGAAATGAAAGAAGGGTAAATGATCTGTCATAACTTTTAACTAACAATTTCGAAGCACTGTTATATCTTACCATTAGGTCATTTATTCACTCACTCAACACATAATTACTAAACAAATAAAACGTCTTCCTTTGCACATAAAGTTTAACTTCTTGTCGGAGAGAGGCAATAAAAACAATAGTCATATAGTATAGTATCTGTCAGTAATTTAAAATAAAAGGCAGAATAAGTGAAGAAGACAAGAGTTTCCCATCTGGCACCAGGTAATTCTCTTGTGGGGTTGGTTCTATGGACTATAGAATGTTTAGCAGCTTCTCTGACTTCCACCAGATACCAGTAGCACTCTCCTTCATTACAGCAACCAAAATATCTCCATACAGTGCCAAATATGTCCAGGATGCAGACAATATTTTAAACTTGGAAGGATGAACAAAATCATGCTGTTGAACATAATCATCTCATCAATGGGAAAACTGAGGTCCAGGGAGATTAAGTTACTTTTCTTTCCTTACCAAATATAATTTTCCCAGTCCCCAGGCTCAGTGTCATTGCAAGCTGCCTCTTAGAGAAAACATCTTCCCTAATATAAAGGGTTACACTAATCAAAAATGCATCCCTTATACCTCATTTATTTATTCATTCAAACAACATATATTGAGCAACTGCTAGACCCTATGCTGGGTAACGGGAATACAAAGCCGAATAAGACAGTCTCTGCCCTCAAGGATTTCACAGTTTAGAAGTAGAGAGGGACTTAGATAATTATTCAGTAATATGCTAAGTGTGGTTACAGATATCAGCAAAGTGCCTTTTAGAAGCACCAAGGAAGGACACCTAACACAAGCCAAAGTTTAGAGAAAAGGGGCTGGAGGAGCTACTGCCTGAGATGCGATTTAAAAAATGAGTAAGAGGCTGGTGCGGTGGCTTACACCTGTAATCCCAGCACTTTGGGATGCCAAAGCGGGTGGATCACTTGAGGTCAGGAATTTGAGACCAGCCTGGCCAACATGATGAAACTCATCTCTACTAAAAATACAAAAATTAGCTGGGCATGGTGGCAGGCACCTGTAGTCCCAGTTCTCGGGAGGCTGAGGCAGGAGAATCTCTTGAACCCACGAGGCAGACGTTTCAATGAGCCAAGATTGCGCCACTGCACTCCAGCCTGGGCAACAGAGTGAGACTCCATACAAAAAAAATCGTAAAAAATATATAAAGAATGAGTACAAGTAAGCCAGTCAAATGGGGAAGGGGAAACGTACTTCAGAAAAAGCTGGTACAAAGGCATAGGGTAGAGAAACAGCATCCTCTGTGGAGAAATATGAATGATGTCTGAGGCACAGAGTGATGGGAAATGTAGCTGGACAGGAGTAAAGGACCAGTTTAATTGAGAGCCACATGGGCCTGACAAAAGGTAATCGTTAAGGTATTTTTAGAATGGAAAGTGACACTGTCAAAAGTTCGTTTTAAAGAAGTAATTCTAGGAGTTGTACAGAGTATGAATTTGAAGAAAGGGGACCAGTTACAATACCCTAGACAGTAGGTGATGACAATATAAAGGAGAGCTAAGATAGAACATATGATGATAGGAAGCAGATTAAAGAAAACTTTTGGATGTAGAATCAGTAAGATTTGGTGATGGATTGGTTGAAGATGACTCTTCCTGTTAAAAATGGAAGAGGCTACTCAAGAGGCTTAGGCAGAAAAATCACTTGAGCCCAGGAGTTTGAGGCTGCAGTGAGTTATGATTGTGCCACTGCACTCTAGCCTGGGCAACAGAGTGAGATCCCATTTCCAAAAAAAAAAAGAATGGAAGAGTCAAAGGTGACTCCTAATATCTAACCTGGTGTTTAGGTACAGGAGAACAATGATGAGTATGGTATTGTAAGTAATAAGATTAAGAGTATCTCCAATTTGGTGGAGAAGAAATCTTGAATGGAGCTAGATTTCTTAATAACCATTTGGACATAGATGTAGCTGAAACCACGAACATTTATAAGATCAGTCATATAGTGTATGGAATGAGAAGGGTACTGAAGTCTTGGGAGTCCACTTATTTAATAAAGACACAATGGACACCAATTATGTGCTAGACTACTCAAGGTGGTAGAATTATATTTAAAAGAAAGAAGGAGCTAGAGTTAGAACTAGAAATGACAGATTGAGGGAGAGAGAGAAATGGATAGAAGGAACGGAATGAGGGAGTGAAGGAGAAAAGGAGAAAGAGGGAGGGAGAGGGAAGAAGGAAGGGAGAAAAGCGAGAAGGAAGGGAAACGGGGAAAGAAGGAAGGGAAGAAGGGAGGAAGGGAAGGGAAAGAGATAAGGAAAGGGAAAGAAGGAAAAGGAAGGGAAGAAGGGAGGGAGGAGGAGAAGCAAACCTCTGCCACCATGAAGCTAACTTCCTTGCATCAGGGGTCAAACACAGTAAATGAGTGATTTCTGTAAGTATTAGAAGATAACCGACACTGTGTTGGAAAATGATGACATACAAAGTAGGCGGAGAACAAGAAAGTCATGAAGAAAACAAATTAAAGAGAAAAAAATGACTAAATCAGTAGGGAGTCTGAAGGAAAGAGTGATCAAGATAGTAATCTGCCACTCTGCCTGCAGTCTCATCTTATTCAAATCTATTCCACAGATGCTGCCAGATTTATCTTTATCAAGTATGATGATAATATCAAGGGTTGATCACATTCACAAAAGCCATCACCAGAGTGTCCGCTCACAGAGCTCATAACATAGATGCAGAAATAAGACAACCAGAGAAAAACCATCCCTGCAACTCTAGAAATAGCCTTTACACAGCAATTTTTAAAGTTCCCAATATATAATTCTCATGTTATTGATAAATAATTACTGAGATCATACAAAGTATAAGACAGCATGATGCAAATTATAGTATTAACAAAGAAATATAGCTTATATTCCTTAATATCAAGGGGTGGTCACATTAGTCTACATATTTTACAAAGGTTTACTTCTTGAGGTAACTAGAAAGCTATTAGTAGAAAAACGGCAGATGCTTGTGAAGTTTATTAAATTTTCTTAGTGTATACATATTTAAAAATATTAAAATATCCTATTTTGAAATGTTTAATAGATTTAAAATATAATAAAATAAATGTGCATATATAAACATCTTTATGTTTGCCACAAGTAGAATTCAAACATTAATTTCTTAAATACAAAGTATTCTATAATTATGCCTCTATAACAGGCTAAAATTTCCCTAAAACTATTGCAAAATATTGATATGCCTCTTTAAGATGCTATTTCATATAATCAATAAAATTCTAGCTAAAGATCAGATACAGAAAAAAATACTGTGTGTATACACTATGGTATTTCTATATTCTATGAGGTTTTAAGTAAAACATGAATCATCATTACCACCACTGATCACCAAAATAAGACTCAAAGTTCCTATAGATTGTCAAGGCAACAAAAGAGCAGTGGGGAACAGTGGGAAAATAAACAGTATTCATGCAATCGAATTTAGTATTGTGCCCAATTAAAGATTTAATAATAAATTACTTTAAAATATTATTGAAAAATATCCTGACCATTATCTCAAGCAAATTAACACAGGCACAGAAAACCAAATACCACATGCTCTCACTTAAAAGTGGGAGCTAATCACTGAGTACTTATGGAATAAAGATGGCAACAATAGACACTGCAGATACAAGAGGGAGAAGAGAAGAAGTGGGGCAAGTGTTGAAAAACTATTAGCCAGGCACAGTGGCTCGCACCTGTAATCCCAGCACTTTGGGAGGCCGAGGCGGGTGGATCACCTGAGGTCAGGAGTTCAAGATCAGCCTGGTCAACATGGTGAAACCCTGTCTCTACTAAAAATACAAAATTTAGCTGCGTGTGATGGCACGCCTATAATCCCAGCTACTCGGGAGGCTGAGGCAGGAGAATTGCTTGAACCCAGGAGGCAGAGGTTGCAGTGAGCTGAGATCGTGCCACTACACTCCAGCCTGGGCGACCAAAGGAGACTCTATCTCAAAAAAAAAAAAAGAAAAGAAAAACTATTCAGTACTATGCTTGGTACCTGGGTAACAGAATCAATCATACCCCAAACCTCAGCATCATATAATATACCCAGGTAACAAATCTGCACATGTACCCCCTGAATCTAAAAGTTGAAATTATTTATATATATATATATCCCCTGATCTTACATTTTTTGGAAATGCTGTTATATTAAACAGGGACTTTCAAAGAACATATCAATGAACCTAATTCATTAATTCATGGATGCAAAATCTCTTTTTACCCATCTGTGCTTACCATGGCAAAAGTCAAAGATTCTTTGCACCCCTCTACTAGAAACCCTACATCCTCAGAACCTCTTCTGTCTCTCACTCCCTGAAAAGGTATTTCTTGAGCTTCTTAGTCTGTTCTTTCCATAGACAGGCTTACCTAGCTTTACTTTACTTTGTTTTATTGTACTTTGCAAATCTTGTGTTTTTTACAAACTGAAGGTTAGTGGCAACCTAGTGATAGTGATAGTATTCAGTAAGTCTATCAAGTGCCATTTTTCCCAGAGTACACGATCAGTTTATGTCTATTTCATATTTTGGTAACCTTGCAAAATTTCAAACTTTTTCATTATCATTTCTGTTATGGTGATCAGTGATTTTTGATGTACTATAATAATTGTTTCAGGACACCATGAACCATGCCCCTTTAAGAAGTAAAATTTAATCAATGAATGATGTGTGTGTTCTGACTGCTCATTATTGTCTTATTTTAAGAAGCTGCCACAACTACCCCAACCTTTGGCAACCACCACCCTGGTCAGTCAGCAGCCATCAACACTGAGGCAAGACTCTCTACCAGCAAAAAAATTACAACTTGCTGAAGGCTCAGATGATTGTCAGCATGTTTCAGCAATAAATAATTTTTAAATTAAGGTATATACATTGTACATTGCTTTTCTAGAAATAAGGTTATTGTATATGTAATAGACTACAGTATAGGGTAAATATAACCTTTATATGCACTGGAAAACCAAAATATCCACTTGAGTTGCTTATTGCAATATATGCTTTATTTTGGTGGTCTGGAAGCAAACCCACAATATCCTCAACATATGCCTGTACCTTTTCTTTTATACGTGTTTCTTAGATGAGACTAGTTTGACTGACCTGTTTGTAATATACACATTTTAATACTCAGTGTATAGAAGCTAAAACTAAGAATTTGGGGCCATGAGAAAAAAATGATCTGAAAATGTCACACCTACTTTGTGACATTAAATTCTGTTCCTATTTCTATTTATATCTATATACACACACATACATAAATATGAGTAAAAACATATACGTTTAGTGATATTTATGTGTATTCACTTTCAGTTTTTCTCATCACTAAGAAACATGTATGTGTATTAAACACTATATCCCAGATCTTAATATATCTTAATGGCCAACCCCTACGTGAACCTCAGAATTACCCCATCACACATGCCTTCCTTTCTGATTACACACCTGGACAGCACACCTGGTAGTAACTATTATTTAAGGTAGACAATATTAAATGGATTCACATGTACTTTGTTACTCAAGGTGATAAACTATGTGTTAAACTATCCAGAACTTCCTTTTTTTTCTAAAAGGAACATACAAAAAATGTTTACTGGGATAAGTTTGGGTGAAGTTTATAGGGGTGAAAGTCAGGTCTACACAACTTAACCTCTACCTACCTTTCAACATTCCAAAATATATTTCTACTATTTCTAGACACATAATCTAAGTTCCATTCAACCTGGTCTCTGAAACTAGCCTTCACATTTTATAGCATTTATAACCTTGGTTTAGCATATTCCCTCTCCCTTTCTCTCTTCTCAAATCTTTATTTCTCAAAACTCTTTGTATCCTTGAAGGATTTTTAAACCCCATTTCACTATTATGCTGTGAAGCCCTTCTGGATTCTAATCAAATAAAATTGAAAAGCTCACCTTCTTTTCAATTCCATAGCAATTTTTTTTAATCTCCCATTACCTAATTGACTATTTGTTCACTGTTTTCTTTTGCAATCTCTCCTTTAGAACAGGTATTTTGCCAAGAAGATCTGCCAGAGGAAGCATTCAACAAATGTTGAACAAATGTAATGGAGCTTGGCCGGGCGCGGTGGCTCACACCTGTAATCCCAGCACTTTGGGTGGCCGAGCCAGGCAGATCACTTGAGGTCAGAAGTTTGAGACCAACCTGGCCAACAGGGCGAAACCCCACGTCTACTAAAAATACAAAAATTAGCTGGTCATGGTGGCATGCGCCTGTAGTCCCAGCTACTCCAGAGGCTGAGACAAGAATCATTTGAATTCAGGAGGCAGATGTTGCCGTGAGCCAAGACTGTGCCACTGCACTCCAGCCTGGGTGACAGAGCAAGACTCTCTGTCTAAAAAAAACAAAAAAAGAAAAAAATGTGATGGAGCTTAACTAAACACTGCTTTAGAACACTCAGCATTAATGTAAAAGAATCACAGATATATTAGCAGCAACTACAAATCATGATGATTGTCATTGGCAAACTTTTCTGAGCAAAGTAGATTATATTTATATCATCTATATGTCATATTATACAAAATTATGGAGTCCTTGACCTAACGTACCACTTTCCTTGACAGCCTCAAACACATGTAATGAAACAATTAAAGCAGCACTGTGAGGTATAAAATGCACTGCTGTGCAACACCCTCCTGCCTGACCACCTACTTATGGCTTAAAATTTCAAAGCAAAACAAAAAAGGAAAACAAAGAAATATAAATGGTTGAATCAGTTATAGCTAGAAACATGTCTACAGGTGAGAACAAGTTATTTATTTATTTACAATAAACATAAACTTCTAAGTAGATACAATAATGGTAAGTATTAGCAAGGACTAGCTTTATTCTAATTTCTCTTCTTGTCTGTTTGCAACCAACCTAATAAGATAATTTTTATCATAATTATGGAGTTATTTCCATTTCTAAAAACTTAAATCAATAAAAGCATATAATGTGAAATTCTCCCTAGGATGTGAATCGCTTAGAGGCAAAAATCCTACAGTATTAATCTTTGTATCACTGAGGAAGTATAGTGCCCAGTATATGAAAGTTGCTCCTTAAATGTTCTTTGTATAAATATCCCCAACTTTTAAGAAGACATCAATTATCTAAACTAAAAACAAAACCACATGTTCTTACATAGGAAAAAAGGTCTTCCAAATTTTTAAAAAGCCAATTTCTCACCATTTAAGAAAACATATGCTTGGAAATGCTTAGTCTATTATTCTGGTATTAATATCAAAAAGCACTGAATTGTATTTACCCATTATATGATTCAGATACACCAGCAAATGGCTCATTTTCACATTTGGCATACATAAATACAAAACTCAGCGTAAGTGCAACTCCAGATGTGAACAGTGCAAACTTCATTGTGTTTTTACATGTCATTCTGAATTTTGAAACAAGGAAGCCACCTAAAATTTGACCGAGAGCAGCTCCAGGAATTAAAACAGCCCCTAATAAGAAAAAAGAATGTAGATTGTGAGAAACCATACACATATACTCACTCATACTGACAACTGGAAAACATCAAAAACAAGTGTCAATATGGTTTTAACTTATATTTATTCACCTGATATAGAAATACATGTACAAATGACTTAAAGGTCCATCAAGTAGGGAATTAGTCAAATTAATGTATTGAACATTAAGATTAATATATGTTCTCTTTAGGAATTTTAGCCTTTGTCTTTCTCTAGTTCATACAAAAGATTGCCTAATGTCAGAAAATCAGAAATTTTTACCAAAATTAAGTTTAAGTGTCTTTTTTTTTTTTTTTTTAAAGACAAGATCTCATTCTGTCACCCAGGCTGGAGTACAATGGCGCAATCTCGGCTCGCTGCAGTCTCCACCTCCCAGGTTCAAGTGATTCTCCCACCTCAGCCTCTGAAGGACCTGGGACTACAGGTGCGTGCCACTATGCTCGGCTAATTTTTATGTTTTTTGGTACAGACAGGGTTTCACCATGTTGGCCGGGCTGGTTTTAGTTTAAATTTCAAGGAGGGCTACCTCAAATTATACACTATCCTCATAAAAATTTAATATAGTAAAGTAAAATTTTTAGGTTAAGATAAAGAAAATGTTTTACCTCCAAGAGTAGCTGCGAAGCTGGATGTCAATCCGAATTGATTTTCTATAAATTTAGGTAAAAATGTAGCAAATCCAGTAGTAATTAAGGCTTCTGAAGAAGTTGATAGAACTAAACACATAAAGACAGCATTCTTCATCAAATTCTAAAGAAAAAAATACAGTTCCTCAAATGAATAGCTATGATTGTATTGCAAAGTACAGAATTAGAAGGTTAGCATGATGAAATAACAAAATTTTACAATCATCTGTAAAATTTCAGCATTTCCTCCAAAACAAAAATATAACTATGGATAATTAATAGAATTACACATACATGATGAGAAAATTTATATGTGGAAAACCTAGAAAATTGATAGATAATTCCTCAACATGGTGGTTATGCATTTATTGCATTCCAAGGGCTATGGAAAGAAGGTAAAAGCCTTCTTGGAAAAGTTCCCTTCCCCAGTGTTACTGTAAATCTCCACACTATAAATCTACCACCTATTTGATATTTTATTGTGTTCTGAATTCCTATGTACAGTAAAGAAAGAGTTTAAGACTATGAGCAGAGATGAGAATGGTCTCTAAGTATCAAATTAATAGTATGGTTCCATGATTACACTCAGCAATTAAGCACTTTAGAAACACAGTTAAGCAACTTTAAATAGGTGTCTATATGGCTAGACCTCTCATAATCTTATTTATTGACAGAGGGTAGTATGGAGGTTAATTGTGTTAATACATTTAACCACAAAATGAAAACCAAATTATAGTTCTCAAATATTAAATGCCAAAAAATTTTTCATAAAACCAAGCAAAACACAAACACACACACACACCACACACACACGGAGTCACAAAGGAGCAAGATGGGAGCTTTAGAAGTCAGAGCCACATAGACTGACAAAAGGAGGAAAAAGTACCTAAAAACATGCAATAATTTAAAATAATTAATAATAATAAAAATAGCAATATTTTAAAAAATTGTCTTCAGATTGAAAATAATCAAATCTTGAGAAGAATTAATGAAAAAAGACATATACTTCAGCATAACTGAGTAAATTTCCTGTAATCAAAGATAAATGAAAAAACTTACCAACATAAAGATGAAAAGAATAAGTCAGAATCGCACTAACATAAAACTTCTCAAATACAACACAATTAAGTAGAAAAGAGCAAACAATATCCACAGACTACTGGGATTAAAGAGGAATGATCCAAAAGTATTCACCTAGTAAAATATATTATTCAGACATTCAAGGATATCTAGGTGGTATCCTATCTAAGGAAAACCAACAAGAAAATGTTGAATTCATAGAGATTGAAATCAGAATAGAGAGATCTCTAAGCAGGAGGACACAAGGACAAAAAAAAGTAATGGTCAGTAATGACTCTATATGGTAATGTAAATTAAAATTTATAAGATAAACTAAACAGGAATAATGAAATAGAACAGAACTACTGTAAGAGAAAATAACAGTAGTTGCAATTAAAGCATGAACAATATCAGCAAAACACAAGAATGTGCATGTATGGTGTGGAGAGTTGAAAGATGGGCTGAGTGGAGAAGTAAAAACATTTTAAGGCTTTTATTTGACAAGAAACCAAAAACAATGAAAAGCAAACAATTTCACATCTTGAAAAGGTAAAATTATAAAGTCCTTTATGAATAAAACTTTTATAACACTAAATAGAAAGAATACTTTTCTGCTGAGTACAACTTAATGGACCATAACACTTTTGTTCTTTAGCCTCGAATTCAAAAGAAGTTACCACTAACCACCTCTTTCACAAAAGAAAAATATTGTTTCAGAATTCTCAAATATATTTACAATTCAGTGATAATTGACTAATCAATTTCATAAGGAAAATGTCATGGAATAATGGGCTATTAGTGTTAACAAGGAACCACTGAATATGATATTGCCAATAAGACAACTCATGCTCTTTCAACCATTCTACCCTGCAATAGTTTTCATTTACTCAAAAGACAATAAAACTGAATCCAAAGAGTTGTTTATAAGAGCTCAAATTGTAGTAAACAAGCAAACAAAATGCTACTATGAAAAGATGGCATGTGTGTTTGCATGTGTGGGTATGTGTTGGTGTGTGTGGGTTTATGTGGGTGTTTATATGTATGTATACATGTGTGGTTGTATTTGTATATATATATGTGTGTATATATAATATATAAACACATCTACACATATGTACATGTGAGGTGTGTGTGTGTATATGTGTGTGTGTATGAGACTGAGAGAGAGACAGAGAAGAATTTTATTTTACCTTTAGAGCAGCTGGAAAATCTTTAATACTTTTTCCAAATTTCACATCTGCATTACTATTACTCTGATGAGCCTGGGAAGTTTTTCCAGCTTGAATTTCTGCTGTACCTAAAAAAAAAATATATATATATATATAATATATATATTATACATATAATATATTATATGTATAATATATATAATATATAATAAGTAAACGTGCTCTATCATTTTATTCTTCATGTAAAAAAAGTGCTTACTTTTTAACCGACACATACTTCCACTAGTATATAAATTCTATAAGAGGCTAGTTCTTCTGTTAATAAAATTGTTCAAATATGTAAATATCCATGTCTGTAATCAGGATGCCCCAAGAACTAGTATTCATTATTACTAGCTAAGGAAGTTCCAACCAGTCTAAACATTAAAATGAGACAATTTTGCTCCAATCACACATCTATGCTTTTCATTTAAAATCTCTTAACATTTTTTTCTTCCTTTCAAATGGTTCTCTTTTTGATCTTTTACATTAAAGTACTTTTGTGGCTTTTTTCCTCTGCTCTCTTAATCCTAACATGCTTGACAAATGAAATATTTGCCATCTTATTACCATGTCCCTTTGATTTTTAATAATGGTACTGCCAACAAATTTGAGAAAACAGTTAACATATGGAACTATAAATGAATGGCTCAGGGTAGAAAGAAATTAACGCGTCTACCTACTCAGTCTGTCAGATTGTCTCTTGCCCATTTCCAAAAGTTAATAATCTATCCTGCTGCAAATAACAATGTAAACAACTAAATACCTTCAACCTAAAGAAAAATACTTCTACAGATATGAATTTTAACTACATGATTTTACAGAAGCAAGAGCTCATAGAGAAAAATGAATAGTCTTTCTTATTAACCTTTTCTTTTTATATAGAATGTTTAGTATTCAAGCCGGATGTGGTGGCTCATGCCTGTAATCACAGCACTTTGAGAGGCTGAGGCAGACAGATCACCTGAGGTCAGGAGTTCGAGACCAGCCTGGCCAACATGGCAAAACCCCATCTCTAATAAAAATACAAAATTAGCCGAGAGTGGTGGCACATGCCTGTAGTCCCAGCTACTCAGGAGGCTAAGTCAGGAGAATTGCTTGAACTCGGGAGGCAGAGGTTGCAGTGAGCGGAGATCGTGCCACTGCACTCCAGTCTGGGCAACAGAGGGAGACTCTGTCTCAAAAAACATAAAAGAAAGAAAGAAAATAATGTTTAATATTCACATACAGTAAAAAAAAAAAAAGTACGCTACGGAATGACTTCAGTGATAACTTAAAAAAAAAAGTACTTGCACTTTTAACTACAAATAATTAACATGAATGATTTAAGACAGATTGAAATTAATGACTAACTGAATACAAACTAACAGTTTAAAAGACGTTGTACCTTGCATACACATAAAGCAGAATTGCAGATAAAACATAAGAAACAAATTTATTAAGTACTAAAGAGGTAAATATTCATAGTTTTATTATTAATTGGAAATTAAAAAAACATGAATATTAAGATTGTTACCCAATATTTTCTAGAATGAAGAATATTCAAAAGTTTACATAGGCAGACAGTTGAGATTCTATAAAAGAAACAGGGTGAATCTATAGTTCTTATTAATCATATAGAAAATAGCAACTGGCCTACAATTAAAATAAACCTCTCTGGTTTTAAAGAAAGCATGTTTACCTGGTAAATGTTTTGGAAAGCAAGAAAAAGGTATTATTAAAGACCAAGCAAAGATCCATGATAGAAGAAACCCAATCCACCAAGCTCCCAACCATCGCGGATCATCCTCAGTGACATCAGTGCTATATGATAGAAAAACAAGAGGTAAAAGTCAACTCTACCTTATTAATTAAAACTCAGTTAGGATAATCATATACTTTATACTTCAAGTGCATATAGTAGAATATGATTATAATATCCAACAGTTTAATGGTGCCATTGCAAAGAATCAGAAAACAGGTAGCAGACATAATTGAGAGTTATAAGAATAATGGTTTACAAAATGTTTAAAAATGGCAAATATGACACAAAAGTTTAAAATATCTAATAGTAAATATGACAAATATTTGAAAAGATATGTAGAATTTCTCAACATTCTTTTAACTTTGGCTGAATTTTCTTCTCTACTGTATTAAATTAAATATATATCACAGCAAATCACTGATCTGTGTTAAAAGTCCAGAGTGTGCTTCAATTAGAGCATTTCTTTAATGTAAAATTAGTCTTAAAGCAACTATTTATTTGTCTATTTATTTCTTTGAAACAGGGTCTCAGTCTGTCACCCAGGCTGGGGTGCAATTGCATGATCATAGTTCACTGCAGCCTTGAACCCCTGGGTTCAAGTGATTCTCCCATTTTAGCCTCCCAAGTAGCTGGGACTTCAGGCACAAGCCACTCCTGGCCTCAAGTGATCCTTACACTTTGATATCCCAAAGTGCTAGGATTACAGGTATGAGCCACTGTGCCGAGCCAGGAGTCTCATATTTTAATACACTTTGGCCCTTTCCGAAAATACACTAATCCTACAACTCCTGTAATTTTCCACTGAAATTAAAATGTCCTTTCTTAAATCTCTGGGTCACTAATTCAAGAGTTCTTCTGCATGCCTTTTTATAGGCTGTGAAAGATTAACCTAGGACTAACAGTTTAGAGAACAAATCACATACCTATGACCACATTTTTATATTCACTGCTCATGGTCATGTAGAGGATTGTGCAGTTATTATTCCCAGTGGCAAAATGAAAAAAAATATGACCTCAGTAAAGGCACAAATTTCTCTAATCAGGAAATGGAGAAGGTAAGTAACTCAGTGTTGAATTTTGGAGTCAAAGAGATCTACTTTAATTCATGTCTTAGCCACTTACCAACCTGTGCGTATCAACTACTTTGCAGAATACTTGAGAGGATTAAATAAGATAGCACATAAAATAAGTTAACACTCAAAACATATGGTGTCTGGTATATAGCATAGGACAAATAAATATTATCTATTACTATCTTTCATTGTCATCATTGTTAAAATGGCATAATTGTGATCTCTGACATTATCAGAGTTACTATGGAACATTTTCTGAGAATCACAGACTCTTGAGACTCTTCAGACTATCTAGTCCCAACTAAATCTATGGAAAATACTGCTAATTTTTATTGAATTCTTATTTTTGAACAATGCATGGGGTCCTACATACTTATTTTTAAAAATTTCACCAGATGACTTTATTAAATATTATTTATGAAAATATGTTATTATAATAAAAGATGGTATAGCACTGACCCAAAAGGTAATGCAGCCAAATAAGATATTATATAAGAATTCTTTGTATTCAATTTTGTTTCCTGAATAATTCCTCATGCTATACTGAGGGAAGTACTGTGAAAATGTTCTGTCTATGATGCTGGCATAATTAAAATAAAATGACTTTAAATAAAAGAAAAATAGATACTGCCTTGCCTTTCTCCCATAGCAACATCAATGTATATGGTTAGCAGTTGTCCTCCCAATACATAGCCAATAGCAGGGCCTAAGATTGACATAGCATAACCGGTTCCTAGAAGAAGAACAGAGACATTGAATACAGTCATATGTACAACTTCACTTTGCATATCTAACAGTGAAAACAAATATTTTACTACAGAAAAATCTAAACAATTAAACATATCAAAATCACACATATTTTCACTAAAACAATACCATTTGAATTGATAGTCAAGTCAAAAATCCTAAAACACATAACTCAATATAAAAGCTATTTGTAGTAATACTTAGAACAAAACCAAAAATTATAAATCCATGGAAAGTGTTGTTAACTGGCAGTAGAGGTAGTATATCTACCATTTATCCTTTACTGATAGTGATCATAGTTACACTTTACAATATCATGAAGAAAACAATGCAAGCAATGTGAAACAAGAAGTCTTTTCTACTCTGCACAACTCAGACAGAATTTTGTATTTTGCACTACAGCAGCTGACTTCAAATCTGGATGTGCTGATCAGTCTATTTCTTAAAAGTAAGCCATTAGATTTCTTGCTCTTAGGGTAGGGACTCTCCCTATTTTTACTTGCAGTAGAATTAAATTGAGCTTATTTCTATCTGTGAGATATTTAAAATGTTGCCATATATAACTCTGAATTTTCATAAAACAAAAGTTATTTGACCACTCATGTCTTTTTATTGTTGTTGTTGTTGCTGTTTATTTAAGCTCCCAAGTATTTTGGGGAGTCAGTTGAATATAGTTTCACTTTTTTTCCCCTTTTTTAGTTGACACATAACCATTGTACAGATTTAGAGTGTACATGGTTATGTGTCAATACATCTATACAATGTGTAATGATCAAATCGTAGTAATTAGCACACCCATCACCTCATACATTTATGACTTGTTTATGTTGGGAACATTCAACATCCCCTCTTCTAGCTTTTTGAACATATACAATGAGTAATGGTTAACTATATTCAATCTACAGTGCTATATAGAACACCAGAATTTATTTCTCCTAACTGTAGTTTTCTATCCATTAACAAATCTCTCCATATCCTCCCCTTCCCATATCTTCCCCAGCCTTTAATAACCGTAATTCTATTCTCAAATTCTATGAGCTGATATTTTTTCTTTTTAGCTCCCACATACCAGTAAGAACATGCAATATTTATCTTCTGTGCCTGACTTGTTTCATTTAACAGGATGTCCTCTAGGCTCACCCATGTTACTATGAATGACAGGATTCTTTTTTTTTTATGGCTGAATAGTATCCTGTTGTATATACATTTCGCATTTTCTTTATTCATCTGTTGACGAATATTTAGCTTGATTCCATCTCTTAGCTATTGTGGGAAGCGCTACAATAACATGGGGACACATGGTGGTCATCTGTATATCTTATTTTGAAAAATGGCTATATAGATTCTTTGCTTATTTTATAATTAGATTATTTGGACATTTTGCTGTTGAGTTGTTAAAGTTCTTTATATATTCTGGAAATTAGACCTTTGTTGGATGAACAGTCTGCAAATAATTCCTCCTGTTTTATAGGTTGTCTCTACAATCTGATGATTGTTTCGTGTGCTGTGCAGCAACTTTTTAGCTTGATATAGCCCCATTTGTCTAATTTTGTTTTCGTTGCCTATGCTTTTGCAGTCTTAGCCATATAATCTTTGCCTGGAACAATGTACTAAAGTGTTTCCCCTATGTTTTCCTCTGGTAATTTTATAGTTCTGAGTCTTACATTTAAGTCTCTAATCCATTTTGAGTTGATTTTTGTATATGGTGTGAGATAGGGGTCTAGTTGTATTCTTCTGCATATCAATATCCAGTTATTACAGCACCATTTATTAAAGAGTCCCCAGTGTATATCCTTGGTATCTTTAGCAAAAATCAGTTGGCCATAAATACATAGATTTATTTCTGAGTTCTCTATTCTGTTCCATTGGTCAATGTGTCTGTTTTGATACCAACACCATCCTTTTTTGATTACTAAAGCTTTGTTGTATAATTTGAAATCAGATAGTGTGATGCTTTCGGTTTTGTTCTTTGTGCTCAGGATTGTTTTGGCTATTTGGCATCTTTTCTAGTTCCGTATGAATTTTAGGACTGTTTTTCCATGTCTGTGAAAAGTGACATTGGAATTTTGATAGGGATTGCATTGAATCTGTACATTGCTTTGGGTAGTATAGACAGTCATTTCAACAATATTCACTCTTTGAATCCATGAGCATGGGATGCCTTTCCATTTTTTTTCTGTTTTCAGTTTCTGTCATCAGTGTTTTGTAGTTTTCCTTTAAAGATTCTCGCCTCCTGGGTTAAATTTGTTCCTATGTATTTCTTTGTAACCATTATAAATGATATTACTTTCTTGATATATTTTTCAACTAGTTCATCATTGGTGTAAAGAAATACTACTGATTTTTTTAATGTGACTTTGTACCCTGAAACTTCACTGAATTTATTTAATAGTTCTAAGAGTTTTTTGGTGGAGTCTTTAGATGTTTTTATGTAAGACTATGTCATCTGTGGAGAGAGACAATTTGGCTTCCTCTTCTCCAATTTTGATGTCCCTTATTTCTTTCTCTTGCCTAAGTGCTCTGAATAGGACTTCCAGTACCATGTTGAATAAGAGTGATGAAAGTGGGCCTTCAGCCAGGCCTGGTGTCTCACACCTGTAATCCTAGCACTTTGGGAGGCCGAGGTGGGTGGATTATCTGAGGTCAGGAGTTCGAGACCAGTATGGCCAACGTGGTGAAACCCTGTCTCTACTAAAAATACAAAAATTAGCCAGGTGTGGTGGCAGGTGCCTGTAATCCCAGCTACTTGGGAGGCTGAGGCAGGAGAATCACTTAAACCCAGGAAGCAGAGGTTGCAATGAGCAGAGATCGCACCACTGCACTCCAGCCTGGGTGACAAGAGCGAGATTCCATCTCAAAAAAGAAAAGAAAAGAAAAGAAAAAAAACAGAAAGTGGGCTTTCTTGTGCTTCAGTTCTTAGAGGAAAGGCTTTCAGCTTTTTCTCATTCAGTATAACGTTAGCTGTGGGTTTTCCATATACGGCCTTTACTGTGTTGATGTACGTTCCTTTTATACCTAATTTCTTAAAAGTTTTTATCATGAAGGGATATTGAGTTTCATCAAATACATTTCTACATCTACAGAGATGATCATGTGATATTTGTCCTTCATTCTGTTTATGTGATGTATCATATTTATTGATTTCCATATGGCAAACTAATTCTTGCATCACTGAGATCAATTCCACTTGAACATGGTGTATTATTTTTTGATGTGCCATTGAATTTGGCTAGCTATAATTTTGTTGAGGAATTTGTATCTATGTTCATTAGGGATATTGGCTTGTAGCTCCTCTTTACATTCTGTTTTTCTCTGGTTTTGGCATCAGGGTAATACTGGTCTCAGAATAAGTTAGGAAGAATTCTCTCCTCTTCAACTATCTGGAATAGTTTGAAAAGAACTGGTGCTAAGTTCTTCTTTACAAGTTTTATAGACTTCAGCAGTGAAGCCATCCAGCCCTGGGCTTTTGTTTCATAGGAGACTTTTTATTATTGATTCAATCTCATTACATGTTATTTGTCTGACCAAGTTTTCTATTTCTTCCTGGATCAATCTTGGTAGGTTGTATGTGCCTAGGAATTTATCCATTTTCTCCAGGTTTTTCAATTTGTTGGATGTATTTGTTAGTAAGACTAACAATCCTTTGTTTTTCTGTGGTATCAGCTGTGATGCCTTCTATTTTGTTTCTGATTTCACTTATTTAGGTCTTCTCTCTTTTTTTAAGTCTAGCAAATGGCTTTATTTTATCTTTTCCAAAAAACCAATTTTCATTTCATTGATCTTCTGTAGTTTTTTTTTTTTTTAACTCTTGTAACTCTTGTTTAGTTCTGTTATAGTCTTTATTATTTCTTTCCTTCTAATTTTGGGTTTGTTTGTTCTTGCTTTTCCATTTCCTTGAGGTACATCATTAGGTGGTTTATTTGAAATCTATTTTTATGATGTAGGTGTTTATTGGTATAAAATTCCCTGTTAGCATTGCTTTTGCTGTACCTCATAAGATTTGGTTTATTGTATTTCTAATTTCATGTAATTCCTTCTTAATTTCTTCATTGGCATATTGGTTGCTCAGCAGCATGATGATTAATTTTCATCTATTTGTATAGTTCCAGAAGTTCCTCATTATTGATTTCTAGTTTTTTTTCACTGTAGTCAGAGAATATACCTGATATATTATTAATATTTAAAAGTTTTTTGAGACTTACTTTGTGGCTTCATATGGTCTACCCTGGAGAATGTTCCATGTGCTGAAAAGAAGAACATGTATCCTGTAGCTGCTGGATAAAATGTTCCGTATATACCTGTTAGGTCAATTTGGTCTATACTGAAGTTTAAGTGCAATATTATTCACTGATTTTCTGCCTAGATGATCTTCCCAGTGCTGGAAGTGGGGCATTAAAGTTCCCAACTGTTATTATGTTGGGGTCCATTTCTTTAACTCTAATAATATTTGATTTATATATGTGCATGCTCTGGTGTTGGGTGCATATTCGATTATAATTGCTATATCTTCTTAGTGAATTTATTTTTGTATTCTTGGTGAATTTGTAATTGTAAAATGATATTCTTTGTCTCTTTCTTGTATTTTTTGACTTAGACTATTTTGTCTAATTTAAATATAGCTACTGCCACACCCTTTTGGTTTACAATTACAACTAAATATCTTTTTTATCCCTTCACTTTCAGTCTAAGTGTGTCTTTACAGTTGAAATGAGTTTCTTCTAGGCAGCATATGGTTAGATATACTTTCTTAATCCATTCAGCCTATCTATATTTTTAATTAGGGAATTTAAACTATTTACATTCAAGGTTGTTATCATTGATAATTGTTTTCTGATTGTTTTATATATCCTTTGTTCATTTCTTCCTCTCTCGTTCATCTTAGTAGTTTGGCAGTTTCCTGTAGTGATAACATTTGATTCCTTTCTTTTTCTTAAGTATCTTCTCTGCCATTGAGTTTTATGCTTTCACTTGTGTTCAGGGTGGTAATTATTGTCCTTTTGCTTCCAGATGTAGAACTCCTTTAAGCATTTTTTGTAGGGCCGGTCTAGTGATGATGCACTCCCTCAATTTTTGCTTGCCTGGGAAATACTTTATTTCACCTTTATTTCTGAAGAATAGCTTTGCTGGATATAGTATTCTTGACAGACAGCTGTGTCCCTCCCACCCCCAGACCCCTGCCTTTGAGCATTCTTAAATATATCATCCAATTGTCTCCTGACCTGTAAGGTTTCTGCTGAGAAATCTTTCTAATGGGAATTCCTCCATATGTGACTTGACGCTCTTCTTTTGTTATTTTTAGAATTATCTTTGTCTTTGATTTTTGCCAGTTTGAATATAATACACCTTGAAGAGGACCCTTCTGGGTTGAATCTATTTGGGAATCCCTGAGCTTCCTGTACCTGGATGTCTAATTTCTCACCCACAATTTGAGATGTTTTCAGCATTATTTCATTATATGGATTTTCTATACCTTTTCCCATTTCTTCTCCTTCTGAAATTCCTAAAATTCAAATATTTGTATACTTAATAGTGCCCATATGTCACATAAGCTTTCTTTATTTTTTTTTTCATTTTGTTTGCTGTGTTGTTTGACTGGGTTATTTCAAAAGACCGCTCTTCGTGGTCAGAAATTCTTTCTGTTTGATCTAGTCTATTGTTAAAGCTCTCAACTGTAATTTTTCATTCAACTACACTTGTAATTTCATTCATTTAATTCATCAGTTGCATGATTTCTATTTGGTTATTTTTAATGACATCTATCTCTCTTGAATTTCTCATTCAGATCATGAATTGTTTCCTTGATTTCCTTGTGTTGTTTATCTGAGTTCCCTTGATATCGTACTGAGTTTCTTTAAGACCATTAGCTCAAATTCCTTTTTAGGCATTTCACAGATTTTTATTTTATTTTGATTCTGTTACTGTATAATTATTGTATGTCTTTCAAAGTGCCATGTTTCCTTGCTTTTTCATGTTTTTGCTTTTGCTTGTTACTATATTGATACCTGCACAGTTGGAGTAACAGTCACTCTTCCAATTTTACTGAGTAGTTTTCACAGGATAAGACATATTCCTATAGATATATCTATGGTGTTGGTTGGGTAGGTACCCTTTGGGTTTGATTCTGGGTGGGCGCAGCAGTGTATTCTCCATTTGAATACTCTGGCTGTAATCAAAGCCAATGGTATCTGTGAGATCCTCAGTGGCTTAGGCTACACTGAACATACTGTCTTCCAAATGCTGTGGTAATGAATCTCCTATGTTAGATTAACAGACTGATAAAGAGAAAACTCATATGCAAATAAAGTATTCAATAATTAGATGTAGGGCTGTGCATTGTCTAGTTAGCTTTACCTTGCAGGAACATAAGAGAAGGAATTTAAGAGAAACTTATGCTACCAGGAATTAGATCACAAAGGAGAAACAATGGTTTCTTTTGTGGACTGTAAGTCAATATAGGATGTCATAAATCACACAGAATGGCAGAGCTCAATCTCTACACCTTGTAGAGATTTGCCTCTATGTCACTTGTGAAAGTTACCCTAAGATTCAAGCAATCTAAAGAGAATGCTGCTTAAATGGCTATTCCTGTCCTGCAAAGCTGGCATGCCTAGAGCAAGAAATACAGCAGAGGATCAACAAAAATCATTATAATTTATATTTACTGACATTATTTGGCAGGAAATAAAACAAAAGTAATACTGCATTTATTTATTGGGAAAACCTATGGCATTACAACTAACTTTTTAGTAAGCCTATGTTATACTTTACTTCTAAAGTGAACAAATAATAAGATAAAGTGATACTGAGACAGTTTAGAGAGTAAACTTACCTATATAGAGAGAAGACTTGTGTGTGGGCACAGAATCATCAAGAAAGGCTGTTCCCAGAGTATAAAGAGGAGTTCCTCCTGCCCCCAGCAATAGTTGTCCCAAGATGAAGACATACAAGTAGTTAGAAAGTGAAGAAGTTGAAGATGTACAACTGGTGCTATTCCTTGTTGTTACACAAGTGTCTTTGTGGAAAAAAAAATTGTGAATTTATAGAAATTCAGCTAATAATTTAAATTTCTATCATATAAATTACACTTGCCTAATATAATATAACCTTATTTATTTCTTCCAATCATTTTACTTTGATTTAAACTATTTAAAAATACATCAAAAGAAAAATACACTTTCTTACCCCAGCCTGCCCTCACTTTATGAAGGCCTATTCACTCCTATTCACCTCTGTCACTTAGATGGGGGTAACCACTGTCAACAGTTCTTTTCAGTTTTTCAGACATTTACTCACACATTTACGTGTTGTATACCCCATTTAATTTTTTTACACAATTATAGTCATAATAAAACATACTATCTTTATATTCAACAATGTCCAGTTTTCACTTATTATGTCCCGGACGTCTCTGATATTAGCACTTAAAGCTATATTTAAATTTATTTATTGTCACTGTCATAATATTCTATAGCATAAATGTCCTGTAATTTTATTGCCTAGTCCAGCACATGTATTTAATAATAAATATTATTAATATTATATTGTATTATACATAGGTTTAGATCATTTTCTTATTTCCATCAGAATGTTATGATGTACATATTTTTTTAAGTTTACCCTGGCACATTTTGGGCAAGCCTATCTATAGGACAGGTTACAAAGAGTGAAACTGCTAGGTCAAAGTGAATAAATATTTATATTTTGATACTGCCAAACCACTTTATCAAAAAGTCATACAAATATGCAATCCCACCAACAATTCATTAACACTTTACATAATAAAACTTAAATGACTACCAATCTCATTGGTTAAAAATATATATATATAATTTTTTAAATTTCATTTTTAAAATCAGTGACATTAAGCATTTTTCCATACATTTATTGTCACTTGCATTTTTTTCTGTGAACTAATTTTTCAATTAGTTCAATTTTCCTAGGTTCTGAGTTTGGTACATGACTGTTCCTTATTCCATAATTACACAAACAATGGTTTTATCTTAGCATTTTTACTACTTTATTTAGATATAAGATAGGTGGATAAACATATACACACAGAATGGATCACATGGCTATGTCTATGTAATATGTGTGTATATGTTGCGAAAAAGGCCTCAGAAGAAAAGTAGGTCAGAGGTCATCTTTTGCAACTCGGGTAAATACATTAAGCCAATTAGCTCAGCCCAGGTGATCGCAATAAGCCAATTAGATCAGCTCTGGTGAATATAATCAGACAATTAGCTAACTTGAGAAAGCAGAGGCATCCAGGCAGGCCCCAAGTAGAAAATGTGAATAATACAGGCATACATTGAGAAAGGAAGCAGGGCTGTGAAGTGCTAAGTTAATTCATATGTAATATCTTTTAGTGGGAGAAGACAGAGATCCAGCATTCTATTGCATTAACCAAAAAGCACATCTTTTACTAACTTGACTATCTGGGGTTTATTTATGGCGGCTTGATCTTGTGTCACTAATCTGTGCAATCCCACTCCAGCACAAATCTCTTGTTATTACTTCAGCTTTCTAAGGTTTAAAGGCATCAATATGTCAACCCAGCTATAACCCATTTTACAGTGCTTCATGAAAAGCTCTATTTAATTGATCCATTTTCATAATACAGGTGGTCCTGTATTATGAAATCTAATACAAACATCCCACAAAAAGCTGACAAGGAATAATTCACCTCATTCAAAGTTGAATAATAATCAAAAAAGAAAAACAAATGGCTAGTAAGGGAGAACAGTCTCCAGAAAAATACTGTCATTAATGTAGATTTTAAAATTACTATATTGCCATACTTAAAAAAGGAATGGAAACAATTGCCTCTTAAAATCCAGAGCTCAAAACGGGGATTTAATAAGCTCATAGAAATGTGTTGAGGCAGGGCGTGATGGCTTACACCTATAATTCCAGTACTTTGGAAGGACAAGGTGGGTGGATCACTTGAGGTCAGGAGTTTGAGACTAGCATTGCCAACATGGTAAAACCCGTCTCTACTGAAAATACAAAAATTAGCCAAGTGTGGTGGCACACCCCTGTAGTCCCAGCTACTCGGGAGGCTGAGGGCAGAAGAATTGCTGGAACCCGGGAGGAGGAGGTTGCAGTGAGCCACTGCACTCCAGCCTGGGCAGAAAAGCAAGACTTCATCTCAAAAAAAGAAAGAAAGAAAGAAAGAAATGCAGTGAAATAGAGAAAGAAAAGAAAAAAACACAAACATGGGCTAAATAACTCAGTATCATGTTTTGTTCTATAAAACATAAAAGAACAAAACTATCAGAAATGGAGGTCACCCTGGAATGGTCAAAAAAGAATAGAGACTGTGAGAATTATGACAGAGAGAATAGACTTGAGAAATATGAACAAAATTAAATAAAGGAAAAATAAGACACCAAGATTTAAAAGGTTACAGAGAAAATTACAGATATAGAATTCAGACAAAGGCAATCAAACATAGGTATAATCAACCAAAATAGAAAAATAAATATGTTTAAAGGTAAAATTAAGGAAAATTTTCTATAATTAAAATTGATCTATGATTTAAAAAGATATGGAGAATCCCAGGAAAATCTGATGCAGGACTTTCAACACCAAAATATTCCCTTGTAAAGTCTGTGAATTTTAAAGATGAAAAGACTTTTTTGAACAGCTAGACAAGAAGATAAAGTCACTTATGCAGAAGGAAATAAAAAACATAAGCTTACATTCAGACTTCCCTAAAGCAACATTAATCCCATAGAGGCAGTAAAGGGATGCCAAAAAAGTAACCAGTGCAAGATAATGTGACCCTTATATTTTATGCTTAGCCAAATTGTCATTCAAATATAAAGACAAAGAAAAATATTTAAACCTATATTATTTAAACCTATTAAATCTCATAAAATGAACTTGCCCTGAAAAACACTACTAAAGGGTACATTTTAGCCTATAGAGAAATACTTCATTCAGAGATGCCATGTGTACCTTAAGATAATCAGAAGCAAATTGTACTTTTATAATACAGTTTATAAAATAGCTAGATTTACCTATTCAATGAATTTTGTGAGATTATTAGTTGAGGAAACCATTTGAACCTAGAATTTCAACTTCTAATGAAAAATCAAACAATTTCTGACCAAATACAGTTAGCCCTCCATATCCACAGGTTCCATATCTGTGGATTCAACCAACCACAGATCAAAAATATTCAGGGAAGAAAAATAACAATACACCAATAAAAGAAATATAAATAAAAATATACTATAATTATTTACATAGCATTTACACGACATTAGCTATTATTTGTAATCTAGAGATGATTTAAAGTTTATAGGAGGATGTAGGTAGATTGTATACAAATAACACACCATTTTATAGAAGGGACTTGAGCATGCAGATTTTGTTATCCATGGGGGTCCTGGAACCAATCCCCCATGGATACTGTAATTTCAACATTAATTAAAAGGCATGTGATTTGACGATACACCACAAGTGGAAGCTCCTACGTTGTTTATAAATTTAGAGGAACACTGCCAATAAAATTAAGGATTAGAACTGTACCTAATGAACAAAGAAGTGGCCAGTCTTACCCACTAATATTGGCAGGTCTGTGACAAAAAGACAAAAGGAAATCCACATACCATATGTCAAAACATTCAGAAGATAAATACCAAGCTCAGCCAAATGCTTAACCCCAATCAAAGACCCACAGCCTGCTGCTCTCCAAGCATTTGCCCTAAAGACCTAGAGGCTAAAGGTACCTCTTTTCCCCTGGGCCTATCCTGCTGCCAGGGGTAGGGCAGAATGGACTCTGCTGTGATGTGATTCCACTTCCCCAGCCACACATTTGATAAGATTCCCAGGAGATGTGTATCTATGCATCCTGGAGAGGGGAGTAAAGAAGCCTAGTTTTGAGGGAACCCAGTCTCCCCAGTTACCTGCATCAGGTGCTTTGACGTGGCTAACTTTAAACAAACACCATCTCTCTTTCTCCTTTCCCAGGGGGTAGCTGTACTTTTCTTTCCTCAGCCTCACTCCTCATCTCCTAACCTCCTAACCACTGCCCTGAGGAAGGAGAAAGAGCTGCTGCTTTTGTTTATAGTTGACCACCCCGAGTCTAAACAGCATCTTCTGGCCTGGGGAATTTAGCTCAATCCTACATTCCTCTCCTGTCATCTCTGGTACCACATCTCTGGTTACCACGGCATTTACAGAAAGATGTCATAAGAAAAAAAAGGCAGCATAATTTTATTAAAATTAAGATTAGGGCACTGACCACAAAAATATTTTCATGGAGCAAATGAGAAATGTGAACACATAGTTCATCACGAGATGAGGCAATGATTTATATAAATAAATGAAGTAAAAGAAAAGAAATGATGAAGGAAAGAAAGAGGAGATCAAATCCTGACAGAAAAAAGTAAAAGGAAAAAACTAAAACCCCATAGAAAAGAAGATACAACGGAAAGGGGCACATGGGTAAACTGACTGAGAAAACATAGTTATGGGCATATAGAGTACAAATGAGGAAAGTGAGCAAAATTCATGATAAAAAAGAAGAAATGTTAACATAAGGAGGCCAAATAAGATCATATATACGCATAGTTGAAATAGTTGATGTACCTAAGAAAGAAAACTAAAATCATAGAACAAAATACTTAAATATATAATTTAAAGAAATATCACTATACTGTAAAAGTATGTATGTAAATCTCTATAGGTCACCCTGCATAATTGGAGGCCAGGAAACTATGACATGAATGGTCATCACCAGGACATAGTTTAGAGTAGACTTTGAAGAGAGACTCCAAGTCACAAATACACTTGGACTACTGAGAATCTTCTTTGTAGAGAACACCAGCAGTATACTGTATATCACGTGTCACAAGCACTTCTAAATAATTTCAGAATGCACAGGCAAACAAAGGCTTTGTGTGCTTCGTAAATCTTCTTGGTTCTCGAATAACAAGTGGAATAATCACTTATTTATATGTAACATGATAAAGAATATTATCTTTAAAAATCATCTATCATATATTCAAGTTAGTTTTTTCTTCATTAATGTCTAACATCTCCCAGAACTAGTGCTCTATAAATCACTTTTGAAAAAGACTGGTTAGAATCATAACAAAAGTGTCAAAAGAAACAAAACAGTCCTAGGTCATTAAAAATATTTAAATTTAGCCCTTATACAAACAGACTTAAATCCTAGAAGGTTACAGTGGCACACAGCCACTCCAAACCACACCAGTGGGGAGGACACCAGGAAAATGCACACTTGGGACCTCTTTCTTCCCAATATGCAAACTCCTATTAGCTAACCCAACTACAATCCAGGGCAGAGAAAAGTGCCAGATTGACACAGTCTGTTGGATTTTTCTACTAAAGCACAAAGCAAAAGTCATGAATAGTAAATATTGGCCCTGGAAGGACACAGAATATCCAACACAGCTCCCCCTCCTTCTTTAGCATCCACTTTTATCTTCATCTGAATTTAAAAATCTGTATGTCTCCCACATAAGAAACCCACAAAAAGCTATCTGCAAAATATCATCATGAGATAACATGCATTCAGTTATTCTCCCACCTGAAAGCAACACTGAAGTGTTAGCCCCAGCGGTGGTCTGCATCGAAGGTGGCAGACGAAAACAAGAGCAGGGCGACAATTAACCAGCTCCATAGTTCTCTTTCTATAGTTGGTCAGAGGGCCCAACTGACAAGCATAGCTTCCTTCTATCATGCAGTTCTTGTTCCCTTTACCACTGCCTATACCTTAACTAGTCAGGTATTTTACCGTCTTTTACAAGTCTCCAGCTCTTCTTTCCCTATTGAGTTACTGAAGTTTTCTTTTAACAAGTACTATTGGGTATAGGAGTGTTAAGCGGCACCTAAGTGAATCTTGCAGTCCAAAAATATACTGTTCCTTGCAACTGGAAAGGAACAACTCAATTTTCCCTTGGTAACTAGGATCCATTAGCTCTGTCAATTTAGTGAACTCTCCCTGTTGAATATTTACTATGAAGAGATCAAAAAGGATTAGCGAACAGTTATTGTTAAGCTTTGGATTTAAGGGAATAATGACTGTGTGCCTTGATGGAAACTTAAATCCCTTGGGTACTAGAATTCAACAAGGCAGGGTGTAAGAATTCCATTAAGTGGATTATTAGCTATAGTAGTGAGAGGCACCAATCCATTGCCGCTCCTTAGTTCCCTAGACAGTACCCAACGAACATAGTGGTGAGTTTCCTGGGTTTTATTTTTGCTTAATCTATCCCAGATTTTCAGCTGAATAAGTTAGCAACCCACAAATGCCAAAGGCTGCATACAAAACAAAAAAAAGAGGCACAAGAAAATTATCATCATTCTAGCCAAAAGATCAAGAAAGAAGCAGCTTGGCAAGGCAGAAAAATTATACAGTAAACATGCTACTCTAGTCAAATACCACAGAGAAAAACTGCAATCTCACCCACACTCACCCCTGCAATATATGGTGTAACAAGGTGCCCCATCCCCCTTCCAGGGTGGTGTCAGAGAAGGATGAGAAGGGATCCGGGACTTCTACCTCCATCAAGAGGTAATGATCCTCACCCCTCGTGCCAGTGAAATCTACACTGGTAGCCTGGGTTTCCAGCTCTATGTAGCAACAGAAGCACCCCCACTCCCTCTCTGCTAGTACAAGAGGAAGCCTAGTGAAGAGTCAGAACTTACACTGTAGTCTAGTTGGAATTAGGCCATACTTCTTCTCTGTGGTGTCAGTAGAAGAGTAGCAAGTCACTTCTACCATTCCCAGAGAGAATGATATCAGTGGAGTTCTAGTGGAGATCCAGGACTGCCACCACCACCCAACAGTAACAAGGAGCCTGTCTTCCTACTAGGTGTCAATTGAGGCCAAGAGGTGAACTTGGACTTCGATGCCACTCGGCAAATAAGGCCTCACCCACCCCCACCTCAAAGCCATCAGAACAGCGTCAAGTAGTTAAGACAGAAGATTTAAATAAGAACCAGAGTCTAATAATATAATACAAAGACTATACTTACATACATGTAATGCAGTACCTAGAAAAAAACACTCAAAAAGTTATACAAAGAAATATACTCAAAACACTACAGATAAATCAAAATGGAATTCTAAAACTGTTCAAGCAACTCACATTCAGGAAAGCAAGAAGCAGATAATAGAGAAACAAAAAACAAAGAACAAACACAAAACAAAATATTAAAAGTACAGGTTTAAACTTTAACATACTAGTATTTACATTACATGTAAATGGTCTGAATATTACAATTAAAGGATATTGACATAGTGAATAAAAAAAACAACCCAACTATGCCATCTACAAGAAATTCACTTCAAATGCAGTAATGTGGGCAGGCTGAAATTTAAAGATTGGGGGAAAAAACATATCATCCAAGCATTAATCAAAATAATGTAGGAGTAGCCATATTAATATCAGCTGAAACTGACTTTAGAGCAAAAAAATTTACTTGACACAGAGAGACATTACATAATGAAAAAATAGTCAATTTACCAAGAAGAGTAACATGTTTTCACCATCATAGAGCTGTAAAACATGAAGCAGAAATTTATAGAATGAAAGGAGGAACAGACAAACCCACAATTACAATAAAAGATTTCAAAACCCCTCTCTGAGCAACTGATAGAACAGAAAATTAGCAAGGATATAAACTAACTTATCAACCACATCTACCAACAGGATCTAACCAACATTTTTTAAGCACTCTGCCAAACAATAGCAAAATACATTTTCTTTTCAAACGCCCACAGAACATATGCCAAGGCAGATCACATCCTGCGCCATAGAGTAAACCTTAATAAATTTTTAAAAATTCAAATCCTACATAGTATGTTTTCTGACTACAATGGAATCTAATGAAACATCATTAACAAAATGATAACAAAAATATCTCCAAATATTGGAAACTAAACAACATGCTCTCACACTTTCAAATAATCTATGGGTCAAAAAGGAAGTCTCTAAGGAAATAAAAAAATTCACTGAATTAAGTAAAAATGAAAACACAATATATAACAATAGTGAAATACAACTCAAGCAGTACTGAAAGAAAATTTTATAGCACTAAAATGCATACATTAGAAAAAATAAAAATAAAATCAATAATCTAAGCTTCCATGTCACCCACCTAGAGAAAAATAATAATAGAATAAATTTAAAATAAGTAGAAGGAAGAAAATAAAGAGCAGAAATCAATAAATTGGAAAATAGAAAACTATAGAGAAAAATCAATGAAACTAAAAGTTCATTTTCTGAAAAGATGAATTTAATTGGCTACATCTAGCAAGACTGACAAAGAATAAGAAAAAGTAGACAAATACTATCAATATCAGGAATCAAGCAAAGGATTTCACAACAGATCCAGCAGACAAAGAAAATATAATAAATAAATACTAGGAACAGTTAGCTTTATATACATAAATTTGACAACTTAGATGAAATGGGTCAATTACATAAAAAGCATAAATTATATCTACTCACCCAAAACGAAGTATAAGGTTGGTGCAGAAGTAACTGCAGTTTTTGCCATTAAAAGTAATGACAAAAATCACAATTACTCTTGCACCAACCTAATAGATTTGAATTACTATTAAAGATAACTATTAAGAGTATTAACTTTTTTAATTAAGAAACTCCCCAAACAGAAATCTATAGGCTCAAATAGTTTCACTTGCAGAATTCTAACAAACATATAAAGAAAAATTAAAATCAATTTCAGAAAATAGTAGAGGAGGAACATTTCTCAATTTATTGTATGAAGTTTATAATCCCCTAAAATCCACAAAAACTACAAAGCCAAATAGAGACAGTACATAAAAGAAAATAAAAACTAATATCCCTTATGAATATAGACACAAAAATGCTTAACAAAATAGTACCAAACAGAATTCACAAATATATCCAAAGAATTGTACACCATTGCCAGGTGAGGTTTATTCTGGGATGCAAGGCTGGCATCAAAAAAATCAAAAAATGTTAACTACTGTATTAACAGATTGAAGAAGAAAAAAATCGCATGATCATGATCACATGATCAGAAATCACATGAACAATTGATGCAGAACAAGTGTTTGGCAACATTCAACAATGATTCCTGATAAAAATTCTCAGAAAAAGAGGAATAGAGTAGAACTTTCCCAACTTGATAAAGAGTATTTATAAAAACATGCAGCAGTAGTGAAAGACTGAAAGCTTTCTTGCCTAATATAGGGAAGAAGGTAAGAACAATCACTCTCACCATTCTTACTCAAAATAGTACTGGAAGTTCTAACCAGTGCAATAAGGCAAAAAAAAAAAAAAAAAAAAAAAAAAGAGAAAGAAAATTAGTGCCATACAGAAGGTACAGGAAGTAATAAAACTGTTCCTATGTGCAGAAAACATGACTGTCTACATAGAATACACCAAGGAATCCACAAAATAATATCAAGAACCAATTAATTCAGTAACATTGCAGAATACACAATAAAACATACAAAAATCTACCGTATTTCCATATACTGGCAATGAACATATGGAAACTGAAATTTAAAATACAGTACTATTTACAATCATTCAAAAAAAAGCAAAAAGAAATACTTAGATGTTAATCTAACAAAATATATATACATAACTTGCATGCTAAAAATATAAAATACTGATGAAAAAAATTAAAGAAAATCTAAATAAATGGAGTATAAATCCATATATATTCATGGATTGGAAGACCCAACATAGTAACTATATCAGTTTAATCCCAATTAATATCCCAATTAATATACAGGTTGTATTAGTTCATTTTCACACTGCTATAAAGATACTACCTGAAACTGGGTAATTTATAAAGAAAAAAATTTAGGCCTCAGGAAACTTACAATCACGGCTGAAGGGGAAGCAGGTACATCTTACATGGTCGCAGGCGAGAGAGCATGTGAAGGAAGAACTGTCAAACACTTATAAAACCATCAGCTCTCATGAGAACTCACTCACTATCAGGAGAACAGCATGGGGGAAACCACCCCCATGATCAAATAACCTCCCACCAGGTCCCTCCCTTGACATGTGGGGATCATGGGGATTAGAATTTGAGATGAGATTTGAGTGGGGACACAAAACCAAACCATATCAAGGTTTAATACAATTCCTCTCAAAATCCTATTACGATATTTTGTAGATATAGACAAGATTATTCTAAAATTTATATAGAAATAAAAAGGAATGAGGCAAACCAATATGGAAAAATAACAATGAAGTGAGAGCAATGTCTATAGGATTTCAAGACTTATATAAGTATAATAGTCAAGAATGTGATATTGGTGAAGTGATACATATATCAATGGAGCAGAGTAGAGATCCCAGAAATATAGCTATACAAATATGCCCAACTGATTTTTGAAAAGCTACAAAAGTAATTCAATGGTTGAAGGACAGACTTTTCAAATGGAGCTAGAGCAAATGGACACTTATAAACAAAAATCAAACTTTAAACCTCACATCTTTTATACAAATTAACTCAAAATATATCACAGACTTAAATGTAAAATAGAAAACTATAAAACTTTTTTTAAAAATAGAAGAAAATCTTAGGGATCAGAGCTAGGCAAAGGGTTTTTAGTCTTCACAATAAAAGCATAATCTATAAAAGGAAAAAACTGATAAATTCGACTTTATTTAAATTGAAAATTTTCACTCTCTGAAAGACCCTGTTAAGAGGATGAAAAGACATGCTACAGACTGGATGAAAATATTTGCAAACTAGCATGTGACAAGACCTAGTACTCGGAAAACATAAATGTCTCTCTAAACTCAACAGTAAAGAAACAAATATCCAAAGACATGAAAAGACATTTCACCAAAGATGATATGCAGATAGCAAATTCACACAAGCAAAGATGCTCAATGTTATCAGCCATTAAAGAAATACAAATTAAAACACAACGAGATTTCACTGTACACCTATTAGAATGGCTACACCAAATGCTGGCAAGGATTCAAATAAACCGAGTCACTCATACATTGCTGATGGGAATATAAAGTGATACAGTGAATCTGGAAAACAGTTTGGCAGTTTCTCAAAAAACTAAACATAGAATTTTCATATGACCCAGCAGTTTTACTCCTGGGCATCTATTCCAGAAAAATGAAAACTATGTTCACACAAAAATCTGCACACTAATGTTTGTAGCTTTATTTGTAATAACCAAAATCTGGGAACAAACCAGATGTTCTTTAATAGGCAAATGGTTAAACAAACTATGGTACATCCATACCATGGATTACTAATCAGCAGTAGAAAGAACAGAACAATTGATATGTACAACAACATGATGAGTATTCAGAAAATTACTCAGACTAAAAAAAGTCAATTCCAAAATATTATATACCGTATAATTATTGAAATATAGTAAAACCTTTAAACATAGAAATGTTCATCATGAGTTAATTTATAATAAAAAACTTTTTATATGTAAAAATTCAGTTCTATGAGAATGTTTAAAATGTAAAACAGAATGCTATGCAAGAAAATGCTCACAGGTTGCAACATATTTTATTAACTGTATTAAAAATAGGCACAGAAAAACAGTACGACAATTCCGAAGCTGTTTTCCTTGAGAAAAGAAAAACAGTGAATTGAGTTTTTTTCTCTTTCCACTTCTTAGTATTACCCAAATTGTCTGCATGACCCATAGAACCTCTCTAACCAGAAAAATTAAATGTATTAATAAAAAATATAACAAAGGAGGGTTGGTTAAATAAGTCATTTATAAAATGAAATAATAGAAAAGCAAAAAGATTCTGCAACTCCATCTTTACTAATATAAAATGTGTCCAACACATCTTCCAAGTAAAAAGAAGTCAACGTTCCTAGATTAAAAATCTTGTTTCCTTCAAACAAGGATTTTGAATGTGTTTGTGAGAATGTGATGTAAAGATGTGTGAATGTTAATAAAATTATGTGAGTGTGAATGTGTGCATGAATGTGTGTTAATGACTGTGTAGTGTAGTTTATGTATGACAATATACGTATGAATGTGTATATACATTTTTAAAAGACTGAACAGTGTTAACGGTGAATAACCAAGGTGTGTTACCATGAAAACTCTTTCTTTCTTTCTTTATTCCATTTTTGTTTGTGTGTTCCTATTTTCTGAACATTTTACAAAGTACATATCATGTTCAAAGTCAAAAAATTCAAGATATTTTCAAATGGCAACTTGGCTATTTAAAAGGCAATATTTTAATGTGTTATTCTAAGTGGACCCAATTAAGCTGAGCTACACCAAATGAATTATTTTCTTATCTCGTAACAATATGATCTTAGAAATATATCTAATTAAAACCCTTTCTAATGTACTAGTTCAAAAGTGTTTGGTCAGACTTTGGGGATATGTCAACACCAAGTGACATCCACAAAAAAAAAAAGACTTTATTATTCATTGCTACTATTTAATGAGCACTCACCACACACCAGGCACTGCCTTATCACCACATATGTATACTCTTCTATGTGGTATTGATTATTATCAACATAATTTATAGTCAAAGAAACTTATCTCCAGGATCACTGTAGTTCTATCACAGTGTGTGAGCAAAAACTTAAACTCACTTATTTCTGACTCTCATATCTCTGCTAAAGTGCTGAATACTTTCATTAAATAGGATGAACTAATAGCATTAAAATGAAACAGAAAAAATATATTAAAACACACACTGGCAAATTTGTGCGTTTTTAAGAATAGTGACTAAGAAAATAGAATTTCCTCATTTATTTCCTGCCACAAACCACCAACCTTTCTAAGGAAGCTACAAAAAAAAAAAAAAAAAGACATTGCTTAATCATTACCTTCCACACAATATATCTGGTTAGACACAACTACGCCTATGGCCACTTGAATGCCCTATCAGAGCACTTCATTTTATATATTAAGATTTTTAAAAGTCCATGAAAAGAGAATTGCTAACATTTTAACATTAAGAGCCTAATGCCTTGTCCTTCCACAGAAGACAGTAAGAGTAGGTAATGGCAGATAAAGGCAATTTGGGATTCTCTGTCCACATTTTCCATAAACTTGGGCTAAAAAAATGGAACATTAAAAGAGAATTTTCTTAGAAGCACTGAAGTGAAATCAACATCTTAGCAAGTCATTAAGACAAAAACCAAAAGTAGAATATCAAAGCATTCTGCTACTATTTCTGAATATGCTTCTCATTTTAGCTTCCTTTTCACACTGCAAATTTTTCAGATCTCAAATCTTACTCAAAAAGATTACGGAAAATAATTTTTGCCTCTAACAACATAATTTGTCCTAATTCGGTCGCCAGAAAAAAATATGATGAAGAAGAGAGAGAAAGAGAAAATTCTCTTTAAATGTTACCCTATTTTTTTAGCCCAAGTTTATGGAAAATGTGGACAGAGAATCCCAAATTGCCTTTATCTGCCATTACCTACTCTTACTGTCTTCTGTGGAAGGACAAGGCATTAGGCTCTTAATATACCTCATCAAAGGACTCCATTCATTAATATATGTGACAACTCAACAAATAGTTCTTAAGGACCTAGTCTATATCACATGCTGTTCTAGGTGCTGATCATAATAAAGTTTCTAAACTCAACAAGGGCTTTCAAATTCACATAGTTAAACCTAAAGCAGATAGAGCAGATTTTACCAAAGTGTGTTCACTGCCTCATTTACCTAGAGGAAGACAAAGTAAGGGGCGAAAGCAGGATGAAGGGGACAAGTATAACAACGGAGCCTCTTCATCAACTCTACATATCATACCCCTAACTAAAGATTCACAGAATGCATTTGCTTTATAGTGCTGCAATAAAGACAACTGCTTAGCGTTCTTCTTTTTTTTTTTTCCAAACTCATTCAACCATTGAACACATTTTTAACATATTCCTAATGCCTCTAGAAACTGTTCTCTGCAGATAGTACTTTCAGAAATGTTTGGACATGTTTTTCTCTTGCTAAAGGACATGGATTTTTTAAACCTCTACCTACCAGCAAACTATAGCTTGTAATGAGAATGAGTTTGTGCTAAAATTTCATTGACACATTTTTTTCCTACTTATTTTTCTCTGTAAGTTTCCTCTATTTCAGAAGTTTGGTCATTTGCATTTCAACAAAACTGGCTGCATTAGAGCACCTAGCATTTCATGATGATTGTGAAACTCCTATTTTAAAGGAAGACATAAAGCAATAATCTGGAAAGGAAAAGAAACCTTTCTCTCTATATCCACAGTTAGAAGCTTTACAAAGTAATCAGACACTAAAATGGACATGTATGTCCTAAATTAGACTAAGATAACCTGGGTAATTTTTTAAAAATATTGATTGAGTCCTACTCCAAACTTACTGAATCAGGATTTCCAAGAGGCAGTATTAAACAGGAATAGCAACCATCCAGGATAATTCATATATATACATACACACACACACACACACACACACACAAATATATACACACATATATACACACACACACACATATATATTTTTTTTTGTTTGTTTGTTTTTGAGACGAAGTCTCACACTGTTGCCCAGGCTGGAGTGCAGTGTCCCGATCTCAGCTCCCTGCAACCTCCGCCTCCTGGGTTCAAGTGATTCTCCTGCCTCAGCCTCCCAAGTATCTGGGATTACAGGTGCCTGCCACCATGCCCGGCTAATTTTTGTGTTTTTAGTAGGGACAGGGTTTCACCATGTTGGCCAGGCTGGTCTCAAACTCCTGGCCTCAAGTAATCCACCCACCTCAGCCTCCCAAAGTGCTGGGATTACAGGTGTGAGCCATTGAGCCTGGCTCAGGGTAATTCATATTATCTAGGAAGTATGAGAAAGACTGAAAAGCCTCTGATATAAAAAATTGTGATAGTTTTATCTAGAGCATTAACTATTGCTAAAAGGTAGCTCTAGGCCTTTTACTGTATGTATTAAATTTAAAATTGAATCATTTGTTTTATTACACCATTATAGCTTCTAATCTAAAAAAATCACCTCTTCTTATTACTCCTTTATTCATTTCAGTTACAAAGAAGTAAAATTTAAGAAAAATAAGTGACTTCCGTAAAGTAAAAAATAATATCAAAAAAGGAAAAACACTCAGAGGCCAAGCAAAATTAAAGCTTCCTGTATTGAATTTGTGCTTGAAAACCTCTAAAATTCTTTGCCCTAGGTCTTCTCAAATCTAGGCAAGCATTCCATTAAAGAAAAAAGTATTCTAAGAAAAAAAGATAAAATAGTAACCAGAAGTAAAGTCCACTTTGAGTCCTACTGTAATCATTTTCCTAGCACAGCTTTTGTAAGTAGTTACCAAGCATAACCAAAGTCCTTTGATGAAGCATTCTCTCTCAAATGCCAATAAAAAAAAAATTAGAAATTTAGTGCTACAGCTAATGTGAATTTTTATCATTTAAGGTTTCTTTGAGGGAAAGGAGATGGAAAAGAGAAACAAAGATATAGTGCAACGTAGGAAAAATTATCTAATTATTGGTCAATAAATAAAAAGAGCTTTACTAGGCTAAGTAACTACTTTTCTACAATTCCTCAGTATTTAATAATGCCTCTCTCCCAAAGTCTCAAAGAGACATAAAGATTATTTTGCATGGTAACATTAAAATAACACTCATCTAAAAGAAATTAAGATTGCTTAGATGAAAAAAATGTTACGTGGTAAAGATTTACTTATCGCATTTTAAATATTTTAAAGTCATACTACAATATGTTGTGTCATATTAATATTATGTTGAAGTAAGTCAAAATGAATGTCAAATATGACTTATTTAAAAGTGTTTTGACACTATGTTTGGGTTAACTTGTACAAAAAATTAGCCCTTAATAGCATGTATTTGTTCCTCTTAATTTTAATACTACCTCTTTTTTTAGTCCAGTAACAACCACAACTTCCCTTTGATCATCTCCATTCAAAGTTAATCACCTCTAATGCTTATGTCTTTCTAAAAGCTTCCCTTAAAAAAACACTTTCTCTCCAACCTACTTAAATTTATTGTTTACAACACAATAGAAAGTCCACGCTGTTTCAAAATATATCTTCTTAACTTTTGTTCTTAACGTTCTTTTGTGTTATTCTCACACCTGTAGAAATCATACATGTTTATCATATTTTATGTTTTTTTCTACTTACTAGCTATATTACTTTAGTTTCCTCTTACAGAGATTATCCCATCCAAAGTGAGCCCTGATTTTGATTTCCCTTAAGAACAACAGAAAAAGCACAGAAGGGTATGTTAATTTCCTCACTGTCCATCTTAAATTAAATTACATGTATAATTTCAATTAATAAAATCATTTATTAATATTATGCTCTATGTTATGTTAAGTTACTTAAGAAGATTACACATCCCCTTGCCTCTAATTAATTTACAGGAAGCTTTCAACTAATCTGTTTTCTTTTTGCAGTTTCCTTTTCCTAAGTTTTCTTCTCTACTCTCCCTAAAGTTTGACAAATAATTCAGATTTTTCGTTATAGATTCCCATACTTGCAAAAGTAGATTAATATAGACCACTGTACCTGACTACTAGAAGTTGGGGAAGAAATGCTTGAAATTCATAAAAAATATTAAAATCATTCAATATAGTTAATAACTTAGTATGAGTAATAAGCATACACTTTTGAAAAACAATAAACAAACCATAAAAATTAGGATTAGTTTTAGTTGTTGTTAACCATCTGTGAAATCAATTCACCTCTTGCCCTAAGGCTTACACTATAAAAAGAAGAGGTTTTTTCACTTCTTTTTTTTTTTTTTTTTTTTTTTGAGATGGAGTCTCTGCTCTGTCACCCAGGCTGGATGGAGTGCAATGGTACGGTTTCAGCTCACTGCAACCTCGGCCTCCCTGCTTCAAGCATTTCTCCTGCCTCAGGCTCCCAAGTAGCTGGGACTACAGGCATATGCCACCACACATGGCTAATTTTTTTTTTCTTTTTGTATTTTTAGTAGAGACGGGGTTTCACTGTGTTGGCCAGGCTGGTTTCGAACTCCTGACCTTGTGATCCGCCCACCTTGGCCTCCAAAAGTGCTGGGATTACAGGCATGAGTCATTGCGCCCGGCCAGGTTTTATCATTTCTAACATCCCTTCCGTTTCTAAATGTCTGAATTCCTTTAAATGTGTAATGCAATTTCAATCCTGAATTTTGTGTCTGTCATATTATAAACACCTACACATACCACAATGACACTTCTGTTAAGAAAAATCACAGGGGAAAAAAATGCAAAAATTCAACACAACAGTGATGCATTTTCATTCACCAACAATGGGAGAGTAACTAATATATCCCTTCCTGAAAGTCAGTGTGACATTATCTATCAAAAACTAGAATGAGGAAGGCCTTCAAATTCAGTATTTGCACTTCTAGGAATCAAACCAAGTGAATGACTTGCACATTTATGTAAACACGTATTTTGGGGATATACACTGCAACACTGGATATATAATATGCAGTTCATACTAAAAAACTCCAAACCCGAATTCTTAATTTCATTCTAATTCTGTTCTACCTAGTCTTCCACCTTCTAGTAAAAACGGCCCCAGCTGATCAAGCCAAATACCAAGGACTCCTTCATTCCTCCTTCACAATATATCCAACAGAGTCCTATTTCTTTTTCCTATAAAACACACTGAGAATCATTCATCTTCTGGATCTCTGCTGCTACCACCCCAGTCTCAGCCACATTTATCTCCCACCTGGACTACAATAAAAATTTCCAGAGTGATTGGCTCCCATTTACTCTTGTCTCTTAAACTCCAGTAAGATCATGCACTTCCCTGTATAAAACTCTTCCACAACTTTGCATTGCATTTCAAGCACAATCTAAATGCCTCCCTAGTGTCTACCTGCCTCTCCAAAACAGCCTCCCTTGCTTTGACAATGCTGACCAAAACGGACTATTCCTAAAACCTACCAAGCCCTCCTCTGCTCCAAAGCCCTTAACCATATTTTTCTCCAGCCTGGAAATTATCTTTCAAGGTTAGCTCTTCACTATCCAGATATTATCACTGTAGCCTTTCCTGGCAATCATACTTAACCTTTAACACAGTATTACTTCATTCTATTTGTCTCTTTACCCACTCACCTCAATTTTCAATTATCTTGTTCATTTGTTTATTAATTGCATATTTCTTCCCACTAGTACATAAAATCCAGATGGCATGGAACTGTTTTACTGGTGTTATCTCAACACCATGTGTAGTCCATATCAATAAATATATATTGTATGAATGGCAGAATAACAGGAGGGCAAGCTGAGTTTTTGCTTTCATTTGCCACATTTAAGCTATTATTTAAATTATGAGTCAATTTACAGTAAAAATCTTAGATCAGCCAATTCCTCTAACCTATTTCAATAATCTACTAAAATAATGAAAAATGTTAATTAGATCAATAAGAACTTGGTGAAAACCTGCACAGTACACTACTAAAAGTTTATGATCTGGCTTCAGCAATCTTAGCTTCACCTCTGGTCACACACAAACACCTTAATTTGTGGCAATTTTCCTTTAGGAAAATAAGTTCTTCACAATGGCTATAACTCCAGGTATAAATGGCAAGAGAGGAAGCTGAGAAGATCGTGGAAGACAGATCAGGCTTTGTACTGGAAGAAGTATTTACGTTTCAGTTTAGAGAGTCATAGATTTTCGAGCAAGGTTTGTTTACTTAAGAACAAGCAAGGCATCTGAGCAACTGAAAGGTTGAGGGCCCAGAAACAGCACAAAGATTACCACCTAAATGCTATGAACAAATAACTATCATAGAATCAGTATTATGTTTTCTTGTGTGGCAGATGAAAATTTAGATATTCCCTTACGATTTAGATTTCAATAGTGTTATACTAAAGCCTACGCTGCAATATGTGGCTTGTTCCTAAAACTATTCCCAGTGAAATTATGTCAAGTTGCCTTGTGCAGTCTTGTCCAATCTCAGATAATGTGCTAGAATCTATGTAAGTGCTCTCTCTGCTGATAACTTATTCTCCTTATCTTATTCATTCCAAACTCTACCACATTTTAAAAATACTCTCCATTCATCCGCTTACATATTCTATTTTTACTTCTAAAATGAAGCCTACTTACCTAATAAGTGCACTTCTAAAACCATGCTGTGTAATATATAATTTGTTATTGAGAATATTTTCCTGTTTGTTATCATTCTAGAATTGGAAAATTGATCTTGGGAAAGATTAATACTTTAATATTGTCTTAGTCCATTTGCATTGCTAAAAAGGAACACCTGAGGTATTTATATAGAAAAGAAATTGATTTGGCTCACAGTTCTACTGTACAAGAACATACTGCCAGCACCTGCTTCTAGTGAGGGCCTCTAGCTGCTTCCACTCAGGGCAGAAGGCAAAGGGCAGCTAGCCAGAGATCACAGAGATCACATGGGGAGAGAGGAAGCAAGAGAGCTACAGGGGAGGGGCCAGAATCTTTTTTTGTTTGTAGAGTCTCACTATATTGCCCAGGCTGGTCTCTAACTCCTGAGCTCAAGGGATTCTTCTGCCTCAGTCTTCCGAAATGATTTTAGGCGTGAGCCCCCACGCCTAGCTCAAACTCTCTTTAACAAACAGTTTTGTTGGGAACAAACAGAACTCACTGACCCCATTCCCAGGGCATTAATGTATTCATGAATGATCCATCTCCATGACCCAAACACCTCCCTCCAATATGAGGTTTAGGGGGACAAACATCCACACTATAGCAAATACTAATTTTCAATATTAACAAACAAATCTAACAATCTTAACTTCTTAAAAATAATTCCTATAGCATAACAGACTCCAATTATCCTTTGTCTTTTATTTGCAGGGGTTAAGTAAGTGAATAAAGCCTCTGAATTTATAACCATCTGATTTTATTTCTAATTATTTCAATATTTGCTATTAGAAGTCCCAGGAAGGACATTAAAATGTTAAGGTCTACTTTCATTTGTCCACCGTTCTGGCTCTACTATATTTGTTTTTTTATTAAAAATGTCATTGGGAAAAAATATGTATATAATTAAATTTCCTTTCTGAGCCTTTGAATAATATATTTCTCCATCTAACGAGAGCAACTGTAGGTTGCTCTGAAGTTCTATGTTTCTTATCTAGGTCCAAAAGTAGAGCTAGTTTCATTTCTTAGGAAAATTTCCACTTTTCTAAATGTCACCTCTCTTTGTCTCAAATCAGGAATCAACATGTCCAGGGTGCAGAGCTGTAAACACAGCAAATAAAAGTACAAAAGGGAAAAACTAAAGATCTCAGAACTCCAATGAGGTCACAACCTGCAAAGGAAAACAAGTCATCTCTTCTTGAGGAGGACTGTGTATAATATGGGGAATAAGAATTAGAGGCTTAAAAACTTGGAGAACCACTGAAACGATGAATAATGTACAGTCTCTCTAATCTCCTATCTCATACAGTTCACACAATGAACAAACCAGTGAGGTGTGGAAGAGATGTAAACCCTTACCATACTGTGTAAGTGAATTGCAATATAAAGTTAATGACCTAGTTTTATCCACTTCTTCAGATTAAAACAAACATAAACACAATAGAAACTTACCTTCAAAAAGAGACCCCAATTTATATTCTCCACTGAAAAATTGTGGCAATGAGAATACAAGTGCTCCCAGTCCAATCATAAAGGCTGCAAATGCAAGCCATCTCGGCTTATGTCCTCTTTCACCAAAGAATGATACAAATAAAGACAACAAACAGAATGAAATATCGTAGCTTGATGAAATCAGGCCAGTCAGGGAACTCTTCATTTCATAACGCTTCTCAACAGTGGAAATGCTAATATTTACTAGGCCATTAACTACAATACCTAAAAAACAGAAAAGTTGATGTGCATCATTAATATTTTACCATACGATTAAGATTATTAACACAATGAAGTAGAGTTTGATTATTCATTTCTTTTTTTTCTTAAAATGTACCAGTTTTCAAAGCCTCAAAGTTTCAAAGTTAGGCAACCTAAACATATTTCCTTGAAAATCAGTTTGCTTTTTATTTTTGTTTATTTATTTTTTATTTTTATTTTATTTATTTATTTTTTTGAGACAGAGTTTCACTTTCATTGCCCAGGCTGGACTGCAATGGCGCGATCTCGGCTCACCGCCACCTCCACCTCCAGGGTTCAAGTGATTCTCCTGCCTCAGGCTCTGGAGTAGATGGGATTACACGCATGCACCACCACACCTGGCTAATTTTTTGTATCTTGTTAGTAGAGATGGGGTTTCACCATGTTGGCCAGGCTGGTCTTGAAATCCTGACCTCAGGTGATCCACCCGCCTCGGACTCCCAAAGTGCTGGGATTACAGGTGTGAGCCAACGCGCCTGGCCCAGTTTGCTTTTTAAATTGTACACTTGTGAATTTTCAGGTGTCCAACAAGACTGATGCTTGCTACGTACTAAATTATAGTTAACTAGCCTTAATTCATTTTTCTTTAAATGATGAAGTCAAACTGGTAAAGTCCCGTGAAGCCAGTTTGATAGAGTTTCCAAGTATTAATATATCATACTCCCATGGACCTCACTCAGAAGACTACAAAAGGCACAAGAGACCCCATAGGCCACTACAGTTAGGCTCAATTGCTTCCCAAATTATTCAATCCTTAAACATATTTATCTATGACAAGAGATAACTTTGACTATTACTTTATCTCTTCCCTCCTCTCCCCAACTCCAAAAAAAGAGATAACCTTGATTTAGTCTTAGGAAGAAGAAATTGAGCTCTCAAACCCCTATATTTTTCTAACATTCTTACAGATATTAAAGTTACCATGTAAAGGATTCTAGAGCAAAAGTAAACATAAGTCTTTCAACCACTTGCATTCTAAATTGTATGCAAAGTAAAAGAAAAAAACATATATTTATTATAACTATAGTGAAGGAATAGAAGGTAAACAAGGTAAGACTGAAAATCTGAAAATTTTGACTTACTTAAAAATGTCCTGTCCAGATATAGATTAAACTTACAGGAGTTTTAAACATAACTATAAATTGAAAATTTTAAAAATCTGATTGAATTAACTAGAGATTCCTTTTACTTAGGTATGATAAATTGTTTTCATTCATTAACAGTCCAGATATAGATTAAACTTACAGGAGTTTAAACATTACTATAAGTTGAAAATAAAAAACATCTGATTGAATTAACTAGGTATCCTTTTTACTTAGGTATGATAAATTGTTTTCATTCAATACCAGAATGAGTATATACATACAAGTCATGATCTCCACAAATCTCTTTAAATTTTGATTAAGACCGTAGCTGAAAATATATTTCAAAAAAAATAAATTCAACAAATTTAATAAGTTTCAAAACTCATGACATATTTTTTACTTTTATACCCATTTCATAAGACTATAAGCCAATTTACAATTCTTAGGATTTCAAAATAAAGTACCTAAAGTATCTTAGGATGACATTTTTATACGTTATCTAATAATACAAAATTTTCCGCATCCAATAAAATCAACTTCCCTATCACTTGCCATACTGATTAAAAATTAGTTAATAGAAAGAATTGTCTTTATGGTAAAACTTCTCTTTGAAAAAAAAATTTGTAAACTCCTCAGGAAGGATAGCACATTAATCCAATGACTCTTAAAGTGAATTCTATGCTATACAAGTTCCAAGAACACTACTTAAAAAAACAAAAACAAAAAAATCAGGAAACGCTCCATACTACATCTCTCTGTTGTAAATGAATGACAATAGGAAGCACATTAGAAAATTAAGTACTTAGAGAATCCCTGTTTGTCTTTGAGAAATGCTGGGTTAAATAAACTCATTCGAGAAATTTTGTTTTTCTTTCCAATTAAATGTATATTTAAATATACCATGGAAATGATCTTAAGGATCATGTTTGAGAAACATGGCAATAAAGTTTTCAGGCATTCAAACTTAAACTGAAACGTAAACTAGTAATTTATTGGGTCACACTTTTTATTATTATACTTTTTTTTGAGACCTTGCCTCGCTCTGTCACCAGGCTGGAGTGCAGTGGCGCCATCTCGGCTCACTGCAACCTCCACCTCCCGGGTTCCAGCCATTCTCGTGCCTCAGCCTCCTGAATAGCTGGGACTACAGGCGTGTGCCACCGCACCCGGCTAATTTTTGTGGTGTTTTGTTTTGTTTTGAGACAGAGTTTCCCTCTGTTGCCTAGGCCGGAGTGCAATGACACGATCTCGGTCCACTTCAAACTCCGCCTCCTGGGTTCAAGTGTTTTTCCCACCTCAGCCCTCCAAGTAGCTGGGATTGCAGGCATGCGCCACAATGCCCAACTAGTTTTTGTATTTTTGGTAGAGACGGGGTTTCACCGTGTTGGCCAGGCTGGTCTCGAACTCCTGACCTCAGTTGATCTGCCTGCCTCAGCCTCCCAAAGTGCTGCAATTACAGGCGTGAGCCACGGCGCCCGGCCATAATTTTTTGTATTTTTAGTAGAGACGGGTTTCACCATGTTGGCCAGGCTGGTATCCAAGTTCTGACCTCAACTGATCCGCCCGCCTCGGCCTCCCAAAGTGCTGGGATTACAGGCGTGAGCCACCATGCCCAGCCTATTGGGTCACTATTATCTCAGATTAAGCTTCTTAAATTGGGGACCTCTGGGTAGATGCTGCTCCAGACTAAACCTGACAAATTTTCTAGGAGTGACAATTACATTTGATAACAATTTTAGGCAATATTTTATATTAAATATAAAATGTTATATTTTGGAATAATATAGAAATTTCAGAGGAATTTTAAGATAATACACAAGATAAGACATTTTTTACTTGTGTCCAACTTTTTTATCTTCGCATTCCTTTGACACTGAGATGCTTCACAATTACCAATTTTGTAAAACTATGATCAAGACATTAATGGAGGGGAACTTTGGTAGGGACAAGAAAAGTGGACAGGGAAATAATTCTTCAACACAAATCTACCTTCAGTAGAAGAGCTGCAGCGGACTTGCAATCAATAAATGGTTACTTAGCATCTAATGCGCAAAGCAAGGGGCCCTGGGTTCCTTGAAGAGGAAGAATAAGAACAAAAAGTATACTTAGGCTTTGACTTAGTTTTCTATTAACTTAAAAAATGAGCTGTTTCCAACCCTCTAAAATCTATATTTCTAAGGTTGTATTTCTTCCAATTAATCCTTGACTGATTATACAGAAAATATTCTCGGACTATGACTCAAGTGACCAAAAAATATCTACATTCCAATTCAGCTAAGCTTCGGCATGTCCTTCTTGACTCCTCTCCACCTCTTCTCCACCCTTCCTCAAAGTCAACTCAGGTTAACTTCCTATTTTCCTTCAACCTCTGTATTGAACACACCAGAAGCAGCTTTAACCTTCCCTGTGCCTTCTTTCAAGGGAGCTGTTCTCCCTCCAGGATATCACTCCTCCAAACTGAGCTTAGATTGCAAGCCCCTGAGGGTATAAATCTGAACTGAATCTGTAACTCCCAAGAGAACCTAAAAGAGATCCTAGAACAAAACAGATGCTGGATAACTAATGTAACACAATGAAGATTAAGGCTCAACAACGTCGGGAGCCTTTGCTAATTTACTCACTGGGCTCCTCTGGTGACCACATACTCTCAAACTAAATACACTCACAAAACATGAATGTCTGTATCTAATTTATACGATAGATTTTTCATAGCTTTCTTCCTTGTAAGGCATCCCACTCCCACCTGCAAACGTATTACTCCTTCCCCTGAGGCAATGAAACAAATGTAAAAGTAAAATACCTTTAAAGAGTGCCTAGGTAAATTTTTGTCTTTATAATGTAAAATAAACTCCCCAGGGTATACCTTTCCCAAAGGAAGGTTCTTGTAATCTTCCCTGTAAGTCTTGAATCCGCTAAACTGAGGTAAAACACAAAAGAGAAAAAGGCTTGTATTGCAAGTTTGAACTGTAGTGATAAAGGAGAAGCTGAACTTTGGAAGGCTGGCTGGGGGCCGGTAGGTTGACCTTGGTGAGAGCGCAAGCAAGTTCCAAACCCGGGGCCACCTTGCAGGGCGCGTCCACCGTCCCACGGACCCCGCGCACCTGCCCTCTCCCCCGGCTGGCTCGCCGTGCCCACCTCGCTCTCCACTGGCCCGAGCCTCAAGCGGGCGCTGGACTTTACCTTGCGTGACGGCCAAGAGGCAGTAGTGAAGCAGAAAGCCTCCAGGTGTGTTGCAGCGCTGGAGACATTGAGGATGGAAGTTCCTCCAGCCGTAAGACCCCTCCTCAAACTCGGACAGCGACAGTGACCGGAGCTTCTCTTCGGAGACATTGGGAGGGGCTGAAGGCAGAGATGGCTCTGGTGACTTCTGGGGCTCCTGGGGCTTCTGAAGCTCCTGTGGCTGAGAATTCTCTCTTTGGGGGTCAGAGGACAAGGCAGAGACTTCGATTTGGGAGGGCGACGCAGACAAGCGGCGCAGGATGTCTGGGCTGGAGGGGACAAAAGCCAAGTTCTCAATACCTTTGGCGCTCTTCATGTCTGGATGGGTTCTCCCGACTCCGGTGCTTCAGAGCAGCAGAGCCAGGTCCCTCTCTGGCTCCTCCCACAGGCAGGTGACAGCGCCCCCGTGCGGGAAGCTTCCCGCCTCCTGGCCCTCCAGCCTCCAGCGCACTCTCCGCCACCGCCTGAACCTTCCTACTCCAGCTCGCAGCTGTCTGGAGCGCAGAGCGCTGAGCGGGGGCGTTAGCGCCCCAGCCTGTGGCTTTGGCGCTCAGCTGTGCCTCACCCGTCGCCTCAAGGACCAACCGGAAGGCGCGGCGTGGGCGTGCCACCCGGCGGCGGCCGAGTAGAGGGGGCGAGAGTTCTCACCCCACAGCCTTCGACCGGAGTCCGCCTCCGCCCAAGCCCCTGCGGTTCTGACCTGAGCCTTCAGCCCGCAGCGCGCCTCCCTTGAGCCCAAGCACTGGGAACACACAGAGACTGTGGGAGTCTCTGGCCATAAGCTCCCCTTGGGTGCTGACATGAAACCTGTAAACAGTTGCATCAGGAGATTGTTCAGGAAACTATCTTGCGTTTTCTTCCTTTGCTGCTTACCAAAGCAGTCTAGGCTTGGACTCCAAGAATCAAGACGTCAGAGGTATACTTTGGTTCATGAGCATCTTGATAAGACTCTTGCCTGTCATCCTGTTACTGGTAGAAGGTGTCCAGGTTCTTGGCATCTTGAAGAAAGAATTGAAGAAAACGCACAAACAAAGCAAGGAAGGAATGAAGGGGTTTATTGAAAATGAAAGTACACTCCACAGTGTGGGAACGGGCGAGCATAGGGGCTCAAAGGCCCGGTTACAGAATTTTGGGGAGTTTAAATACCCCCTAGAGGATTCCATTGGTTACTTTGGGTATGCCCTATGTAAAGGGAGAAGATGAAGTAAAGTTACAAAGTCATTTATGGCCTACGCCCTATGGAGAGGATATTTCCTGTTACAGCTGAAGTGTGAATAGGCCTTATGTTTCCTGCCTCCAGACCCTATTTTCCTGCCTCAGTCCTCCTTAGAAAAAGAAATCCACCCCACCCCACCCCCATCACCACCAGGATGAACATCACAGCATAACCACTGCTTTGCTTTTCCTTCTCCGAAACTGAAGGACCAGAAATTGTCTCTCTGCTGTATATTGCATATGTAAGATATACAGTGATGACAATCATGTAAATAATTTCTACCGGGCCAGGCGCGGTGGCTCACGCCTGTAATCCTAGCACTTTGGGAGGCTGAGGCGGGTGGATTACCTGAGGTCAGGAGTTCAAGATTAGCCTGGCCAACATGGTGAAACACTGTCTTTACTAAAAATACAAAAATTAGCCAGGTGTGGTGGTGCAGGCCTGTAATCCCAGCTACTTGGGAGGCTGAGGCAGGAGAATCATTTGAACTCGGAAGGTGGAGGGTACAGTGAACCGAGATTGTGCCACTTCAATCCAGTCTGGGTGAAAGAGTGAAACTCTGTCTCTTAATAATAATAATAATAATAATAATACATGTCTAACTGTGGAATAAATAAGAAAAACACTTCGAAGAGCTTAACACCATTGTGTCATGGTAGGTACAATTTAGTCATTCATTCTTTCACTTAACACAGACACAAAAAATTCTTGTGTCCTAGGTGCCAAACATTGTTCTAAGTTCTGGGGGTACACAAGTGAACAAAGACTGGCAAATACCCCTACCCTTATGGTGCTTATGTTTTAATAGGAAACAGACAGTAATAATACATAGTACATGGCACATAATATGATAAATACTATTTTGTGAAACTTTTGTTTCAATTATATATGCTGTGTTTACTGGGTTGAGAGACAGATATAAAATATGTATCTTACTTTGGACAGAGGTACATTCTGTTACCTGTTTCCTCACAATCGAGAAAACTCTAGACTGGCCAGCCGGGCGCAGAGGTGCAGGCCTGTAATCCCAGTACTTTGGGAGGCCAAGGTGGGTGCCTTGAGTCCAGGAGTTTGAGACCAGCCTGGGCAACACGACAAAACCCTGTCTCTACCAAAAATGCAAAACTTAGCCTGGCATGGTGGTGCACGCCTGTAGTTCCAGATACTTGGGAGGCTGAGGTGGGAGGGTCGCTTACAACCTGGGAGGGTGAGGTTGCAATGAGTACTCCAGCTGTGCCATAGAGCCAGACCTTGTCTCAAAAAAATAAGAATTAAAAATAAAAATAAATTCTAGATTGGCCTAAAACATGGGGAAAGAGTAGAAGTAGGAGCTAACATTTAAAATGTCTGCTATATGCCCCATTATTAAAATCTTTACAAAAGCAGCTGCACTGTTATATATAGTTTACATATTGAGGAAACCATATCCCATAAAGAATTAGTAACTGTCCCAAAGTCACATAGCTAATAAGTGAACTGCCACTTAAGGATCTGAACTCGGCTCTCTTAGCCAGAAGTCTTCCCTAAACTTTGCATTTTCTGTCTTTTAATAACTACAGTGTATCTCCATCAGGTTAAATTATTGCATAGCAATTTTAAGAGATCAAAATTCAAAATTCTGTGATATTCGTGAGGCTTAGAAGATTAATGCTGCTCTGAAAACCTAGATTTTGGAGGTATTCAAATTAAGCATGGTATGTAATCTTCCTGGGCTTGCTTTCTACAAAAATGGACTCAAAGTAGGTAACTATTTTGATCACCATTTTATCTATGGAATACGAAGTAATTTACACAACCAGAAAATTTTGTTTTGATGGGATGTGATTACATACAATCATGGCTTAAGACTATTTTGCAGCTGTGACTTAATAAATCCATGCTATACTATCAAAATCAGAGTAGCATAATCATCGTGCACTTAAATTCATACTAAGGAGAAATCTCCACTCTCACAGTGTTAGAGAGAGAATTTTGGTTAAAGATTAGCAAAATTACTATTGCTTCATCTTAAATACATCTTGCTCTTACTGAAAGTTTCAATTTCCTGTTCCCTTACATTCTTTATGCTGCAGTGATGGAAGGGGCTTCGGTTTGCAACAAAAACCAAAAAACAAAAATAGGAAAGAAAAATTGTTAGTTTTCATCCCTGATAATTCTATGGAAAAACGTCCATTTTAAAATTAATTGTTTGGTCAATCTAGGTTAAATCTGCCTCTAATGAACACAGTCAAAATATACCATCTTAAATTTCAGAAGGTAATTGATACTTTACTCTTCTTATAGTACATTTTATTTGCTATGTTTTTAAAGGGTGGAGAATGGGAGAAAGAGAATGTCCAAAATTTATGGTAAGGCTCCCACACTGTAAACAGAAGCAGTCCCTGCCTCTGGATATCATTCTCTGGGATGTGCAGTAGGTCTTTCCTTTCAGGAATTGGATGAAACAAGGTGAAGTGGCTTAATGACAGAAGTTATCAAGATTGTCCTACTAACTCCCCTTGCTCTGATTCCATGCTTAAGAGCGATCTTATGATTTGGGCCTTCCATGTAGATATGTATACTGGATGAAAATGTATTGATATGCCTATCTTGAGTACTTTATCATTTTCCCCTCTGTGTTGTTAATGCTTTATTAGTTCCCTTCTGGTTTTAGACTAAATGTGAACCCTTTAGCAGTATAACACTATGAGCTCATAGAATATTAAAATTAGAGGGATCTTGACAGTGGCTGATTACAAACATGGTCAAATGTGAATATCGTTGAGGTTAATTACAAATCCTAGTATTAACGGTTTATTAATATCACAGCATCTTATATTAACTGAATAAAAGCAACCAGACAATCTAAGTGACCATCTTAGTATTATTGATTTATCTTTTCAGTTTTAAATGTTTCACAAAACATATAGTTAAAAATAATAAGTTAAATCTAAGAAAAAAATTAACACTGAACTGTATTGTTTTTAATACTGTTTTAAATTGCAATTACACATAAATATATAATCATATTGAGAAGAAATGCAACTGTACTTTTTCTTTTCATCTTATTCATCATAAATCATTAAGAAATACATACATAAGCCAGGCACGGTGGCCCATGCCTGTAATCCCAGCATTTTGGGAGGCCAAGGCAGGAGGATTGCCTGAGCTCAGGAGTTCGAGACCAGCCGGGGCAACACGGTGAAAACCCGTATCTACTAAAATACAAGAAATTAGTGGTGGCATGTGCCTGTAGTCCCAGCTACTCAGGAGGCTGAGGCAGCAGAATTGCTAGAACCTGGGAGAGGGAGGTTGCAGTGAGCCAAGATCACGCCACTGCACCACTGCACTCCAGCCTGGGTGACACAGCAAGACTTGATCGCTTAAAAAAAAAAGAAAGAAAGAAAAAGAAATACATACATAAACATGGCTGATAATAATTATTTGAAAAAAAAACATGTCAACATTTAAAACAGTAATCCTATAAGAAAGCAAACAAAGTAGATAGTAAAACACTAGTGTAAAAATTACAGAAGGCCCAGAAGACTCTCCGAGTTGAGGATACAGAGCTGAAAGTCCAACAACACTAAGACAACTGGAATTTGCAAAGCAGAGTACCAAAAAGGAGAAAGCTGTATAGAGGGATGTGCAGTGTCCCCTCCTGTATTCAGCAGATTTGGATAGCGTGTGGGTGTGAAGAAACTGTTCTAGTCCAAGGAAAGAATCATCTTAAGGGATTAGAGGAATAGTGGCTAGTGCTTGCTCACATAGGGCCTTAGGAAGGTGGAATAAAGAAGTTTTCAGACATTGAAAAAAAAACTGAAATAACCAAAAGCACCTACAACCAAGAAATGTTAAAAAGAAGTCCTTCAGGCAGAAGGAAAATGATACCAGGTAGAAATATTTTTCTATATGAAGGAATGAAGAGCACCAGAAATGAGGAGATGGAGCTTAAGATGCATAGATAAATATGTGAGATTTTTTTCTTATTATTTCCATCTCTTTAAAAGATAATTCACTGTTTAAAAATAATAATAAACTATTACAGGGTTTATAAGATATGTAAAGGTAAAATGTGTGACAACAATAGTGCAAAGGCCAGGAAAAGAGAAATAGAAGTATGCTATTGTAAATGTCTTTTACAGAAAGTGATATGTGTGTCTCAGAAGTGAAGTGATGTAATATCAAAGGTAGAATATGATAATGATTGATACTATAAGCCTTAGAGAAACCTCTAAAATGGCTACAATAAAAAACAGTCAGAAAAGGAGATAAAGTGGAGTAATGGAAAATATTCAGGTAATCCAAAAGAAGGCAGCGAAAGAGGACAAAGGAAACAAAAACTGTATTGGAAAAAAAAGAAAATCAGCAAGACAATAAGTTGGGCCTAACCATATTAATAATCACACTAAATGTAAACACTGTAAACATTTTATTTAAACAGAAAGGATTGCCAGATCTGATATAACATGCAAGAACCAGTTAAATACTACCAATAAGAAACACATTTTAGGCCAGGCACAGTGGCTCATACCTGCAATTCCAGCACTTTGGGAGGCTGAGGCGGGTGGATTGCTTAAGGTCAGGAGTTTGAGACCAGCCTGGCCAACATGGTGAAACCTTGTCTCTACTAAAAATACAAAAATTAGCCAGGGTGGTGGCACATGCCCGTAATCCCAGGTACTCAGGAGTCTGAGGCAGGAAAATTGCATGAACCCTGGAGGCTGAGGTTGCAATGAGCCAATATGGCACCACTGCACTCCAGCTGGATGACAGAGCCAGACTCCATTACAAAACAACAACAACAACAACAACACATTTTACATATAAAGGTTAATAGACTAAAAGTAAAAGAAAGTGGGAAATCATGCTTACACTAAAAATGGCCTAGAAATTTGATAGTTAGATGAAATGGACAAATTTCTTATAAAAAAATCACAAAGATCTCTCGAGGTAATATAGAATCTAAACAAGACTTTATCTACTAAAGAAATTGAACTTTCCGTTTAAAACCTTCCCATAAAGAAAAAGTGGTGAATTCTACCAAGCATATAAGAACTAATACCAATTCTAAACAAATTCTTTCAGAAAATCAGAAGTGATTCCAACTCATTCTATGGTGCCAGAATTACTCATCATTTATCTGGACCTCATCATAGTATCCACCCCAAATTACCTTTTATCCTTGTGATTATGATAAATAAATGTGTGTTAATTGATGGTAACTATTAGTATAGTTGAGACAGATAATTCTTTTTGATTGAATGACTATAACAAAACAATGACTGAATAACACATTAGTGTCAACATAGAGAAAGAACTGTAATAAATGCCGAGAACATGTATTAGGATAAGCTATCAAGAATGTGAGGGCCATCTGGCTGCAACATCTTTCACCCCATTGATCATCAGGGTTGATTTGGCTGATGTGGCTGGCTAGGGGGGTGTCCCCTTCCCTCCTCACCGCTCCATGTGCGTTGCTCTGGAAGCTGTGTCCTGGGTCTAAGAGGACAACCATCTCTAGCAGAAGAGGGCGGGTCTTCCCTCAAGAATATAGGAGTAGCTGTGCTTCCCTGCTAGGACCTCCAAACAAGCTCTCAAGGACAGGCTATCAAACAATCCCATGTGGTAAAAACAATAAATAATGGCTCTCCTGGAACGTTTTCCTTCAAATTATGAATTCATGGATCCATCTTCCTCCCGTTTTCTGATTCTCTCATTTCAGAGTTATTTTCTCCCTGCAAGTAAATTGGGGACAGGGTGAAGATCTTCATGCTAGATGTTTCTGCCCAGCACTGAAATATATCATATGGTATTTTTGCCCATATGCCACTGACCAAAACTTAGTCCCTTGCCCTACCAAGATATTAGAGGGGTTGGTTATGTAGTTGTCCTGTATGCCAGGAGGAAAATAAAATAACTTGGTCAACACATAGCAATGTATCTGCCATAAATATTATAAATACTTTGTATAAGAGCATCAGGACCAAACAGGCTAAAACCATGATTCATATCTAACAAGCTGATATAGGTTAAAAAAATTTTTACAAATCAACTTAAATCAAAACTGTAAGATAAGAGAGATTTATCTAAACATCAGCAAATTAAAACATAGGTCAAAAATAAATAAATGTGAAGGACATTAATTAAAGTATTGAATCCAGGTTAATATTTTTCTCTCTATCTGTGCCATTCAGACTATCCCAAAATATTATATAGAATTATAAATGTTGCACTAAAAGAACCATTGACTAATGGGAGCAAGTCCAATAATAACGTAGTAAAAATGAAAAAAAATTGAAATTTGTCATATGAAAATTAGTTGAAATAACTTGAAATTTTATCCTAAAGAAAATATGTAGTGGTTAACATGATAGTTTTCGTAAAATATTTGAGTAGGGGCATCGTTTAATACAGTTATCAGACTTATTTTTTATGAATCTTAAGATTAGTACAAGTGCCTTGTATATAGAAGGAAAATATGGGCTCAATATAAAGAAAATTCCTTTATAAATAGAGCAATTGTTCTCAAAATGTGATCCAGGAACCCCCAAGGCAACTAAGACTTTCAAGGGGTCTGCAAGTTCATAACTATATTAAAAATAATACTAAGATGTTATTTGCCTTTTAGACTCTCATTTTCTTACATAAGTCACTGTAGTATCTGCAATAAAAAAATTTTTAAGAAACAACAAAACAATCATTTTCTTACAAGTGTGCAGTGGAGTTTTCCAGAGGCTACCTGACATGTTGTGTCACAAAAAAGAAAACATAAAAACCCTTTATTAAGATAGAAATTAAAAAGATTTTTTAAAGAGATAAACCATTCCATTCTTCTCACTATAATTTTTGAAAATATAATTTTTTAATTTAAAAAGTGTTCATATATAATGGGTTTATTATTGGTAATTAATTTAGTATTAAAACAACTCATTTAATTTCTAATATAATAAGTATCAATGGCTATACTCCGTTAAATAAAAGTTCTTTGGGATCTTCAATAAGTTTTGGTTTTGTTTTGTTTTGTTTTTTCTTTACAAAACATGAGCTAGGAAAGACTCAGTAAGTTCTAAGAGTAAAAAGGGGTATGGAGACCAAAAAGTCTAAGATCCAGCGAAGTAGAGCTATACAAAATAGGATTGACTGCCTTAATACATAATGAGTTGTCTATCACTAGAGTAGCTAGCTGGTCAGTTATTAGAGGTATTGTGTGAGGCATGCAAACCACAGGAATTGGGTTGGAAACCCACTGAAGCCTACTCCAAAACTAAAATTTAATGATGCTTAAACTCTGTAATCATTGATTAATTTTATAAAATACTGATAAGAACATAAAGTTAGTTAAAATTTTTGTCAAAAATCTACTGTGTCAGAGCCATAATTAGAATTCTCTTGTCTTTCCACTACACCACTTTTATTCCTTCCCCAAATCTTATTCCTTTAGTTATCAACCTTACATCTACCTCTAGGCCTTGGCCAGGCAAACAAATAGACTGTTCTGTCCTAACTGGAACCATTCATGAGCTCAGCATCTAAGATGTTTGTTGGTTTCCATCACCTTCCTTTCTCAGCACTCCTTGACTGAATCAAACATAGACCTCTCAGTCTTCTGATGTGCTGTTTGTTTACCTTGACTCTTGCTCTCTATGTATGTCCAAGGCATTCAAAGTATATATTAGCAAAGAAAGACAAAGATTCAGTCCTGGGATGTGGGTGGGAAGTAAGAAAACAAGAATGAAGCAAATGAAAACAATACCTAATTTTGAGATCATCTATGGCAGCGGTCCCCAAGTCCCCAATCTTTTTGGCACCAGGGACCAGTTTTGTGGAAGACAATTTTTCCATGAACGTGGGCAGGGATGGGGGTGCAGATGATGGTTTGAGGATGAAACTGTTCCACCTCAGATCATCAGGCATTAGATTCTCATAAGGAGCGCACAATCTCACATGCAGTTCACAACAGGGTTCAGGGTTCCCGCTGTTATGAGAATCTAATGCCCCACTGATCTGACAGGAGGTGGAGCTCAGGCAGTAATGCTAGGTCTCCCACCACTACCACCTCCTGTGCAGTCCTGTTCCTAATAGGCCATGGCCCAGTACTAGTCCCTGGTCTGGAGTTGGGGACCCCGAACTATTGGATGAGATGTCATAAAACACTAAGGCACATACAATTGGACACCAACAAATAATTTCCCAAATAACAGGCCTGAATATAAAAGGTATACTAAATGGATGTCCTGCAAGACTTCCTAAAGAAATCAGTGAGTATAGAATTTTATGAGCACAAAAAATGTTGTAAGCATGGACATTAATTAGTTGCTGTGATGTATTTGTCATAATATTCAAGCATGATTGTTGTGTCAATGTTTTGGAATCAATTACATATTGTTTTAAGATTTTCATGGTTCAGAAGTTTATACCTGTATTTCTTTGGGAAAAAAAAAAAATCAAGGCTATAGCCAAAATTCTGAAGTGAAATTAAGGCAGCAAAATAAAACTGCCTACTGGATATTTGAGATGATAGCAGCCAGGAGAGGCTGATCTGGAAGTTGGTTTCCTACTGCCAGTAGGTGCCCTGGAGAAAATTTCAATAATCTCCAAACATTTTTGCAATTAGTATCTGGATATTTAGAAAGAAAAGGACCCATTTATTCTGATCCCTGCTTCTTACGTAGTAGATACAGAAATGTTGTGGGGTTTTTTGAGTCCTAAAACAGCAAAGACCAGAATACCAGTTTGGATATTTTTAAGAGAACGGATTGAACAAAGAGAATAACACAAACTTGGCATTGTCATATAATTTGAACCTCACATAAAAATGTCAAGATTTTTAAAATACGGCTGTTTTGATAGAAGGCAAAACACAAATACTTAAAAACCTTAATAAATAAAATTTTCTTTTAATCTCAGGTCTACTTGCACAAGGAACGTAAAATATACCACTCAAATAGCAATTTCACTGATTTTCAACTTAAAATAAATAAAATTAAACAATAAAGAAAGAAGAAGGAAAGAAATTTCATGTCTTTGTACCCAGCTATTCAATAATACACACTTATTTAGCAGTTATACACTTATCAATACTCACCAATACACTTAGGTGTTGGAAATGTTCTGTGTCATAATTGTGGTTACATGACTATACAGTAAATCCTCACTTAGGGTTGTCCATGGGCCCTTGGAAACCGTGACTGTAAGCCAAACGAGGTATAAGGAAACCAGTTTTGCCTTAGGCTAGTTGATATAAACAAGTGATAAGTTCCTGCCCATGTTTCTGATTACAGAAACATCAACAAACTTCTAAACAAAGACCAAAATATTTCTAATGTTAAATACTGAAAAAAAGTGAGTTATACATATGTATAAGAAAGATTAATAAAAACAAAAGATAATTATTTATAGCTTATTCCAGTTCAGGGTAGTGAGTGGTCAGAGCCTGTCCTGGCAGCACAGGGGCAAAGCAGGAAGCAGCCCTGGACAGGATCCCATACCCCCGCAGAATGCGCTTGCAGGTTCATTCACACTCACTCAGACAGGCACCACTGAGACACTGCAGTTCACCTAACCAGCATGGCTTTCTGATGTGGAAGAAAACCGAGGTATCCAGAGAAAACTCACACAGACATGGAGAGAAAGTGCAAACTCCACACAGGGGCTCCAGCAGGGAGTTATTTTTTTCTTTTTTTCTCATCAATGTCATAACAAAATGATGGTGAACAAAGTGACATTATTCAAAGATCTGCTGTATTCTTGCAAATTTCATCAAATTATACCCATAAAATTGGTGAGCTTTGTGTGTAAATTACACCTAAATAAAACAGATTTTTAAAAATCTGTTTGAATTTAGTAAAAAGGCAAACTAGGCACCATATATTTCAAAAGGTCTTAATGCATTATCTCAATATCTACACTATTGATGCCTTGCCATTTGCTGGCTTTGTGACATCGGGCAAATTATTCCACTTCTCTTAATTTCCTTTTCTGTAAAATGGAGAAAATAGCAGCTGTGGTATAGGACCGTGGTGTGACAATTAAGTGAGTTAATTCATTAATATGCGTGGCAGAATGTCTGGCACATAAGAAGGACTCCATTCAGTTATTCATACACTCTTAAATTCATGATCTACTACATGGAAATTGTTTTACCAAGGCCTTGGTATACAGTGGAGGATAAAATAGATAACATCCTTGCACTTATGGAGCTCTATATCCTAGCTTGGGGGAAAACTATTCATAGTAAAAATGAAAGTACCTGAAGATAACTGTATCTGCTAGGCAAGCAATCAAAACAGGTGCACATGGTAGAGAGAGACCAGATGGTTTCTTTAGTTGGAGTGGTAAGGAAAGGTCTGTCTAGGAACTAACATTGAAACTGAGATCTGAATGGGGAAAATTTAAAGACAGGCTGCACAAACCTGAAGGGATTTGTTAGCCAAGGCAAACTGTGCTTTTGTCCATTAGGGTCACAGGAACATTTGGAAACTTTTAAGCAGATAAATGACTATTTAATTCATGCTTTAAAATACTAACATGGCTCCTGCGTGGCACTGGATTTGGGAAGCCCAAGAACCTATCAGGAAATTGTATTAGGTTCAGCTGTGAGTTACAGAAAAGAAACAAAATCATATTATTTTGAAACACAATATAAGTTTATTTTCTTTTCAAGAGGTCCAGATGTAACCAGTTCATGGTGTTATGGTAGTCCAAGGAGTCAGAGATTCATGCTCCTTCTACTCTATTGTTCTACCATATGGGGTTTCCACTTGCCAAATTAATTTTTGGTGCAAAATGACTCCTGAAGCTCCTGCTATTAAATTACATCTGAATTTCATCCAATAGGAAGAAGGAAAAGAATGAAAAAGGACACTACCTGGAAGTTGCACACGCCACATTTGTTTACATCGCTTAAGCCAGAAATCAGTCACACCTGGCTAAAGGAAAGCCTGTAAGGTAGTGTTTATTATAAGCAGCCATGTGGCTCAGTAATAATCTAGATTTGAATTACAAAGGAAGAAAGGATAAATTATATTTGGAAGATGGTGGTAAATAACAATAACTTAGACTAAAAGAGGAGGATTCACAGTGGTGGTGAAAGAAAGATTGCTGGGTGGGCCTCTTCTTTCTAATGGAACTATGCTGTAGTGTGCAGATTTCTCCTTTGGGATTGTATAGTGTTATACAGCAGATTGCTCCCACCCCCCCACACTTTTCCTTCTTTTTTTTTTTTTTTTTGAGACAGGGTCTCATTCTGTGCCCAGGCTGGAGTGTAGTGGCATAATCTCTGCCCACTGTGGCCTCATCCACCCCAGGCTCAGGTGATCCTCCCACCTCAGCCTCCCGAGTAGCTGAGACTAGAAGTCTGTACCACCACGCCCAGCTAATTTTTAATTTTTTTTTGTAGAAATGGGGTTTCACCATGTTGCCCAGGCAAATCTCGAATTCCTGGGCTCAAGTGATCTGCCTGTCTCCGTCTTTCAAAGTGTTGGGACAGCCATAAGCCACCGTGCTTATGATTCTCTACCCAAGGATGCAGTTCCTATTGCTAGCCCTTCTAACAGCTAAATGCTCTAGCAGGTTTCTACCACTACTGCCTCTATTACCCTTCAGGCTTCCTAGTGGAGAAGCCCTCCTGCTGACCCTAGCTCCAAGGCCTTCCACCTTCTTTTGATGGACTCATGTAACCAAGGTACATAGAGGCATTCAAGAAGTCTGGGAAATACCTGAAGTCACATAAAAAACTTAGTATTTATGTGAATTTCTTCAAAACAGGTTTGTACCTATCATCAAAACTTTGAAGTTTTGAAATCCAGAATGAGATACAGAAAAGTTTGATTATATCTCTACCCCCCAAAAGTTAATATTTACTGGTTTAGAACCAGTTTTGAGATATAATCAAACTTTTCTGTATCTCATTCTGGATTTCTGAGATTTCTCAAGAGGAAGATACTTCAAAACCCCAAAGGCTTTTTGCTAAATGTTCTCATCCAAAACATCATTTCGAAGAAGGAAAGAAAGAACAAAGAAGGGAAATGTTGCCTCCAGGTGAAAGAACTCCTTTGGATACTTGCCTTTTTCTATCAGGTTCTTAAGGTTTTACAGTATGCCCCAACCAAAATAGTGTGAAACCAGGGGTACAGATGTGCAAATGATTTGGGCCCATGAACTAAAACTCCTAGAAAAGGACACTCAGTATTTAGCTTTTAAATACATGAATAAAGGTCAGGCCTAAAGAGCCATAAATTCAGTCTCATAAAAATCAAGAAAATTTAACTAATATTTATTAGGCACTTTATTTTAAAATCACATCTTCTTTACATTTCCCATTTCAATAAGAAAAGAGCTTCAGCTGAACAGTCACTTTGGTGAAGTCTTCCCTCAGTAGCCTCATCTCAGTAAATGGCCTCACTAAAGCCAGAATGCTGATTTAAAAAAAAAAAAAAAACCCTTGACTATTCGTGTTTCCTCATATCTCATATGTGATGGTTAATTTTATGAGGCTCCATGTCCTAATTTGACTGGGCCAAGGAGTGCCAAAATATTTGGAAAAACATATTCTAGTGTGTCTGTGAAACTGTTTCTGGATGAGATTAACATTTGAATCAGTAGACTGAGTAAAGCGGATTGTCATTCCCAATGTGGGTGGGCCTAGTCCAATCAGATGAAGGCCTGAATAGAACAAAAAGACTGTCCTATCTGCAAGCAACAGAGAATTCTCCAGTAGACTGCCTTTGGACTTGAACTGGACATCAGCTCTCCTGGGTCTCCAGCCTGCTGAACCCACCCTGCAGATGTGGGACGTGCCAGTCTCCATAATGTGTGAGCCAGTTCCTGTTAATAAACTTCTTTCTACACACACGCACACACACACACACAGTGATAAAGAGAGAGATAGAAAGAAAGAAAGAAAGAGAGAGAGAGAGATCCTATTGGTTTTGTTTGTCTAGAGAACCCTAATATATTAATCCATCAACAAGCACTTTTTATACTAGCTCCAAGGTATGTCCTGTATCCATATACTTTGTTCCTTACTGCCATTAAACTCTTTAAGTTACCTGTCTTCTGTTTAAACTACTCTAATAGCCTTTTATGGCTCCTTAAATTCTACAGGTTTTTTTTGTTTTTTTGTGTTTTGTTTTTTGTTTTTGCACATAGAACCATAGTGAGTCCTTTAAAACATGAGAAACATTTAAATATCAATATAAAAATTCTAAGAATGGGTTATAATTCAATAAAAAATAAAATATGTGAATATATACCAATATAAATAAGTAAATAAACAATAAATGAAGGAAAAGGGAAAGCCCTTCCGCACAATAAAATGCCAATTAATAATACAGAAAAAAAAATGGACTTAGAAGATGCTAAAACTAGTGGGTGAAAGATTGATGAACAGGATATTACATAATCTCAAAATATCCCTCCACAAATTATATACTAATTATAAAAAAAAGTGGAAGAATACTATAGTGATTATCTTAATCAAGTTATCAAAACTAATATCACAGTATTGGAACAAACTGATATTGATGAGTCTTAATATGCACTGAGAAGGATACCGTGCCTCTGTGTGGCATTCTTGACAAAAACGCATAGCCTGAATCAAATAATAAGAAATTATCAAACTCAAATTAAGAGGCATTCTACAAAATAACTGTCCTGTATTCTTCAAAATTGTTTAGGTCAAGGAAAGGCAAAAAAAGACTGAAAAACTGTTCAGATTGAAGGCAGCTAAAGAAACATCACAGCTAAATCCAAAACCAGAATTCTATTATGAATGCTGAACCAGGAAAAACAGATATAAAATATATTAGTGGGAAAATTGACAAAATTTGAATATAGGCAGTGGATTAAGTAATAGAATTATAATATTAAATTTTCTGATTTTGATAATTATATTGTGATAATGTAAGAGAATGTTTATATTATTAGGAAACACATACTGAAGTTTTTTAAGTAAAGAGATGTGATATCTCAAATTTACTTTTAATATATTGGTAAAGAATAGGAAACTGTAAATGTGACAAAATATAAATAATTGGAAAGACCAAGTAAATGATATGTGAAATTTCCTTGTACTATTCTTGTAACTTTTCTGTAATTTTTCAATTAGACCAAAATTTGAAAATATAAAATTTGAAAAAAAAGGACCTTTCATAAAACCATCCAGTTCTTTCCATCATACACAGAATAAAATAAAATGCCATTCCCATGGCCCACAAAGCCCTATATATTTAGCCCTTGCCTACCTCTCCAACCTTATCTCATACTACTTTACCCTTTTCTCAATATACTTTATTATAAGGATGTTCTGTTCCTTCCTTCAACATGACAAACTCTTTGCTATCTTTAGCCTTTGAATTTGCTATTCTCTCAGGATCTTGTAAAACTGATGTTTTCTCAAATCCAACCTCAGGATAAATGTTATCTCACAGAGGCTTTCTCTGACTTGATTGAAATGGTCATACCCATACAGACACACACACACACACACACATTCTCTGTCATCTTGTCCTGCTTACTTTTCTTGTATCTTTTAAAATAATTTAGATATTTTTTTACTTATTTATCATTATCTCTTTCCTAAACCAGAATAGCTTTATACTTCCAGTTCTAGCACAGTTAGGGTGCAATAAACATGTGTTAAATAAAATGAATCAGTGTGAAAGTGATCCACAAAATAGGTATCATTGTACGAATCATTATGATAGCTACCGTTTATTTCAACAGTAACATGCTAAGTCCTTTATCTTAGCATGTTATTGTGTCCTAACCTTCACCCCACACCTTCCATGATGTGGCAAACAGCTTCTAAAATGGCTGTCAATGAAACATGCCTCCTGGCACTCATGCCCTGTGTCATCCTCTCCCCTTGTGTGTGATGACTGGACCTAGTAACTTATTTGTAACAAACAGAATATGTCAAAAGTGGTGAGATGACAAAAAAAAATAGTAACTTTATTGAAGTGAAAATGGGTAGATATGACCTTGACCATCATCAAAGTCAACAGCACTAGTAATACATACTGACATCATGTACTCCATGATATGATACAAAGGGCAAACCACTTCTGTGTTATCCCTCCTGTAATGCAAAATTTCAGCCTAACTCTGAAAAAATATAAAGCAAACCTAAATTGAGAGGCATTTTACAAAGTAACTACCAGTCCTTCTCAAAATTATCAAGATTTTGAAACACAAAAAAACTTTAGGAATGGTCATAGATCAAAAAGACTAGGAAGACATGACAACTAAATGCAATGTGATGTGGGGGATTAGATCCTTGGAACAGAAAAAATGTTTCCACTGGTAGAGAAAATGGTGAAACCTGAGTAAAGTTGTAATTTAGTTTTATAAAAAAAAGTTACAGGAAGTCAATTTCCTTTTTTTTTTTTTTTTTTTTTTTTTTGAGACAAGGTCTCACTCTGTCATCCAGGCTGGAGTACAGTTGTGTGATCTTGGCTCTCCTGGGCTCAAGCGATCTTCCTACCTTGATATTCCAAAGTGCTAGGATTACAGGCATGAGCCACTGCTCCTGGCCTCTGGCTCTTCTTGCTTACTGCTCTGATGAAGCAACTTCCATATGAGCTGTCCTGTGGAGAGGCCCACATGGCAAAGAACCAAAGGATTCAGTGACTGAGGAACTGAATCCTTCCAACCACCTTATTAGTGGGCGAGGAAGAAGATTCTTCCCTACTTAAACATTAAGATGACTACATTTATAGCTGACACATTGATTCCATTCCTGGGACACCCTGAGCCACAGAACTCAGACAGACTGCATCCAGATTCCTAATCCACAGAATCTGGGATGATAAATGTTGTTTTAAGTCACTAAATTTTGGGTTAACTTGTTACACATTAATAGTTGTTGTTTTAAGCTACTAAGTTTTAGATTAATTTGTTATACAGTAATAGATAACTAACACACATGGTTCTGTATAATTATTGTCTCTATTTTTACAATGAGGCAAGTGGTTTAAAGAAGTTAGATAACTAGTCCAAAGTTACTTAATTAAGCGACAAACTGGAATTTAAACCTGGGCTCTCAGAGACCGTTTATGGTCCGAGTCACTGCATTATAATGCACTCACAAGGCCCTGTACAATAGTAGTTATATTTTTACTAATGAAATTGTTCTAAGCCAGGATAAACTTTTACAAAGCATCTGAACCTATTGCCAAATAAATTTAAGAAAAAAATGCAGCTGGGCACAATGGCTCACACCTGTAATCCCAACCCTTTGGAAGACCAACAAGGAAGGATCTCTTGAAGCCAAGAGTTTGAGACCAGCCTGGGCAACTAATCAAGACCCCACTCTACATAAGTAAAAATAAAAATAAATTAGCCAGGTGCAGTGGCTCACGCCTGTGGTCCCAGCTACTCAAAAGGCTGAGGCAGGAGGATTGTTTGCATCCAGGAGTTTGAGGCTGCAGTGAGCTACGATCATGCCATTGCGCTTCAGCCTAGGTGACAGGGACCCCATCTTTAAAAAAGAATAAAAATAAAATAATAAAGAAAAAATACTTCTTAACATCTGTGTCAAAGTAATACTATGTTTTGGGGAGTGGTTATTCACCATAATCCAAATAATAATATTAAGTAATCTTATTTAACTAGTAAATTCTTTCAGCTACTTTAAGGTACTTTTGAAAATAGCATTTAGTGGGCCTAATAATGATAGATAAAATCATTCTATAAGAGTCGGTAGTGATTTAGAGGAATTTCAGGGCTGATCAAGGCAAATGATATGACATGAGCTTTATTTAGGCAACATTTTGACAGGAATGCATGTGGGCAAAGTCCCCCACAGCATGATACCATCCAAAGGCTATATAGCACTTGCGAGGGTAAGGGATGAGGGCAAGGGAACTCAGAGGGGAGAGGGGATCATAGAGAGGTATTGTGTGTAGGTAATGTTACGCAGCACTCCAGCAGTGAGTCTGGGTCAGAGAGCTACAAAAGGCAGAAGCAGCTTGGGATATTTCATAGCTACAGGGTTGATCTTATCTATGGCTAGCAGATGTTGGGCAGTTTCCTGTGATATACAAAGCAGGCAGGCTCTAATTGGCTAAACATTTATTTGGGCTATGTTGAAAACAACTGGATATGTAAAAATTTGAGTTTGCCACTGGTAGGCTTTTGAGCTCACATATTGTAGACTGCTGTGAAGAAATAAACCAGCTAAGGGTCATCTTTTACTCATTCATGTAACAGATTCACACTAAAGTTCATCTACAATTGACTTGGTCAAATGACAACAACTTACCTTTAAAAGCTAGCCTGATATACAAGAATAACTTTTAGTTCTCTGGCAGGTAACTGAATTGTCAAATAAGTATTTGTTTAGGCATGAGAGGCTCAAAACAGAAAATTATTGGCCTATTGCCAGGCATTGTTGTAGACTGCCCTGGGAACTTCCAAGAGGAGGTGGGATTACCTCTAGACAAAAATAAACAACCTTTTTAATACATATAGTTGCATCATGTATACATATGTAACAAACCTGCACATTGTGCACATGTACCCGAGAACTTAAAGTATAATAAAAAAATGCATACAGTTGCATCTTCTATTTTTTAAAAAACTCTTTTATTATAAATCAGATACACATTTTTAACTTCAGGTAGGAACCAGAAAACACAATTTAGAATTACTAATCTGTGTGCTATAAATGCAGATGAAATATAGCAGTTTAAAGGGAATGATCGCCATGAAGTATTCTAAATTTTTTAAGCCCTGTCTCCAAGCCAGAACTCTAGAAATGAGAGAAATCAGCTCCTGAGTAAAATATCTTTACTAAGCTATAATTTAGCATCTGTATTTTTTAGGACATGCTATATTATGTCACATTACGGTAACACATTACTCCTCAAATTGTGGTGCCTTAACATAATAATGAAAAAAAAAAAACCTATTTCTAGCTCCAGTGCATGTTCAATAAGGATTTAAGGGTGTTTGGTATGCTATATATTTTCACTTAGAAGCTCAGGTTGAGTAAGGATCTATCTGAGCTGTACTATCTGAGACATTACAGATATAGTATCTGATGTACATTACAGATGTACTATCTGAAACATTACAGATGTAGTAGCAGAAAAAGTGAATCTGAAGAGTGACCCATTTCACTTCTGTCACATTTCCTTGGCCAGAATTAGTAATACCTTACTTCAAAAGGACTGGAAAATGTTATGTGGAGGATGCGAATAGAGTATTTGATGAATACTATCTCTGTGACAGTGCCATTTCCCTAAATTTTGTAAAACAAATATGACAATTGTATTGGTTTCTTATTGCTGCTTTAGCAAATGACCACAAACTAGTGACTTTAAAAAAATAAATAAATAAATTTATTACCTTACAGTTCTGACGGTCAGAAATCCAAATGTGTCTCACTGTACTAAAATCAAGGTGTCACCATTACTTGGCTCCTAGACCTCTTCTATCTTCAAAGGCAGAAATGTTTTTTGCCATTTAACATAACATATTCATTGGTTCTGGGAATTAAGGCACAGACACATTTGGGGGGCCATTTTTTTTTTGCCAACTACAATATTGTATGAAAAACCTTTGTACAGCTTCTGCATACCTATTAAGGATAATGCTTATTATGTTTTGCAATTGCTTTCCTATAAAATTCACATTTAAAAAACTGTAAGAACTGATAAGCTTCCTTTCGTCAGTTCATGGGAAAGAAGTAACACAATCTGTTTTCCTTTTGTCTTAGAGACAAGGAAGAAGAAAAACAAATTCAATAATGCAATAGGCGATTCAGTATCAGCTTCTGGAACAAGTAAATCCTGTTTCCCTAGGTCATCCAATTTCTTTCACCATTTAAAAAAAAAAAGTTCCCTGCTATTTCCAATGCTGTTAGAAACAAAAGGTATTGTAAAATATTCATAAAAAAATAGAATATTAATATTGGCACTATGGAATCAGACAAAATCATAGAATACTGGATGCAAAGTGAAAGGAAAAATAAATATTGAACATTATTCTGCAGAATAAACTTGATCTTTTATTTACAACAAAGAGAAAGGCACATATGTAGTTGAAGGAGAGAATAGTCAGAGGAATAAAATAGTGTTCCCTCCCTCAAGGAGCATAATATTTATCTCAGGTGACAAAAACATATAATAAAGGCATAACTAGCTACATCTAGCAGGAAATAAGCAGAAAAGTGTCCTATAAATAAATGCTATAAGAGTTGAGTAGCTGGCAAATATTTTCTCCCATTTGTGGGTTGTCTCTTCACTTTGTTGATTGTATCTTTTGCTGTGCAAAAGCTTTTTAACTTGATGTGATCCCATTTGTACATGTTTGCTTTGGTTGCCTGTGCTGGTGGGGTATTGCTCGAGAAATCTTTGCCCATACCAGTGTCTTGGAGATTTTTCCCAATGCTTTCCTATAGTAGTTTCATAGTTTGAGGTCTTAGATTTAAGTCTTTAATCCATCTTGATTTGATTTTTGTGTATGGTGAAAGGTACGGATCTAGTTTTATTCTTCTGTATATGGATATCCAGTATTCCCAGTACTGTTTATTGAACAGACTGTCTTTTCCCCAGCTTATGTTCTTGTCACCTTTGTTAAAAATGAGTTTGCTGCAGATGTATGAATTTGTTTCTGGGTTCTCTAGTCTGTTCCATCGGTCTATGTGTCTGTTTTTATTCCAGTATGATGCTGTTTTGGTTACTACAGCTCTGTAGTGTAATTTGATGTCAGGTAATGTGATTCCTCCAGTTTTGTTCTTTTTTCAAGTTTGTCAATTTTGTTTAACTGTTAAAAAAAAAAACTTTTTGTTTCATTCACCTGTTGCATTTTTTAATTTCAATTTCACTTATTTCTGCTCCGATCTTTATTATTTCTTTTCTTCTACTAAATTTGGATTTGGTTTGCTCTTGTTTTTCTAGTTCTTTAAGATGCATCATTGGATTGTTCATTTGAAGGTTTTTCACCTTTTTGATGTAGGCACTTATAGCTATAAACTTCCCACTTATGCTGTATCCCATAGGTTTGAGTATGTAGTGTTTCTATTATTATTTGTTTCAAGAAATTTTTCAATTTTCTTCTTAATTTCTTCAGTGACCCCACTGGTCATTCAGAAGCATATTGATTAATTTCCATTTATTTGTATAGTTTCCAAAATTCCTCTTAGTATTCATTTTCAATTTTATTTTATTGTGATCAGGGAAGACGCTTGATATTATTTCAATTTTTCTGAATGTTTTAAAACTTGTTTTGTAACCTAACATATGATCTATACTTGAGAAAGATCCATATACTGAATAAAAGAATGTGTATTCAGCAGCTCTTGGATGAAATGTTGTGTAAATATCTGTTAGATCCATATGGTCTATAGTGCAGATTAAGTCTGACATTTCTTTCTTGATATTCTGTTTGGAGGATCTGTCCAATGCTGAATGTAGGGTGTTGAAGTCTCCAGCTATTATGGTATCAGGGTCTATCTCTCTCCATAGCTCTAATAATACTTGCTTTATATATCTGGGTGCTCCAATTTTTGGTACATATATATTTAAAATTGTTGTATCTTCTTTCTGAATTGATCACTTTATTGTTATATAGTGACCTTCTTTGTCTCTTCTTAGAGCTTTTGTCTTGAAATCTGTTTTGTCTAGGTATAATGACTCCTACTCTTTTTCAGTTTCCATTGGCATGGGATATGTCTTACCATCCTTTTATTTTCAGTCTATGTGTTTCTTTATAGATGAAGTGTGTTTCTTGTAGACAACAGATCTACGAGTCTTGTTTTTTTATACAATCAGCCAGGGTATGTTTTTTGACTGGAGAGTTTAGTCCATTTAGATTCAATGTTATTATTGATAAGTAAGGACTTACTTCTGCCATTTTGTTATTTGTTTTTCCAGTTGTTTTATGGTTTTACCCTTCTTCTTTCTTTCCTTCCTGTCTTCCTCTAGATAAGGTGATTTTTCTCTGGTGGTATGATTTAGTTTCTTGCTTTTTGTTTGTTGTATATCCATTGTATTTTTATTTTTTATATATCCACTCTGTTTTTTGGTTTGAAGTTACCATGAGGCTTGCAAATATTATTTTATAACCCATTATTTTAACCTGATAACAACTTACACAATTTGTATCAAAAAACAAGCAAAAGGAAAACTAATGAAAAATCTTTGCTTACCTTCATCCCTCCACTTTTTAACTTTTTGTTGTTTCCATTTATTTCTTACTGTACTGTTTTTAAAAAGCTGTTGTAGTTATTATTTTTGATTTATTCATCATTTAGTCTTTCTACTTAGAATAAGAGTAGTTGATGCATCACAATTACAGTGTTATAATAGTCTTTGTTTTTCTGTGTACTTTCTATTACCAGTGAGTTTTGTACCTTCAGGTGATTACTTACTGCGCATTAATGTCCTTTGCTTTTCCACTGAAATACTTACTCCCTTTAGCATTGCTTGTAGGACAGGCCTGGCATTGATGAAATCCCTTAGCTTTGGTTTGTCTGGAAAAGTCTTTATTTCTTTCTCATGTATAAAGGATATTTTAATCAGATATGCTATTCCTTCAGTACTTTAAATATGCCATGCCATTCTGTAAGGTTTCCACTTAAAAAGTCTGCAGCCAGACTTTGGAGCTCCATTGTATGCTATTTGTTTCTACTTTTAGGATTTTTTTTTTTTGAGTTTGTAGGTGTGTTATTTTGAGTTTGCTGAGCCCCCAAGGAAACTTTTTTCTTTCGCCAGGGAAGATGTTGAGTTTGTATTCTTGCCATTGTGAAATGACTTGTGAAATGACTTTGTGCAAGGGGTTTTTTTCCTTCTTCTTTTTTTTTTTTTTTTTTTTTTTTGGAGACAAAGTCTTGCTCTGTCACCCAAGCTGGAGTGCAGTGATGCGATCTTAGCTCACTGCAGCCTCAGCCTCCCGGGTTTAAGCAATCCTGTTGCCTTAGTCTCCTGAGTAGCTGGGGTTAAGGTGCCTGCCACCACACCCAGCTAATTTTTGTGTTTTTAGTAGAGATAGGGTTTCACCATGTTGGCCAGGCTGGTCTCGAACTTCTGACCTCAGGTGATCTCCCCCCTCAGCCTCCCAAAGTGCTAGGATGACCGGCATGAGCCACCATGCCTGGCCTAGGATCCTTTTTTTATCCTTGACCTTTGGGAGTTTCTTTCTCTAGGTTTGGGAAGTTTTCTGTAATTATCCCTTTGAGGGAAACTTCTACCCCTATCTCTCTTTCTACTACCTTTTTAAGGCCAATAACTCTTAGATTTGCCCCTTTGAGGCTATTTTGCAGATCCGGTAGGTGGGCTTCATTGTTTTTTCTTTTTTTACTCTTTTGTCTTTTCTAACTGTATATTTTCCAGTAGCCTGTTTTCAAGCTCAATATTTCTTTCTTCTTGTTGATTGATTCTGCTATTAAAGGACTCTGATACGTTAATTGGTATGCCAATTGCATTTTTCAGCGAGAGAATTTCTGCTTCGTTCTTTTTAATTATTTCAATCTTTTTGTTAAATACATCTGATAGAATTCTGAATTTCTTCTCTGGTTTCTTGAATTTCTTTGAGTTTGCTCAACAGAGCTATTTTGAATTCTCTGTCTGAAAATTTGCACATCTCTGTTTCTCTAGAATTGGTTCATTTTTTCAGTTCATGTTTTCCTGGATGGTGTTGATGCTAGTAGATGTTCTTCAATGTCTGGACATTGAAGTGTTAGAGATTCTAGTCTTCACTGTCTGGTCTTTTTTGCATCCGTCTTTCTTGGGAAGGCTTTCAAGATATTTGGAAAGTCTTGGGTGTTGTGATCTAAACTGTATCTACTTTAGAGGGCACTCCAACCCCAGTTAACACTGTGGTTCTTGTTAACTCGTAAGTATACTGGCTTGATGGTCTTTACTAGATCTGGGAGAATTTTCTGGATTACCAGGAAGAGCCTCTTGTTCTCTTCTCTTACTTTCTCCCAAACATAACAGAGTCTCTCTCTCTCTGTTCTGAGCAACCTAAAGCTAGTGGCAGAGTGACACAAGGACCCTTGTGGCTACCACTGCTAAGACTGAACTGGGTCAGACCTGCAGCCAGCACAGCACTGAGTCTCATTCAAGGTCTGTTGTAACCACTCCCTGGCTACTGCCTATTTTTGTTCAAGGGTCTGGGGTACTGCAATCACCAGATGGCAAAGTCAGCCAGGCCTGCATTCTACCCTTCAGGGCAGTGAGGTCCCTCAGGCCCTGGGTGAGTTCAGAAGTGCCATCCAGGATTCAGGGACTAGAGTCAAATTGTGTTTCAGCTGAGCTGGCCCTGAAACTGCAGGACACAGTCTTTACCATTCTTCCCTCCTTTTTCCAAAGGCAAAGGAGCCTCACTCTGTAGACACCACTATCCCAGGCCATGAGGAATATTGACAGACTACCACTAATGTTCCCTTAAGGCCCAAGGTCTCTTAAGTCAGCTTGTCATGAATGCTGCCTGGCCTGGGACTCAAGCTGCAGGGTAGTCGACTCCCATCTGACCCAGGGTAGTTCCAGAAATGCTGTCCAAGAGTCAAGTTTTGGAACTGGGGACCCCAAAAGCCTGCTTGGTGATTCGCCCCCTGTGGCAGTGCTGGTACCTAAGGTGCAAGACAAAGTCCCCTTTACTTTTCCCTCTGCTTTTCTGAAGCAGAGTGAGTTTTGCCCTGTAGCCACCACAGCTAGTAATGTGCTGAGTCTTTTCTGAAGCCAGCAAATCTCACAGTCTCAACCAAGGCCCTCAGTGTAGTACCTGGGTATTGGTGCTGGTTATTCAGGCCCAAGGGGTCTTCAGTTAACAGGTGATGAATGCTGTCAGGACTGGATTCTTTCCTTCAAGATAGTGGGCTCCTTACTGGCCCAGTGTGTCTAGAAATGTTGCCTAGGTCCTTGGGCCTGGAATGGGAAGGCCTCAAAATTCTGACTGGTGCTCTATCCTCCTGTAGCTGAGTTGTTATCCTAGATGCAAGACAAAATCCTCCCCACTCTTCCCTCTCCTCTCCTCAAGTGGCAAGAATGAGTCTCTTTGGAACCTGGAGCTGTGCAGCCTGGGATTGGTGGAGGGGTGATGCCAGCACTTCCTTGTCTGCCCCAGCTGGTGTCTCAATATGTCCTGTGCCCACTCAGTCCACTGTCTTTGGGCTTAGTTCAGCCCTAGGACGGGCCTAACAGTTGCAGTTCTTATGGCCTAGACTGCCTTTAAAGTTTACTTTGGGACACAGAATGCTGTAGGCCTTGCAGGCAATCAAGTTTGGACAGGTGGGATTGATGATTCCCCTCTGGCTAGTGCTGGTTTAAATGACCCTTCCCTGGGTGAGTGTCAGATGAGTTTGGTCTAGTTTCTTGTGTTCTCCCTCCCCCAGCACTGAGATGCTCTCTGCATAATGTGGCCACTGCCCGAGGTTGGGGAGGGGTGGTGTCCAGGATTCAGGATTGTTTTTTCTATCTGTTCAGTGACTCTTTTGGTGAATGTGAAGTTAAAACAAGGTACTATGAGTGCTGACCTGATTTTTGGTTCTTATCAGCATGTTTTCTTCTGTGTAGATAGTTAACTTGGTGTACTTGCAGGAGGAACAATTGGTGGAGTTTTCTGTTTCCTCATCTTGATATTCCTCCCCTGATAATTCAATTTTCAAGAGCATTTCGGAAATAGTTTATAACATTGAAGAGATGCATATCTTATTACACAGCAACTCTTATATGAATATACGTATGCATGTAGTATGTATGTATTTGTGCATGGATGTATGACTGGATGTGTTTTCTCTCAAAGCATTCACTCATGAATTTCAAGAGTTGTAGGAGAAAATTCATAACAGAATTGTTTGTTACAGCAAGATATTTTTAAAAATGGCCAGGCGTGGTGGCTCATGCTTGTAATCCCAGCACTTTTGGAGGCCGAGGCGGGTGGATCACAAGGTCAGGAGATCGAGACCATCCTGGCTAACATGGTGAAACCCCGTCTCTACTAAAAATACAAAAAATTAGCCGGGCGTGGTGGCAGGCGCCTGTAGTCCTAGCTACTCGGGAGGCTGAGGCAGGAGAATGGCATGAACCCGGGAGGCGGAGCTTGCAGTGAGCCGAGATGGCGCCACTGCACTCCAGCCTGGGGGACAGAGCGAGACTCCATTTCAAAAAAAAAAAAAATAGAATTTAAATGTGCATCAACAGAAAATACATAAGTAATTTTAAATTTATAAAGTGGAAATACAACAATCAAAATTAATAAACTAGAGCTACACATATCAAAATGGATGTATGTCAAAGAAATGTTTACTGACAAATTCCAAAACATGATTCATCTGATATCACTTATGTAATATTTAAGAACGTGCAACATTTCATCTGTTACCTAAAGATACAAACATATATGGTAAAAGTTTAAAGTAATAGACAATATACTCAACAAATTCAGAACAGTGAGTATCTCTGAGCTAAGAGGAATGGGTATCAGTAAAATGTAATTTCTTTAAGTGGTGAACAAATGGTTACTTATTTTATATATAAAGATTAATATTTTTAAAAAATTTTATATGTCTCAAATTCTGAGAAATAAAACAATTTGCTTATTGTCCTGACTATATATGGATACTCTAAGATGTCAACTTGATTGAAATCTAGATGTTAATATCAGTAGTTCCTTATCTTTTTAAATACAAAAACTAATATCATCAACTTTGTTGACAACTTTCATTGGGAAAATTTATCATTATTAAGAACCTGCTGTTAATTCAACATTTTAAAATATTTTTATTTTATTAATTAAAATAGTATCCACATGAGTTTTTTATGCTTCAATATTAGGGGATCTAAATTTAAAAGTCAAATGAAAATGCTTAGTGAGTACATGGATTTCTCAAACCTCAGGGAACATCTGTGCCTCACATCTCAGTTCATCAGGGGTCTCCCAGCTGCCAGGTTGTCGACCACTCATCTACATCATGCTTCATTAGCCTAGATAGCTAACAAAGGATATGAATCTATACTTAATCGGCAACATAGGCAGAACAGGAATATTTCTGAAGGTATGTCTTCAAAATCACTGTGCATCAATATTTACTTGAAACTTGTTTGAAAGAATTGTGTATCTGGCATGCTTGCCAGATATGGATTCATTTATTCCTTTAAAGACTTTAAAGTGCATTAGGCCAGACCATCAGAAACTGTGGACCCGAAGACATTGCTTTCACATGATATAGAATTGGTTTTATCGAACTACTCTCTAGAGGTACGTTATCAGTACACATTGGGGAATGAAACTCCTATTTATTATAAGACCATTGCTGCTGAAGTGTTTCTTTAAATTGCATGGTTTCTAGCTTGGTGACGTTGATGTGTGCATCATTACTTATTTGTACAAATGAAAGAAATGAGAGTATTTATATAATATGATTGATGTTAAAATTAATTGTGCTAATTCATATGAAATGCATAAAACAATTTTTAACAGTCAGCAAGCACTCAGTATTATTATTAATATTATTTTCTTTAATAATAAATGGGAATTTCTTTTCTCAAGTCTAAGTATCAGAAATAGTTGTGCATTTTCACATATAGTAGTTGTTCTATAATCACCTGATTAACTATAATACTTTTGCACTAGCTTCTATCTAGAAAGGATATATGATGTCAAAGATAAAATCATTTGAATTTCTTCCTTTTATTACTTCTTGTTGAAGTTTGGAATTTTGATAACAAATTATTTTCTAGTAAGATGATGTTATAAATTGAGTAAATAAACAAATATTTTTTCCTACTACTCCAAGGGCTACTCTATTACAAGTAAACACTTCCTTTTGAACTTGCCAATTTTTTTATTTTTTGAGATGGAGTCTCACTCTGTTGCCCAGGCTGGAGTGCAGTAGCACAATCACAGCTCACTGTAGTCTCGACCTTCCAGGCTCAAGTGATCCTCCCATCTCAGCCTCCCAAGCAGCTAGGACTACAGGCAGGAGCCACGATTCCCAGTTAATTTTTGTAGTTTTTTTGTACAGTCTGGGTTTTGCCATATTGCCCTTGAATCCTGGATTCAAACATCTGCCTTGGCCTCACAAAGTGCTAGGATTGATCCTTAATTCTTTGGTAACTAAGCATTTTGAAATTAAGTGTTCCTTCTCTCTGCACCACACATTTTCTTTCAAGCAAAAATTTTTTCTTCTGTCCCTGAAACTTACAAACTTTTTAAATGCCTGTCATGTGACCAATATGCCTATTTCTAACCAACTTTTAGAAAACAAAATTTCTATAATTGTGGCAGATAATTGTTTGTTGGTTATCCACCATGTATTCCCTTTTCTTTTAAAAGTAACCCCAGTGTTTTTGTTGTTGTTGTTGTTGTTGTTTTACATTGATGACACATGCACTTCAAAATTACATTTCTAGTTTAATTGTCACTAGGGAACTTCAAGTGACAGTTTAGGACAATGAGTTTAAGTATGTAAACAAAGCCACTGGATGGGACTTTTAACATGTGACTTTTTTCATGCTTGTCTTTGCTCTTCTCCTTTCTCCCTTTCTTTATGCCTATAATAAGGAGAAAAAGCCTGGAGCATCCATGACTATGACAAGGGAAGTCAAATGTTGAGGATGGCAGAGGAGAAAGACAGAAAAAAACTGGGTCCTTATTTTTTTGAGCCTCTGAACCAACTCCAAACTCTCTACTCAAGACTTTCTGCTTTGTGAGAAAAGTCAGCCCCTAATTGGTGCCATTTTGTCGTCATCACCATTCTCTGTCTGACCTTTTCATTTTAGGATCATATACATCCTATGTTCTCTTTAATCAAATTTCATTTACAGAAAGCGGGCTCCTGGCTTTGCTCCCAGCTGGACCAGATGTTTTCAGTTAGTTCATAGAATCACCAGTATGTAATTAGTAGTTGTCCTAAAGAAAATAGCCACTGTTCCCAAATTCTTGTTTGAGACTGATACCCCAAAGACATTCATATGCCTAAACAGGTGTTAAATGTTTTAGGAATCCTTCACTACACTATTGCCTTGGTTTTCTCATGGGCTCTTTTCCAATAAGAAATTAGTTTTAATTTCTAAACTAGGATTTTAAAAATATATCTCTCTCTTTACTCACACTTCTGAAACAAAAAGCAATGATTCTTCTCATAGTCACTGCTCCAATGTACATTATCTGTGCTTTATACTAGGAGAGACACACTTTTCATGTGTATAAAAGAGGTATTTATATGTTTATGGGGGCAGGGAGGAAGGTAATTTTTTAGATCTGTTGTACACTATCTGGGATCTTCATAGACAGTAATGGAGATACCAAAGCTATGTACAATATGCCAGAAAGACTAATAAAAACAGCATATTTGGCCCCAACGAAACTATGTAAGATTTTCTTTAATAAATGCAGTCTAGTTTTTGAACAAAAAATCTTTCCAAATTACAGACCACATGAGAAAAAAGAAAATAAAATCAACATTATTGGTTAGTTAGCACTTGAATATTCTAGGAAGAAGACTATTGAAAGCTCTGCTCATGTAAGCAGTTACTAAACTCAGTCTGTCTCATCAAAGATACTGCTAGTTCATAAATTACATTTCTAGATGGTCTTGAGATGGATTTTTATTACAATGTAGGAAAACATTATATATTTCTTCTAAGAGTGAAAATCTTGTTTAAATTCCAATAAGTTGCTTCCTAAGCATGCATGTTTTGAATTTGCACTCATTTTTTATTTCAAGAGTGTTTTTTTTTTTTTTTTTTTTTTTTTTTTTTGAGACGGAGTGTTGCTGTCTCCCAGGCTGGAGTGCAGTGGCGCGATCTCGGCTTACTGCAAGCTCCGCCTCCCAGGTTCACACCATTCTCCTGCCTCAGCCTCCCGAGTAGCTGGGACTACAGGAATCCGCCATCACGCCTGGCTAACGTTTTGTATTTTTAGTAGAGACGGGGTTTCACCGTGTTAGCCAGGATGGTCTCGATCTCCTGACCTCGTGATCCACCCGCCTTGACCTCTCAAAGTGTTGGGATTACAGGCGTGAGCCACCGCGCCCAGCCTAATTTTGTATTTTTAGTAGAGACAGGGTTTCATCATGTTGGCCAGGCTGGTCTCGAACTCCTGACCTCGTGATCCACCTGCCTCGGCCTCCCTAAGTGCTGGGATTACAGGTGTGAGCCACTGCGCCCAGACTGTTGTATCATTTCTTTATGAATGCTGAATTGTTTAGCTACTGAGAAAGTATATTAGTTTTCTTACTTTCATGTTTAACCTTATGATAAATTGCATCAGTGGAATTAACAGTGTCTGTTCCTTTTAATCTGAAAGAGCTTAAACACAAAAATTATCTAGTGCAGTGATTCTGTGGCAATGGACGAAATCTTTTCTCTTTACTACAGCGAATTTATCTCCCTGTGTTTTGGACTCCACCTTATCCCCTCTGTCTTCTGAGAAATCTAGCTCTATTAAGTTATATTTTTTCTCATAAACAACAACCTCCTATTTGCTCCCTGACACCAACCTCTGAACATGCTCAAGCTCATCACAACAGTAATAGCAACAGCCCTCATATCTACCACCCTTTACAAACATCAGTACTCCAGCCAGTTAGTCTTATATTTTCTGTTGACAGCCATATTTATAGAAGTTGTTTACACTTGATATCTCCAATTGCTCTTCTCAAATGCATTCCTTGATCCACTGATCCACTGCCATTTGGCTTCTGCAACTACAATTCCTCGAAAATTGCTTTTATCCTGTTTTTACAACAACCATTTTGTTCATAAATCTAGTAGATCACTTACTTCCCCCTGATGCTCAGCAACATGTGACAATTTTGACTACTCTCACTTTCTTCATATACTGTTTTGCCTTGGCTTTTAGTGTATCCATTTTAATCCTTCCTTCCTTCCTTCCTTTTTCTTTCTCTTTTTCTTTCTTTTTCTTTCTTTCTTTCTTTCTTTCTTTCTCTTTCTTTCTCTCTCTCTCTCTCTCTCTCTGTCTTTCTTTCTTTCTTCACGTTCTTACTTCTTCCCTCTGACCATTTGTTATACGCTATGCTCCTCAAAATCACTTTATACTAGGCCCTTTTCTCTTCTTAGGCAAATGTATCTTTTTCCATGTCTCAAATTATCATTTTTATACATATGATCCCTAATTACTGCTCCATTGAGTTCTCTCTTGAACTTCATATATGCCTTTTTTTTTTTTTTGAGATGGAGTCTTGCTCTGTTGCCCAGGCTGGAGTGCAGTGGCATGATCTCAGCTCACTGCAAGCTCCACCTCCCAGGTTCACGCCATTCTCCTGCCTCAGCCTCCCGAGTAGCTGAGACTATAGGTGCCCACCACCACGCCTGGCTAATTTTTTGTAATTTTAGTAGAGACGGGGTTTCACTGTGTTATCCAGGATCGTCTGAATTTCCTGATCTCATGATCCGCTTGCCTAGGCCTCCTAAAGTGCTAGGATTACAGGCATGAGCCACCACGCCCTCATATATGTATTTTTAACTGCCAAATGCTACTTGGCTGCTCATTGCTACCACAAACTTAGTATGTGCAAAACTGAACTCATCTTCTTTAAATCTTCTGTTCCTCCTGTGTTCCCCATATTTAATACTTGGTAACATTCTCTATGAAAACATACAATCCAGCTACCAGAGTATCAGACTTAATTCCTCTCTTTTTCTCTTTTTCTATCCTCTTCCCTCTTATCTTCTCTTTCTCTCTCTCATATCATCCATATTCTACCCCTAATCCCACTGTTGCTAGTATAGTCCTGGGCACTACAATACTAACTCCTGCAAATTTCTTTTTCCTAAAAAAGAATCCTATCTTATTTCTGTCTCTCGAAAACTGCCAGGTGACCTAAAGGAAGCTGACTCTATCTTTACCTCTAGAGATAAGATCTAATTAAATCATCCAGTTATAGCAATCATGTCCCCCTTGGCAATTATTAATTTAGAAGCACAAATTTAAGTCAATCTGGTTATTACATCCATAATTATTATTGTTATGGAGTGGGCAGGTAACCAAAATTTGTCCAACCAGACTGAGGCAAAAACAAATTTCGTTTTCAGAGTTAGGAAGAAAATTATTTATCTCCCACTGTAAGCAACGCAGCATGTTGCTTCTGTTGCAAATAGATGTTTTATTATTCTCTTAAGCTTCTTTATAATTTTTATTATATAGATCATATTTACATACATTTGTACTAGAATGCCTATAAATGATATTTAGAGGTTTATTAGATGTTACATATGTTTATATATATGATCTGCAATTTGACATTTTTTCTCAAAATTTTATTTAAAGATTTATTCATTTTAATAGCTACACTTCAGTATCATTCATTTTCATATTGGTATTGTTTCCATTGCAAAAAATAGAAACAATGTATTTATGTATTATCTTATTTATTATTATGTGTATTGTTTCCCTTACTTGCCAATACAAACCAAATGCTTTTATAAACATTTCTGAACATGTCTCTTCTTGGACTTAACGTGAGAATTTTCCAAGACATAAATTCCCATGAATGGAATTGCTGAATTATGAGAAAGACTCTTTCAACTTAGAAGATAAAACTGAATGGCTGTTCAAAATGCCTGCTTCATTTTACACTTCCACTAGAAGTCTAAGAGAAGTCTTGTTCTGCCAAATTCTAAATGATAAATTTTGTCATGCCATTTTACTTTTTGTCATTTTAATGAATATGAAATCATATCTTTGTGGTATATTTAGATTTGCATATCTTCATAATTGCTAATTAGCTTGAACATCTTTTCATATTATTCTTAGACAATTATGTTTCTTTTCCTATAAAATGCCCCCCCTTTTTTTCTTTTGGGGTTTGTCTTTTGCTTAGTAAACTTAAAAGTTTTATTATTTTATTTATATTAATATATTTGGTATTGCCCTAGACTCAGGGAAGGAGTACCATTGTCTCCATATTCGTGCTTTATAAGGCCCAACTTACTCTAGCTATACTCCAGCTTCACCCTTTACCACTGGATGAGGAGCCCATTAGGCCAGGAGGCTACACCAACACCTCCAGGAACTCAGAGTTTTCTGACCAAGCAGCTCCAAGCCTGCTTCTTTAACCCACACTGGCCTTTTCCTCTTCCCTAGATTCATCGGCTGGAGGTTATGCCACATCTCTAGTGTGCACACTCTTAATCCCACGGGGTGGCCAAGGGACAACCTAGAGAAGGTGGGGGCTACACAAGAGACAGTTGACATGAGGACTGATGTGCCCATAACTACACACAGTGCAGAAAACACTTAAGCCAACATTTTACTTTAAAAAAGTAGAAAATTCCAGCAATGGGGAAAGGATTCCCTATTTAATAAATGGTGCTGGGAAAACTGGCTAGCCATATGTAGAAAGCTGAAACTGGACCCCTTCCTTACACCTTACACAAAAATTAATTCAAGATGGATTAAAAACTTAAACGTTAGACCTAAAACCATAAAAACCCTAGAAGAAAACCTAGGCATTACCATTCAGGACATAGGCATGGGCAAGGACTTCATGTCTAAAACACCAAAAGCAATGGCAACAAAAGCCAAAATTGACAAATGGGATCTAATTAAACTCAAGAGCTTCTGCACAGCAAAAGAAACTACCATCAGAGTGAACAGGCAACCTACAAAATGGGAGAAAATTTTTGCAACCTACTCATCTGACAAAGGGCTAATATCCAGAATCTACAATGAACTCCAACAAATTCACAAGAAAAAAACAAACAAACCCATCAAAAAGTGGGCGAAGGACATGAACAGACACTTCTCAAAAGAAGACATTTATGCAGCCAAAAAACACATGAAAAAATGCTCACCATCACTAGCCATCAGAGAAATGCAAATCAAAACCACAATGAGATACCATCTCACACCACTTAGAATGGCAATCGTTAAAAAGTCAGCAAACAACAGGTGCTGGAGAGGATGTGGAGAAATAGGGACACTTTTACACTGTTGGTGGGACTGTAAACTAGTTCAACCATTGTGGAAGTCAGTGTGGCAATTCCTCAGGGATCTAGAACTAGAAATACCATTTGACCCAGCCATCCCATTACTGGGTATATACCCAAAGGATTATAAATCATGCTGCTATAAAGACACATGCACACGTATGTTTATTGTGGCACTATTCACAATAGCAAAGACTTGGAACCAACCCAAATGTCCAACAATGATAGACTGGTTTAAGAAAATGTGGCACATATACACCATGGAATACTATGCAGCCATAAAAAATGATGAGTTCATGTCCTTTGTAGGGACATGGATGAAATTGGAAATCATCATTCTCAGTAAACTATCACAAGAACAAAAAACCAAACACCGCATATTCTCACTCATAGGTGGGAATTGAACAATGAGAACACATGGACACAGGAAGGGGAACATCACACTCTGGGGACTGTTGTGGGGTGGGGGGACGAGGGAGGGATAGCTTTACGAGATATACCTAATGCTAAATGACGAGTTAATGGGTGCAGCACACCAGCATGGCACATGTATACATATGTAACTAACCTGCACATTGTGCACATGTACCCCAAAACTGAAAGTATATTAATAATAAAATAAAATTTAAAAAAAGTAGAAAATTCGGAATACATAAAGAACAACATCAAGGTAGTAAAAATTATTAAAAATATATCAATAATTATGTTGAAAGTATTTGGGTTAAATTTGTACAATACAGACATTAATTACATGGTATAGACAAATATATTTAGAATATTAAGACAGAAAATATTGAAATTAAAATATGGAAAAAGTTATAGCAGGCAAATATTTAAAAAAGCTCTATTAATTATAAAATATTGCAAGACAAAAGATAATTGAAAGCAAAGAATACTATATGTGATGTAAAAATGTAAGGTTTTATAATTTTTTCCTCCACTATTATTATTGTTGTATTACTGCTACTAATGACAGCACTGCAATTACTGTAACTATTACTACTACTCTTCAATCAGCCAGGTTTTCTGAGATCGAGCCAGGTTTTCCTTTGTTCATAATCTGTTCTTGCCTCTTATACTGTCCTGGAATTATTTTCCTATTCCGGAAGTACATTTTCAGAAGTTAAGTGACAGTCATTTTTAAGTAAAATCTCTCAATTTTTGTTTGTCTGAAAAAGTATTTTTTTATCCTCATACCCGAAAGGTATTTTTTGCTTAGTATGTAATTTCAGGTTGACAGTTTTTTTTTTTTTTGAAGTCAAATAGTTTTGAAGACAGTTATTTTTTAACCATAAATTTGAAGATCACATTCCACCATTTTTTGGCTTTCACTTTGAAAAGCCTATTGTAATCAAATTTTTCATTCATTTGTATCTAATCTGTCTTTCTATCTCTCATACTTAAAGAACATTTTTATTTTTATATTATGCAATTCTATTTTAAGGTATGTAGGCATAAATTTGAATTTTGGGATTCATGTCTTTTATGATTAAATGAAAAATTTCAATCATTAACTGTCTTAATATTTTATCTCATTCTTTATATTATTTAATTCTGAAACTAAAATTTTTCCTATGTTTGTTCTTTTACTTCAAGCTTCCACATTTTTTTACTCTGTTTAATATTTGTCCCTTTTTTTCTTTTCTATGATTCTTGGGTAATTTCTTTCAATCTCTTCTCCTGTTCATTGATTCTCTCATTAACTGTGTCTTGGCAGTTCTTTAACCCATGCACTGAATTTTTTATTTTAATTATACTATTTTTCCTTTCTACTGCAAATTTGTTTTTAGTTACTTTCAAATCTTCCTAGATATTTTGATACTTTTATTCTTTACTCATTTATTTAGTTATCTTTTTGTTTCTTTAAAATTTTACATAGTTCTAATATTTAATGATGTTAGATGTTAGAAGGAGGTATTATACAATTCTGCTGTTAATTGTTTCTGCTGACTCTCACTTATGATGGCTTATCTCATCATGTGTTTTGTAATTTTTTTATTGTACATGAATGTTTATTTGGTTCAAATCTGTGGGGATCTAAGAAGCCTGGATTGAAGGCCCATGAGGATTTGTTTTGCTTATGACTGGCAGCTTAGTTTGATATCTGCAAATACTTTAAATTAATGGGTTGGCTTAGAATTTCTGGAACATATAGGTAATGTAAATTCTGATCACAATTCCACATGATAGGAGGACTATGAGGACCACATCTAAAGGGGATATTTTATTCTTCACAAGAATGTAAGGCCAAAAAGGCAAGTTACTGTGCCCTCTCCCTTTGCTAGAAGACAGGATTAAAAAATGCTGACCAGCTTTTCACTGATGTTATTGCCCTTCGGTGATTCTGGCTTTACAGAGATAAGGAAATTTCCATTCTATCTACAAATATTGTGCTAGTCCAAAGCCTTGTCATGGATTCCTTTATATTATTGTAAGCCCATTTATACACTTAATGGAATATTTGTTGTATTTAAACCAAAATATTGAGATGCTTTTTCATATTTTTCAGATTATTTAGCCTAGAAGTTTTATTTGAAGTCACCCCTTCTTCTCACTCTAACTCAAAAATAAAGAATATCTTTTAAAAGCATATTATATACAATTGCTTACAGAGTTCAGAGTTTGGCAAACAGTTCAATTTTATTACCACTTTAAGTAATTTTCCTGTGGCTTTGTTATACACATTCCCCTAGAAACAGAGCCTGGGATAAGGAATTGAGTGCAAGTGGTTTATTTTGGAAGATGTACTAAAGGAGGAATGGAAAGTGAAATAGGGAATGGAACGAAGCCCATAGATAGTGTGCTAATGAATAGATTATTACTAAAGGTACATGGGGCCTAATTCTTCTGAAAACCTATGGGAGACCATGTGAAGCATGCCTCCAAATTTTCTCATCTGAATGACAAAGAATATTTTGTGTTTATTCTCCAATTCCCCAAAACTAAAGTACGCTCATGGAGTCATATCAAATAACGAATTTTCTGATATTTTTGGCCTACCTTCATTCACAGGTTGAAAGAAACCTCTCAGATGGAGAATCATAGGAGCTTGTGCTAGGATGCTTTCAACATGCAGTAGAACAGTGAACATCGAGAATATATTGGTAACACATAGACATGTGATAAAGTTTACCCCTTGCACAGCTCAGATTCCCTTGTGCTCTATGTTAAGGTTATTTAAGTTAAATTCCAATATTTTATTTATTGTGTTGCTTCCCTGTATGAGAAGATGAACAATTAATTGGGGGCTATGCCACCAAAAATAAGGAATTGAGTAAAAGGCTATTAAGTAGGCTTGGGCGAAGACTTGGACAGTACATTGCAGTTGATTTTGTTCAATTTCATCTCTTAGCATAGTAGCAGCAACTCATCCCTCACTTCCAACCCTAGGTCAGGCACCTGTGCATGTGTTCCTGGAAAAACATGCACACAGTTACCAGGAACCATGGTGAGAAAAAAAACCACCAATTCCTATAAATATGTGGGACCTGTGCTCTTACCCCTCATTACTGCTTCTAATCACAGAGGTGTAGACAAAGAGGCAGGTAACCGTGGTTGTTACACCTCCTGCCATATTGTTTCAAGCTCCTCTTTTTCTAGCTGAAGTGTCTTTTATAAAATTTAAATGTTTGGAACTCTTTTTCCTCTTCAGTTTTCTCTTCTTACTCCCTTTTGGTAGCAAGGCATTAGAGAGTAAAACATTCAAAAGCAACTGCATAAACAGAGAAAATTAGAAAGTGGCTGCATATGTCCAGGGAATGAGGCAGGCTCAGAAAAGACCTGAGGAGGCCTTAAGTTTATACCTCAGGCAGGTTCTTTGCACAGAGAGCCTAAAACAATTTTTACAACAATAAATAAAAATGACAATCAATAAAAATAAAGCTTAGGGTAAGGTGCAGAACCTGATCTCCAGGGTTACCACATTATTAAATTGTCCAGTTTTCAACTAAAAAATTACAAATCATACAAAAGAATAGGACATCAAGACCCATTCCAAGGAAAAAAGTAGATTGGTAGAAATTTTCCCTGAAAAAAAACATGTGATGGCAGAGCTACTAAAAAAAAAAAACTTTAAAGCAAATCTCATAGAGATGCTTAAAGAGAAAAAAAAAGATGTAAAGAAAGCAAAACAAAAAAAGGCAATATGTGAAAAAAATGAAAATATCAATAAAAAGATAGAAAACCTATAAGAAACCAAAAAGAAATTCTAGAGCTGAAAATTATAACTAAAATAAAAATTTACTAGAAGAATTCCAAAACAGATTTGAGCAGGCAGAATAAAGTATCAGTAAACTTGAAAATAGGACACTAAAAATATGGATTCTAAAGAATAGAAAGATAAAAAGATTGAAGAAAAGTGAACAGAGCCAAAGGGACCTATGGGAAACCATCAAGTGGACCAATGTACAGATGGTGAGACTCTCAGAAGGAGAAGACAGGGAGAAAGGAGCAGAGAGAATATTTGAAAAAACATTGGCTGAAAAGTTTTCAAATTTGATGAAAGGCATAAATATAAGCATTCAAGAAGCCTGATGAACTCCAAGAAAGATGAGCTCTGAAACAGATGCACATTGAGACACATTTTTATCAAACTTTAAAAAGACAAAGATGACGAGAGAATCTTGACATCAGGAAGACAGAAACAACTCGTTACATATGAGGGCTTCTCAATATGCTTATAAATCCATTTTTTTTTAAACAGAAACTTTAAAAGCCAGAAGGCAATGGGCTGATATATTCAAAATACTAGAAGAAAAAAGTCAACTCCAAGAAAGATGAACTCTGAAAAAGATGCACATTGAGATACATTTTTATCAAACTTTAAAAAGACAAAGATGAAGAGAGAATCTTGACATCAGGAAGACAGAAACAACTCATTACATACGAGGGCTTCTCAATATGCTTATAAATTGATTTTTTTTTAAAATCAGAAACTTTAAAAGCCTGAAGGCAATGGGCTGATATACTCAAAATGCTAAAAGAAAAAAGTCAACTATGAATTCTATATCCAGCAAAATTGACCTTCACAAGTGAGGGAGAAATTAAGGCATTCCCAAATAAACAAAAGCAGAGAGAGCTCATTCATTACCAGTAGTCGTGCTCTGCAAGAAAGTCCTGCAGAATGAAATGAAAACACACTAACTGTAACTAAAAACTGTAGTAAGAAATAAATGTCAATAAAGCAAAATAAATGAAAAAATTTTAAATCTAGTGTTATTGTAACAACAGTTTAAACCTCCTCCTTTTGTTTTCTACTAGATTTAACAGACATACATTTTTAAAAACAACTATTAATCTAAAAATTATTATTATTGTAACTTTGATTTGTAACTTTACATTTTGTTTTCTACATAATTTTAGAGACTAATAAATTTAGAAAGAATTATTAGTTTATGTTTTGGAGTACACAATGTATAAAGATGTAATTTTGTGACACCAACAACCACAAAGGTAGGAGATGAATTCATTAAAGGAGCAAAGTTTTTGTATATTATTGATGTTAAGCTGGTATAACTTCAAATTAGAGTGTTGTAACTTTAGGATTTTAAGTGCTATTTCCATGGTAAACACAAAGGAAACAGCAATAGATAGATAGATGATACATAGATAAATAGATAAATAAAGGAATTTAAATGTTTCACTACAAAAAAAAGCTAAACACAAAACAGAATAATAATGCAGGAAATGAGAGACAAAAAAGCTATAACACATATGGAAAAGAAATCATAAAATGACAGAAGTTAATCCTTCCTTAATTACTTTAACTGTAAAAGTAACAAACTCTTTAATCAAAAGATAGAGATTGGGAAAGTGGATAAAAATCATGATCCAGTTACAGACAGCCCCTGGTTTAAAATGGTTCGATTTATGATTTTTGAACTTTACGACAGTGTGAAAGTGACATGCATTAAGTGGCAATTGTACTTTGAATTTTGATTTTTTTTTCCTAGGCTAGCAATATGTGGTACAATACTCTCTCATATTCTCCTGCGATGTTTCCAGTAATCCACAAAATCATGAGAGTAAACAACAATAATGCACTGTGTTCAAAAAATTATATAAGATATTTAACACTATTATAAAATAGGCTTTGTATTAGAATATTTTGCCCAACTGGAGGCTAATGTAAGTGTTCTCAGCACCTTTAAGGTAGGCTAAGCTAAACTATGATGTTAGATAAATTAGGTGTATTAAATGTATTTTTTCATTTGCATTATTTTTATCTTACTATGGGTTTATTGGAATGTAGCTTCAGTGTAAGTCAAGCATTCATATATGCTGTCTACAAGAGATTTACTTTAGATCCAGATACAGATTAAAAGCAAAATGATAGAAAAATATATTCCATGCAAATAATAACCAAATGAGTAGGAGTGGCTATGCTAATATTAGACAAAATAGACTTTAAAAAGTTTACAAGAGACAAAAGGGACATTATATATTAATAAAAGTTTCAATACTGCAAAAAGATATCACAATTATAAAAATTTATGTATCTAATAACAGACTATCAAAATATATAAAGCAAAAACTACAGAATTGAGGGAGAAACATAAAGTTTTACAATAATAGATGGAGAATTTAATATGCCATTCTCAATAACAAGTAGAACAACCAGGCAGAGACAAATGAGAAATAGAGAACTTAACACAACAAACCAACTAGATCTAACAGACAAATACAGAACACAATGACAGCATACACATTTTTTTCAAATCCATATGGACATTTTCCAGGATAGACCATCTATTAGACCACAAATTAAGTCTTAATAAATTTAAAAATATAGATATCATACAATCTTTTTCTCTCTAATGGCAACAGAATAAAGTTAGAAATTAAAAACAGAAGCAAAACTGGAAAATGCACAAAATTATAGAAACAAAACAGCACAGCCTTAAACAACCAATGAATTTTTTTTTAATTACAAGAGAAATTAGAAAATACTTAGAGATGAATGAAATTAAAAACATAACTTACCAAAACTTATGGGGCAAAGCAAAAGCAGTGCTTAGAGGGGAAATTTATAACTATAATTTTTTTATTAAAAAAGAACTCAAATCAGCAACCTAACTTTACAACATAAGCAAGTAAAAAAAGAACAAACTAAATTCAAAGCTAGCCAAAGAAAGGAAATTATAAAAACTGGAACAGAGATAAACAAAATAGAGAATAGAAAAGTAATACAGAAGATCAATTAAACCAAAAGTTGTTTCTTTGAAAAGATCAACAAAACTGACAAAACTTTAGCTAGATAACCTAATAAAAACTAAAATCAGAAATGAAAAGAGACCTTACTACCAGTTCTACAGGGAAAAAGGGTTATAAGACAGTACTGTGAACAATTATATGCTAACAAATTGGATAATGTGAATGAAATAAATTGTTAGAAACACAAAACCTGCTAAGTTTAATCACAAATAACTAGAAAATCTTAGTAGATTTGTAATTAGTAAGGAGATTGAATTAGTAATCAATACTCTCTCAACTCAGAAAAGCTCTGGACCTGGTGCCTTCAATGGTAATTTATATCAAACATTTAAAGAATGATTAACACCAATGCTTCTGAAATTTTCCAAAAAAATTGAAGAGGAAGGAACACTTTCTCACTCATTCTATGAGACCAGCAGGACTCTGATACTAAGTCAAAAAACTACAAGAAGATGAAACTACAGACCAATATCCCTCATAAATATTGAGGCAAAAATCCTCAAGAAAATACTAGCAAATAAAACTCAACAGCATATTAAAAATACCATTGGCACTGGAAAGGGGTCCTGATCCAGACTCTAAGAGAGGGTTCTTGGATCTCATGCAAGAAAGAATTCAGGGTGAGTACGTAGTGAAAAGCAAAAGCAAGTTTATTAAGAAAGTAAAGTGGTGGAAGAACAGCTACTCCATAGACAGAGTAGGGTGTTCCCAAAAGTAAGAGGAGGAACATGCCCACCCTAGGTATGATACTTGTTTATATATAGGATTAAAAAAAGATCATGGAGAGATGTGCTCTACTACAAGGGTTTGTGATAAAAAATTGATTTTCCTTATTTTTTATATGTGAAGGAAAATACAGAATTTTAAAAATTAAGTCAGTTTGTTGCATAGGTAGTTTGTGTTCATGGTACAAAATACAAATGGTATGAGACACTATGAGTCATCCTACTATTTCATAGGAATTAATAAAAGAGAAAAGAACAATTTAAAAATTAATTTTCTTAATTACTATATTTTGTAAGAATTGATATTGTTATCTTTAAAGCAAAATTAGGAATGCTTCTATTCTCAGGATATCAAGATATCAGGACACTCCTAAGTCTGGGTCTGTTTAGTAAATGTTATCTGTCTGTTCCCTTAGCCATAAACATCTAGAGACTAGGAATGCCTAACTTTCTAGGAATGCAGCCCAGAAGTGGGTAGAGAGGAGCACAGTCAGAAAGTGTCAGTATGGTGAGGGTTGTTTAGAACTCTGAGTTTCAACAAAAGGTGATATCTGGAAAATTAATGTGTCCAATTTAAGAAAACATTGAGTAAGCTTGTCTTGCATTCCTCCACAGAGTACAACCACAATATACTCCACAATAGCAAAGCAAAATAAGTAAAATCATTCCATAAACTAAACAGGAAGGCTTTCCAAGAACTGGTTAGTTGTTGGAACCAAGCAGATACAGGGTCTATTGACAGTAAATCAATGGCAGAAATATGAGTGTCTAAAGCTTTCATAGCCTGGGTAATATTATGTGAATAATCTGGAACATACACACAACATTTGGGTTTGATCAAACACATGTTCCTCCTTGGGCTGCTGTTAAAATGTCCAAAGCCATATGATTTTGTAAGGCTACTGAGAAATTTCCTCAGTTAGGAGGGTAAGGGCATGGCATTATTATTGAAAGTTGCAGCCATGTGCTTGGCTAAGGCTTCAACTTGTAACTCAATACTGATTGTAGCTGCCTGTGGGGAAAATATAGCCATTGGGTAGAACCACCAAAATGCCCATTTTTGTCACCTATGGAGAGCCTTTACAATTTCCCGGTTAGATGGGAGAGTCCTATTTAGTGAGGTCGAAGTTTCATCCCAGGAGATAAGGACAACCCCACGTACACCTTCCAGTCCAGTTATAAGGTGAGTATGGCCAGCCATGAGTTCCACAAGCCCATAACCACTCCCAGCGAGAAGGGTAGACACCCATTTTTGGCAAATTATGTTGCCATCCCATCCACATCTGCCTTGTTGAAAGAAGGATCTAATTACATTGTTGAGGTGATAACCATCCCATATCATGAGTTCTAGTCTGGTGGTGACTACTATTGTGACTTTGTAAACAGAGACTCTTTTCTTGGTACCTGTACTTGAACAGCTGTCATTTGCCCAAGTCCATCGTGAACAGTAGAACCTAAAGTTGGGGTGGAGTTTAGCTGTTTCCTAATTAGATGAAAAGGTGCCTTCTTGTCTCACAGTAGGAGAGGAATAGGCTAAGGCCTGCGTGGCTATGATACATGGGAAAAGAGGGGCTATTTTTACAATGTTCAGTTTCTCAATCATAATAAAATCCCCACAAACTTAGGTTGGCCAGTTGAATATGCCAGAGCAATCCGGAAGTGGAGGAAAGTTGCAGTTCTCCACATACTCAACAGTTTGTCTGATTATGTAGAGAGGCTAAAGTCTGTGCCCATTCAGCAAATAAGTTACTTTCTGTGTGATTTCAACTTATACCCAAAAGTAGAATGTTAATCTATATCTCTATGTTACCCATCCCTTTCATTTCTTCTGAACCGGAGCTGGAGGTCCCTGCTTGGCTCACAGCAATATGTGGGATCAGTCTCTTTTGTTCTGTCGGCTTGTGAGACCTCCTCAGAGACAGGTTTAACTCGAGATAAGTGGACCCAGTTGTTTATTCCCGGAAGTTTAACGGCAGTTGGGGTACCATGGACAACTTGATAGGGTACCTTCCATTTGAGGGAAAGTTGGCCTGCTGGGGATATTTCCAAGTTTTTAATAGGAGCCAATTTCCCTGCTGGGTTATAAAAAGATTATCTTCCTTATTAGAGGAAGGGAGTCTTTGATCTCCATATTCAAGGAGTGCCTTTTGTACTTGTCCTACGCTGATTACAGAATTTTGTAGCTTGAAAGTATCTATGTCTATTAGGAAGTTTGTGGTTAAGAAAAGGCTTCCATACATTATTTTGAAAGGGCTGGGCTGGAGATTGCTCTGGAAGCCACTCAAACATGCAACAAGGCTACAAGCGATAAAGACAGCCAGGTTTCTGACGACTCCTGGCATAGTTTAGCACGAGTCCTTTTTAGAGTTTCATGGGCTCTTTCTACTTTCCCTGAAGACGGTGGCCTCCATGCCAAGTGAAGACAGCACTGAATTTCTAGGGGTGAAGATATGTTTTGGGTAATTGTTGCTGTGAAAGATGAGCCATTATTACTCTTCAAGCTCTTAGGCAGCCCAAATCTAGGAATTATTTCCTTTAATAGGAGGTTAGAAATTCAATTTCCTTTTCACACCTGGTAGGAAAAGCCTAGATCCAACAGGTAAAGGTGTTGAGAATACTAATAAATAATTAAACTCTTTACACTGGGGCATCTGAGTATAATCTACTTGCCAATCTTCACCAGGAAACACCCCCCTATGCTGAACAGGACCTACTAAAGGAAGAGGTAAAGATTGGTTATTTGGGTTATTCTGGGCACAGAGTTCACAGGCCTGACTTACCTGCTTTACTGTTGTAAGCCTTTTCCTATAAAAAGCCAAGACATCAATTGAAACAGGAAATCTCTTCCCAAGTGAGTGGAGTCATGCAAATGCTTAACTATTTCCCACTGATTAGCACCTGGTATCAACAGTTTGTTGTCATTCATAAGCCATCCAGAAGACTCTTGAATTAAACCCTGACCTTTAGCCCATTCTTGTTCCTCTTTAGTATATCTTGGTTCTGTCATTACTGGGGCAGACGACACTAATATGCCTACAAGTCCAACTGGCTCCTTTAATGCAGCTGCCTTAGCTGCCACATCTGCAAAGAAGTTTCCCTTTGGCCACACTACAGTCTCCTTTTTGATGCCCTCTGCAATGAATTACAGCTATTTCCTTGGACAGCAAAACAGCATCCAATAGATTCAGAATTTCCAAATAATGTTTTACTGGGGAACCCTTAGCAGTTAGGAGTTCCCATTCTTTCCAGATAGCAGCATGAACATGAAGTATCAGAAAGGCATACTCAGAATCAGTGTAAATGTTGATTCTCAAGTCCTTTCCCTATTCCAGGGCTCTACTAAGAGCTATTAATTCAGCCTTTTAAACCAAGGTTGAAGCTGGTAAGGCCTGAGATTCAAATACCTTGTGTTAACTGACAACAGCATGCCCAGCTTTCCTGTTTCCCTGGTGAACAAAGCTACTTCTATCGTAAACCATTCTACCTCAGGATTATCTAGAGGCTCATCCTTTAAACCTGGCTGGCTGCAGTAAACTTGCTCCATGACTTGTATACAAGAATGATCTAGGGTACCTGTGTGTTCAGGCTAAAAGGCAGCTGGATTCAAAGTCTGGCATACTTTAAGAGTTACATCAGGAGTGTCTAGCAGCAAAGCCTGATATTTCAGTAAGCATCCCCCTGTCATCCACTGGTGTCCTTTAGCTTCTGTTTGGAAATGCATTGGATAGAGAATTAAGAATGTTACAGTTAAATAAGGCACTCTTATCCAATATGTGGATGACTTAAACTTGGACCCTTGTACTTGGTGTGGGGTTAAAACCTCCAGATGTTGTCCTAAAGCCAGTTTATTAGTTTCATTTACTAAAAGAGCAGTTGCTGCAACTACCCTGACGCATCCAGGCCATCCTGAAATGACGTGGTCTAATTGTTTAGAAAAATATGCCACTGCTTGGGGGATATCTCCCAGCTTCTGGACAAGGACACCTAGGGCTGTTCCTTGTTTTTCAGCTGCATAAAGTAAAAATGACTAGTCAAGATTAGGAATTCCTAGGGCAGGAGCTAATCCTAATTATCTTTTGAGAGCATTAAAAGCTTGTTTACAATTACTATCTGATTCAAAAGGATCTACATCTGCTCCTTTCAGGGCCTCCTATAAAGGCTTGGCTATAAGCCCAAATCCAGGCACTCAAATTGCAAAAGCTTGCCATCCCTAGGAAAACCCACAGCTGCTTTCTATTTTGGTATTCTGGAATGCCCAAGGTAGCTTTCCTTTCTGGTGCTATTGCCTGGGTGCCAAGGGTTAGGACATATCCTAAGTATTTAACCCTTTGAGTTGAAATCTGGGCCTTATGCAGCAAAAGCCTATACTCATTAGTTCCCAGAAAATTTAGCATCTTAATGGTATTTTCATCTGAATCTCTTTTGGTGGAGCTAGTTACCAATAAGTCATCCATGTGTTGGATAATAGTGTCTTATTTAATTGTAACATTCTTAATTCTCTAGCCAATGCATTTCCAGACAAATGAGGGCTATCCCTAAACCCTTGGGGAAGAACCGTCCAAGTTAATGACTACCAGAATCAGTCTATTCAAAAGCAAAGATGAATTGTGAATCAGGGTGTACTGGAATGCAAAAAAAACGGCATCCTTGGCCGGGCTCAGTCGCTCACGCCTGTAATCCCAGCACTTTGGGAGGCCGAGGCAGGCAGATCACGAGGTCAGGAGATCGAGACCATCCTGGCTAACATGGTGAAACCCCGTCTCTACTAAAAATACAAAAAATTAGCCTGGCATGGTGGCAGGCGCCTGTAGTTCCAGCTACTCAGGAGGCTGAGGCAGGAGAATGGCATGAACCCTGGAGGCGCAGCTTGCAGTGAGCTGAGATCGCGCCACTGCACTCCAGCCTGGGTGACAGAGCGAGACTCCATCTCAAAACAAACAAACAAACAAAAAACAAAAAAAAAAACAAAAAAACGGCATCCTTAAGATCTAAGACCATAAACCAATCGGCATCCCTAGGGACCTGGACTAACAGCATGTAGGGATTGGGGACTATAAAATGTAAGGAAACAACAGCCTCTTTGACAGCTTGAAGATCTTGAACAAATCTAAAGTCTCCATCTGGCTTTTTAACTAGCAAGATTGGCATATTTTGAGGAGATTCATGGGGACTTAACAACCCAAATTGCAAAAACTTAGCTATTAATGGTTTGATCCCTCTTTGTGCCTCTGGCTTTAAGGGGTAGTGTCTCTTACCAGGGGTATGGGACACTAGGCCTAAGTTAGATGCAAACTGGGGGAATGTTTAACACATTGCCTGGAATCTCAGTATCTCATACTATAGGATTTACTTGGGACGTTACTTCAATAGGTAAACTAGACAAATCCCATATTGACTTACCTCCCTTATCACAGAAAAGGAAAAGGAGCAATCCCTCATCTGCTTTATGATTTCCAAAATATAGCACTGTTAGCAGCTGAATCAACAAATCCCTTTCCAACAAAGGCGTCGTGCATTCAGGCATAATAAGGAAGGCATATGAGTAAACCGAGGACCCTGAAGACCAGCTTAAAGAATAGGCAAAATGGCTTCCATGAGCTTGTCCATCTAACTCTGTGACCATTCAGTTTTTGGGTGACAGAGGCCCATTATAATGGATCAAAACAGAGTAAACAGCTCCTATATCCAGAAGGAAGTTAATATTCTTACTTGCCATGTCAAGGGTTACCTAAGGCTCCTCCCGAGATATGACTAGTTGTCCAATGGGAGCTGTGGCAGAAGGTCCCAGGCCCTGTCACTCTTGGGCTTGACTGGCTATTTCAGCCATTATTGGTTCGGGTGCTGATGGCTCTCTTAAGAGTACTAGGCAGTCTCTCTTCCAATGGCCAGTTTATTTGCAGTATGCACATTGATTTATACCCAAGGCACGGTGACTTGGATGCCCAGCTTTGGGCTTTCCACCTTTCTGCATCCCTTATTTAGGCCAAGACTCAGGAGGGCAACTCCATGTGGGAGGTGAGCTTAAGGCTGAAGCCAAGAGCTGCACCTTGTTGGATGTCCTTCTTGCTCTTTCTGCTCTGTCCCTGTTATTAAAAACTAAAAACGCCATATCCAAAAGCTGTTCCATAGGGGTCTGGGGACTGATCATTGCTTTTTGCAATTTCCTACTGATATAAGGGGCACACTGGCTTATAAGAGGTACTCCCAAAAGGGTCTTTCCTTCCTTTGAGGCAGGATCGTGTTAGTATATTTCCTAATTGCCTCAACTAACCACTCTTGAAACAAAGCTGGATTCTCATATTTACCCTGAGAAACTTCCTTAACCTCTTCATAGTTAACAGGTTTTTTCATGCATTTCTTCATCCCTTCCAACAAACAAGCAATGATATGGTCTCTCCTCCCCAAGTCCCCTGTACCTTTGATAGTTTCATTCTAGATCTTGGTCTGGAACTGCTATACCTCCTGCCTAATATATATTATGATTAGGGTTGTGAGCCAATACTTGATCTGCATGGGTCTTAGCCGTCCCCAAAATGTGTTGTTTCTCTTCCACTGTACAACACAGAGGCAACAAAACATGCGGATCCTGCCAAGTTAAACTATAGGTCAGAGTTAATTTCTCAAATTCATCTACAAATTTTCCTGGATTTTCAGAGAAATGACCAAACTTCTCTTTACATATAACAACATCAGACATAGAAAAGGGGACATGTATTCTTACAGTGCCTTTTTCCTCATTTACCACCTCTCTAAGTGGACAAAGATCTCCTCCTGGAGGTTGATATGAGGCTCTACTATAAGTAGTACTCACAAGGCTAGGTTTCTCAGGGAGTGGTGGGTATAGAGCGGAATTAGACAAGTGAGGAGGGGATAAAAGTTTCTCAATAGAACTTTCAGGTGGACTAGAGGGAGAAAGGACCAACACATCTGAACCTTCAAAGCTGACAGAAGGAGGTTCTGCTCCACTGAAAAATGCACATTGAACGGCGGGTGATTGCACCAAGGGATCATCTAATATGTCTAGTTTTTTTTCTTCCTTTCCTTTCATCAAACATGCACATGTCTGCTGCCAGGTTTTATCCTGATTGAGCAACAAAAATGCTTGAACATATGGTATTTTATCCCATTTTCTCTCCCACTTACAAAACGAATCAAGTTTAAGAATAGTATTAAAGGCTGTAGTTCCAGTAGGTCATTTCTCTTGTTTTTCCAAATAATACTGAGACTAAACAGTATTACATAGAAACACCAGTTTTCTCTTCTTAAGCCTATTTAGTTTAAACTGTTCCAAATATTCAAGAATACATCCTAGCTGTGAGTCCTTTGGGATCAATGCTGTGTTTCCCATGAAGGAGGCAGGTGATGTTAAAAAAAATAGTTCCAAACCTGTGAGATCGTATTGCCACTGGCCAAGTTCCACTAAAAACGATAAAAGAGGTTTTAAAGGCCAGCTACAGTAATGAGGGGATCCCTGACGAAAATTGAATTCTCTTATTCACACTATCTGAATAATATAAATGAGCTGAGCCATGAATCTCATAAACCACAACATGGAATCCAACAAAAGAAATGTTGAATGAAGTAAAGGAAATGAAGAGGATTTAGATGGGAATGACCAGAACAAACAGGTTCTGCGCAATAGCGGCAGCATGGATTGGATAAGCAAAGCTGATTTGCCTGAATCGAAGACAGGAAAGAAGTGCTTTAAAAATTATTTATTTATTTATTTATTTATTTATTTATTTATAGCGTATAAATGAAATGAAATAGCAAAGAGAAAAGTTCCCTGATTTCTATCCTAATGCCTCTTAATCACACATAGTGGGCATAGCTGCAACAAAACATAACCACATCTATCTAATCTTATTGCTCATAGCTGTTAAATACCAAATCTCAGTCAGTAATTTTAGAGACAGAGACTTCAATGCTTTTTGTTCCCAATGTTTCACAAGCAAATGGACAGAAATTAGGAGGCACATAGGGAAATAGTAATTTAAAGTTCCTAAGACCAGCTAAATGAAGTCTTCTGAAAATGACAGTGAAACTGAGACGGCAACCAAGTAATCGACTCATGCAACAGAGGACAAGGCAGATTAATACAAAGAGCATAACAGTTAACACCCCATGGTGCCAAACCCTTTCTTAGGCGAAAGGGACTTTACTGAGCGGGGCCTCTATCCCCCTAAATCTTAGTAAGGACTCTAACCTTCCCAAATTGGGCCTCAAACCCAAGGTCAGTCCAGTGTCCTTGCCTTAAATGAGAATAGTCTTTTTAACCCTCTCTGTCTTAGGAGAGGGTCTAACTCCTCTAAGTTGGGTCTCTAACCCAATCCCATCCTTTACCCAGTTACCCTGACACTTATCCAAAGTCAGCAAATCAGTGTCGCAGTCCATTTCCTTTGAGTTAGAGGGGTTTCTTCAGTATCATCCCTTCCAAGGTTCACCAGAAAGATGTGGCCAGAAAGGGGTTAGAATCCGGAGTATGCACCTTCTGTGGGGCTGCACTCACTCTGGATTGTTCTAGAAAGGCTGTCTACAGGTGCCTCCACACTAAATTCCTATGGGGGAAGCCCCAGCTGTGTCTGCTCTGGAGTGCCAGGGGAAACAAGAACCCCCTCTCCAAGAGCCTTCATGATCAGAGACGCCTGCCTGTTGGGGTATAAGTGTGGACTTTCCCTACTGCACCCAACACTGCAATTGTGTCTATGCTGTGAAAAACTACTCAAAATTGGAAAGGTCTGAAACTCATGGCCTGCTGTTCAGATTCTTTTATCCCATGGTGTGATCCCTTGATGTGGTACTCTCCACCTTCCCTAGGGATTAAGCTTCCTAAGAGCCAGACTGCAGTGATTGTTTATTACTCTTCTAGGTCTAACCACCCAGCGGGGCTACCAGGCTCTGGGCTGGGGAAAAAGAGAAATCTAAATGTTTGGAAAACTTAGTTGAGGGAAAAATTGAAGAAAACTTCCCAGCCTTGCTAGAGATCTAGACATCCAAATACAAGAAGCTCAAAAATTCCTGAAAATTTTTCACGAAAAGATTATCATCCAGACAGATAAGTCATGATGTTATCTAAAATTAAGGTGAAGAAAAAAATCTTAAAAGCTGTGACAAAAACATCAGGCAACATATGAAGGAAAACCTATGAGATTTACAGCTGATATCTCAGCAGAAACCTCTCAAGCCAGAAGGTACTGTGATCCTATCTTTAGTCTCCTGAAACAAAATAATTGTCAGACAAGAATTTTGTATCCAGTGAAACTAAGCTTCATAAATGAAGGAGAGATAGTCTTTTTTCAAACAAATGCTGAGAGAATTAATCACTACCAGGCCAGCACTACAAGAAATGCTAAAAGAAGTTCGAAATCTTGAAACAAAATCTTAAAATATAGCAAAATAGAATCTTCTTAGGACATAAATCTCACAAGGCCAATAAAACAATAATAAAATTTAAAAAAACCAAACTATTTAGGCAACAGTTAACATGATGAATAGAATAGTAGCTCACATCTCAATACTAATGTTGAAAGTGAGTGGCCTAAATGCTCCAGTGTAAAGATACAGACTGGCAGAATGGATAAAAATCCACCAACCAAGTGTCTTCTGTCTTCAAGAGACTGACCTGACACATGAGGACTCACATAAACTTAAGGTAAAAAACTGAAGAAAGATATTCCATGCAAATGGAAACCAAAAGCAAGCAGGAGTAGCTATTCTTATATCAGATAAAACACGCTTTATAGCAACAACAGTAAAAAAAAAAAAAAAAAAGACCGAGAAGGACATTATACAATGATAAAAGGATTCATCAAAAAAGAAAATATCACAATTTTAAATATGTGCACCTAACACTGGAGCTCCCAAGTTCATAAAACAATTACAACTAGACCTAGGAAATCAGATAAACAACAACACAATAATAGTGGGAGATTTCAATACTCCACAGACAGTACTAGATAGGTCACCTAGACAGAAAGTCAACAAAGAAAAAATGGACTTAAACTATATCCTAGAACAAATGAACTTAACAGATATTTCCAGAACATTCTACCCAACAACTGCAGGATATACATTCTTTTCATTGGCACATGGAACATTCTTCAAGATAGATCATATGATAGGCCACAAAACAAGTCTCAATAAATGTAAGACAATCGAAGTCATATCAAGTATTCTCTCAGACCACAGTGGAATAAAACTGGAAATTAACTCCAAAAGGAACCCTCAAAACAATACAAACACATGGAAATTAATCTGCTCTTGAATGATTTTTGGGTCAACAGTAAAATGAAGATGACAATTAATACATTCTTTAAACTGAATGGTAATAGTGACACAACTTACCAAAACCTCTGGGATATAGCAAAAGTGGTGCTAAGAGAAAAGTTTATAGGATTAAATGCCTATATCAAAAGGTCTGAAAGAATACAAATAGACAATCTAAGGTCACACCTCAAGGAACTAGAGAAACAAGAACAAACCAAATCCAAAACCAGCAGAAGAAAAGAAATAACAAAGATCAGAGCAGAACTAAATGAAATCGAAACAAACAAAAAACAATACAAAAGGTAAATAACACAAAAAGCTGGTGTTTTGAAGAACATAAAATTGATAGATCATTAGTGAGATTAACCAAGAAAAGAAGAGAGAAGATACAAATAAGCTCAATTAGAAATGAAAGGGGGAGATATTACCACCAATACTGCAGAAATATAAAAGAGAATTTAAGGCTACTATGAACACTATTATGTACCCAAACTAGAAAATCTAGAGGAGATGAATAAATCCTGGAAATATACAGCCCTCCTAGATTAAATAAGGAAGAAATAAAAACTCTGAACAGACCAACAGCAAGTAGTGAGATTGAAACAGTGATAGAAAAATTGCCCACAAAAAAATGTCTAGGACCAGATTAATTCACAGCTAAATTCTGTCAGACATTCAAAGAAGAATTGATACCAATCCTATTGAAATTATTCCAAAAGAGAGAGAAAGAGGCAATTCTCCCTAAATCATTCTGTGAAGCCAGTATCACCATAATACTAAAACCAGGAAAGGACATAACAAAAAAGAAAACTACAGACCAATATCCCTGATGAACATAGATGCAGAAATCCTCAAAAAAATGCTAGCTAACCGAATTCAATAGCATATCAAAAAGATGACACATCATGATCAAGTGGGTTTCATATCAAGAATGCAGGGATGGTTTAACATGCTCAAGTCAATAAATGTGATGCATCACATAAATAGAATTAAAAACAAAAATTATACAATTACCTCAATAGATGCAGAAAATGCATTTGACAAAATCCAGCATCAATTTGTAATAAAAACTCTCAACAAAATTGACATATAAGGGGCAAACCACAAGGTAATAAAAGGTATCTATGACAAATCCACAGCCAACATCATCCTGAACAGGGAAAAGTTGAAAGCATTCCCCCTGAGAACGGGAATAAGACAAAGATGCCCACTTTCACCACTTCTATTCAATCCAGTACTAGAAGTAATAGCCAGAGCAATCAGACAAGATAAAGAAGTAAAGGGCATCCAAATCAGTAAAACGGAAGTCAAACTGTTGCTGTTTGCCAATGATATAATTATATATCTGGAAAACTCTGAAGACTTATCCAAAAAGCTCCTAGATCTGACAGATAAATTCTGTATACTTTCAGGATGCAAAAATCAATATACACAAATCAGTAGAACTGCTATACACCAACAATGATAAAGCTGAGAAACAAAGCAAGAACTCAATCCCTTTTACAACAGCTGCAAAATGAAAAAACACTTAGGAATATACCTAACCAAAGAGGGGAAAGATCTCTATAAAGAAAACTACAAAACACTGCTGAAAGAAATCACAGATGACACAAACAAATGGAAACATATGCTCATGGATGGGTAGAATCAACATTGTGAAAATGACTATATTGCCAAAAGAAATCTACAGATTCAGTGCAATTCCCATCAAAATACCATCATTATTCATCACATAACTAGGAAAAAAAATCCTAAAATTCATATGAAACAAAAAAAAAGAGCCTGAATAGCCAAAGCAAGACTAAGCAAAAAGAACAATTCAGGAGGTATTACATTACCCAACTTCAAACTATACTACAAGGCTATAGTTACCAAATAGCATGGTACTAATATAAAAACAGGCACATAGACCAATGGAACAGAATAGAGAACCCAGAAACAGGGTCAATTACTTACAACCAACTGATCTTCAACAAAGCAAACAAAAATATAAATTGGGGAAAAAACACCCTATTTAACAAATAGTGCTGGGATAATTGGCAAGCCACACATAGACAAATTAAACTGGATGCTCATCTTTCACCTTATACAAAAATCAACTCAAGATGGATAAAAAACTTAAATCTAAGATCTGAAGCCATAAAAATTCCAGAGATAACATTGGAAAAACTGATGTTGGCTTAGGCAAAGACTTCATGACCAAGAACACAAAAGCAAATGCAACAAATAAATAAATAAATAGATGGGACCTAATTAAACTAAACAGTTTCTGCACAGCAAAAGAAATAAATAGCAGAGTAAACAGACAACTCAAAGAGTGAGAGAAAACATTCACAAATTATGCATCTGACAAGAGACTAATTTCCAAATCTACAAGGAACTCCAATCAGCAAGAAAAAAGAAATAATACCATCATAAAGTGGTCTGAGGACATGAATAGACAATTCTCAAAAGAAGACATAAAATAGCCAACAAACATATGAAAAGAATTCAACATTATTAATTATCAGGGAAATGCAAATTAAAGCTACAGTGAGATACCACCTCACTCCTGCAAGAATGACCATAATCAAAAAGTAAAAAAATAACAGATATTGTCATGGATTTGGTTAAAAGGGAACACTTTTACACTGCTGGTGAGAATGTAACCTAGCACCACCCCTGTGGAAAACAGAAAGGAGATTCCTTAAAGAACTAAAAGTAGAACTACCATTTGATCCAGTAGTCTCACTATTGGGTATCCACCCAAAGGAAAAGAAGTCATTATATTAAAAAGATATTTGCACACGCAAGTTTATAGCACAATTCGCAATTGCGAAAATACAGAATGAGCCTAAATTCCTGTCAACCAACATGTGGATAAAGAAAATGTGCTACAAATACACCATGGAATACTACTCAGCCATAAAAAGAAATGAAATAATGGCATTTGCAGCAACCTGGAGGGAGTTGGAGACCATTATTCTAAGTGAAGTAACTCAGGATTGGAAACCAAATATCATATATTCTAACTTGTAAGTGGGAGCTAAGCTATGAGGATGCAAAAGCATAAGAATGATACAATGGGGTAGGTGTTCCAAGACAGCTGAATAGAAAGAGCTCCAGTCTGCAGCTCCCAGCGTGATCAATGCAGAAGACAGGTGATTTCTGCATTTCCAACTGAGGTACCTGGTTCATCTCATTGGGACTGGTTGGACAGTGGGTGCAGCCCATGGAAGGTGAGCTGAAGCAGGGCGGAGCATCACCTCACCTGGGAAGTACAAGGGGTCCGGGGATTTCCCCTTCCTAGCCAAGGGAAGCCATGACAGACTGTACCTGGAAAAATGGGACATTCCCACCTAAATACTGCACTTTTCCAATGGTCTTAGCAAACGGGAGACCAGGAGATTCTCTCCCGCACCTGGCTAGGTGGGTCCCATGCCCACAGAGCCTTGCTCTCTGCTAGCACACAGTCTGAGATGGACCTGCCAGGTAGCAGCCTGGCAGGGGAAGGGGCATCCACCATTGCTGAGGCTTGAGTAGGCAAACAACACAGCTTAGAAGTTTGAACTGGGAGAAGCCCACCACAGCTCAGCAAGGCCTACTGCCTCTATTGACTCCACCTCTGAGGGCAGGGCATAGGTGAACGAAAGGCAACAGAAACTTCTACAGACTTAAACTTCCCTGTCTGACAGCTCTGAAGAAGCAGTGGTTCTCCCAGCATGCTGTTTGAGCTCTGAGAATGGACAGACTGCCTCCTCAAGTGGATCTCTGACCCCCGTGTTGCCTAACTGAGAGACATCTCTCAGTAGGGGCTGACTGACACCTCATACAGGTGGGTGCCCCTCTGGGATGAAGCTTCCAGAGGAAGGATCAGGCAGGAATATTTGCTGTTCTGCAGCCTCTGCTGGTGATACCCAGGCAGACAGAGTCTGGAGTGGACCTCCAGCAAACTCCAACAGACATGCAGCTGAGGGACCTGACTGTTAGAAGGAAAACTAACAAACAGAAAGGAATAGCATCAACATCAACAAAAAGGACATCCACACCAAAACCCCATCTGTAGGTCACCAACATCAAAGACCAAAAGCAGATAAAACCACAAAGATGGGGAGAAACCAGAGAAGAAAAGCTGAAAATTCTAAAAACTAGAGCGTTTCTTCTCCTCCAAAGGATCACAGCTCATTGCCAGCAACAGAACAAAGCTGGATGAAAAATGACCTGACAATTTGACAGAAGTAGGCTTCAGAAGGTTGGTAATAACAAAGTTCTCCGAGCTAAAGGAAGATGTTCGAACCCATTGCAAGGAAGGTAAAAACCTTGAAAAAAAGATTAGATGAATGGCTAACTAGAATAAACAGTGTAGAGATGACCTTAAATGACCTGATGGAAATGAAAACCATGGCACGAGAACTATGTCATGCATGCACAAGCTTCAGTAGCCAATTTGATCAAGTGGAAGAAAGGATATCAATGATTGAAGATCAAATTAGTGAAATAAAGCAAGAGGAGAAGTTTAGAGAAAAAAGAGTAAAAAGAAACAAACAAAGCCTCCAAGAAATATGGGAGTACAGGAAAAGACCAAATCTACGTTTGATTGGTGTACCTGAAAGTGACAGGGAGAATTGAACCAAATTGGAAAACACTCTTCAGGATATTATCCAGGAGAACTTCCCCAACCTAGCAAGGCAGGCCAACATTCAAATTCAGGAAAGACAGAGAACACCACAAAGATACTCCTCGAGAAGAGCAACCCCAAGACACATAATTGTCAGATTCACCAAGGTTGAAATGAGGGAAAAAATGTTAAGGGCAGACAGAGAGAAAGTCGGGTTACCCACAAAGGGAAGCCCATTAAACTAACAGCAGATCTCCTGGCAGAAACTCTACAAGCCAGAAGACAGTGGGAGCCAATATTCAACATTCTTAAAGAAAAGAATTTTCAACCCAGAATTTTATATCCAGCCAAACTAAGCTTCCTAAGTGAAGGAGAAATAAAATCCTTTACAGATGAGAAAATGCTGAGAGATTTTGTAATCACCATGCCTCCCTTACAAGAGCTCCTGAAGGAAGAATTAAACATGGAAAGGAATAACCAGTACCAGCCACTGCAAAAACATGCCAGATTGTAAAGACCATCGATACTAGGAAGAAACTGCATCAACTAACGAGCAAAATAATCAGCTAACATCATAATGTCAGGATGAAATTCACATATAACAATATTAACTTTAAATGTAAATGGCCTAAATGCCCCAATTAAAAGACACAGACTGGCAAATTGGATAAAGAGTCAAGAGCCATCCGTATGCTGTATTTAGGAGACCCATCTCACTGCAGAGACACACATAGGCTCAAAATAAAGGGATGGAGGAAGGTTTACCAAGCAAATGGAAAGCCCAGAAAAAAAAAAGCAGGGGTTGCAATCCTAGTCTCTGATAAAACAGACTTTAAACCAACAAAGATCAAAAGAGACAAAGAAGGCCATCACATAATGGTAAAGGGATCAATTCAATAAGAAGAGCTAACTATCCTAAATATATATGCACCCAATACAGGAGCATCTAGATTCATAATGCAAGTTCTTAGAGACCTAAAAAGAGACTTAGACTCCCACACAATAATAAGGGGAGACTTTAACACTCCACTCTCAGTATTAGACAGATCAATGAGACAGAAGGTTAACAAGGATATCCAGCACAGGAACTCAGCTCTGCACCTAATAGACATCTATAGAACTCTCCACCCCAAATCAACAGAATATACATTCTTCTCAGCACCACATCACACTTATTCTAAAAATGACCACATAGTTAGAAGTAAAACACTGCTCAGCAAATGTAAAAGAACAGAAATCACAACAACTGTCTCTCAGACCACAGTGCAATACAATTAGAATGCAGGATTAAGAAACTCGCTCAAAACTGCACAACTACATGGAAACTGAACAACCTGCTCCTGAATGACTACTGGGTACATAACGAAATGAAGGCAGAAATAACAATGTTCTTTGAAACCAATGAGAACAAAGACACAACGTACCATAATCTCCGGGACACATTTAAAGCAGTGTTTAGAGGGAAATTTATAGCACTAAATGCCCACAAGAGAAAGCAGGAAAGATCTAAAATTCACACCCTAACATCACAATTAAAAGAACTGGAGAAGCAAGAGCAAACACATTCAAAAGCTAGCAGAAGGCAAGAAATAACTAAGATCAGAGCAGAACTGAAGGAGATAGAGACACAAAAAACCCTTCAAAAAATCAATGAATCCAGGAGCTGGTTTTTTGAAAAGATCAACAAAATTGATAGACCGCTAGCAAGACTAATAAAGAAGAAAATAGAGAAGAATCAAATAGACATAATAAAAAATGATAAAGGGGATATCACCACCGATCCCACAGAAATACAAACTACCATCAGAGAATTCTATAAACACTTCTATGCAAATAGACTGAAAAATCTAGAAGAAATGGATGAATTCCTGGAAACATACACCCTCCCAAGACTAAACCAGGAAGAAGTTGAATCTCTGAATAGACCAATAACAGGCTCTGAAATTGAGGCCATAATCAATAGCCTACCAACCAAAAAAAGTCCAGGACCAGACGGATTCACTGCTGAAATCTACCAGAGGTACAAAGAGGAGCTGGTACCGTCCCTTCTGGAACTATTACAATCAATAGAAAAAGAGAGAATCCTCCCTAACACATTTTAGGAGGCCAGCATCACCCTGATACCAAAGCCTGGTAGAGACAAGACAAAAAAAGAGATAATTTTAGACTAATATCCCTGATGAACACTGATGCGGAAATCTTCAATAAAGTACTGACAAACCAAATCCAGCAGCACATCAAAAAGCTTATCCACCATGATCAAGTGGGCTTCATCCCTGGGATGCAAGGCTGGTTCAACATATGCAAATCAATAAACATAATCCATCGAATAAACAGAACCAATGACAAAAACCACATGATTATCTCAATAGATGAAGAAAAGGCCTTTGACAAAATTCAACAGCCCTTCATGCTAGAAATGCTCAATAAACTAGGTATTTATGGAATGTATATCAAAATAATAAGAACTATTTATGACAAATCCACAGCCAATATCATACTGAATGTGCAAAAACTGGAAGCATTCCCTTTGAAAACTGGCACAAGACAGGGATGCCCTCTCTCACCACTCCTATTCAACATAGTGTTGGAAGTTCTGGCCAGGGCAATCAGGCAAGAGAAAGAAATAAAGGGTATTCGATTAAGAAAAGAGGTATTCAAAATGTTCCTGTTTGCAGATGACATGATTGTATATTTAGAAAACCCCATCATCTCAGCCCCAAATCTCCTTAAGCTGATAAGCAACTTCAGCAAAGTCTCAGGATACAAAATCAATGTGCAAAAATCACAAGCATTCCTATACACCAATAACAGACAAACAGAGAGCCAAATCATGAGTGAACTCCCATTCACAATTGCTACAAAGAGAATAAAATACCTAGGAATCCAACTTACAAGGGATGTGAAGGACCTCTTCAAGGAGAACTACAAACCACTGCTCAATGAAATAAAGGAGGACACAAACAAATGGAAGAACATTCCATGCTCGTGGATAGGAAGAATTAATATTGTGAAAATGGCCATACTGCCCAAGGTAATTTATAGATTCAATGCCATTCCCATCAAGCTACCAATGACTTTCTTCACAGAATTGGAAAAAACTACTTTAAAGTTCATATGGAACCAAAAAAGAGCCCTCAATGCCAAGACAATCCTAAGCCAAAAGAACAAAGCTGGAGGCATCATGCTACCTGACTTCAAATTACCCTACAAGGCTACATGGTACTGGAACCAAAACACAGAGATAGACCAATGGAACAAAACAGAGGCCTCAGAAATAACACCACACATCTACAACCATCTGGTCTTTGACAATCCTGACAAAAACAAGAAATAGGAAAAAAGATTCCCTATTTAATAAATGGTGCTGGGAAAACTGGCTAGCCATATGTAGAAAGCTGAAACTGGATCCATTCCTTACACCTTATACAAAAATTAATTCAAGATGGATTAAAGACTTCAATGTTAGATCTAAGGCCATAAAAACCCTAGAAGAAAACCTAGGCAATACCATTCAGGACACAGGCTTGGGCAAGGACTTCACGACTAAAACACCAAAAGCAATGGCAACAAAAGCCAAAATAGACAAATGGGATCTAATTAAACTGAAGAGCTTCTGCACAACAAAGGAAAACACCATCAGAGTGAATAGGCAATCTACAGAATGGGAGAAAATTTTGGAAGACAAATGCACACATATGTTTATTGTGGCACTATTCACAATAGCAAAGACTTGGAACCAACCCAAATGTCCATCACTGATATACTGGATTAAGAAAATGTGGCGCATATACACCATGGAATAATATGTAGCCATAAAAAAGGATGAGTTCCTGTCCTTTGTAGGGACATGGATGAAGCTGGAAACCATCATTCTGAGCAAACTATCACAAGGACAGAAAATGAAACACTGCATATTCTCACTCATAGGTGGGAACTGAACAATGAAAACACTTGGACACAGGGCGGGGAACATCACACACGGGGGCCTGTCATAGGGTAGGGGGTCTAGAGGAGGGATAGCATTAGGAGAAATGACTGATGTAAATGGTGAGTTAATGAGTGCAGTAAACCAACATGGCACATGTATACCTATGTAACAAACCTGCACGTTGTGCACATGTACCCTAGAACTTAAAGTATAGTAATAATAATAATAAAAGAATGATAGAGTGGGGTTTGGGGACTTAGGGGGAAGCATGGGAGGGAGGGTGAAGGATGAAATACTACCATTTAATACAGAGTACACTGATCAGGTGATGGTTGCTCCAAAATCTCAGAAATCACCACTAAAGAACTTATCCACGTAACCAAAAACCACCTGTTCTGCCAAAACTACTGAAGGTAAAAGAAGATACATTAAATATCAGTTGCATTTTTATCACTAACAATGAACAAACTGGAAAGAAAAATTACAAAAACAATTTCACTTACAATAGCATCAAAAATAATCAAATACATATGAATTAACTTAACCAAAGACGTGATTCTTTTGCAAGAAAACTATAAAACTTTGCAGAAATAAATTTGAGAAGACAGAAATAAATACAAATACATCTCTGTTCATGGATTGGAAAATTTAACATTGTTAAAATGTCAATACTACCGAAAGTAGCCTACAGATTGTATTCCCTCTCAAAAATCCAAAGACATTTTGTGCAAAAATAGAGAATCCCATACCAAAATTCATATGAAATTTTAAGAGACAATGAATTGTCAAAATCACCTTGAACAAAGCTGGAAGAATGACACTTCCTGATTTACAAAACTGCAGCAATCAAAGCAGTGTGATACTGGCATAAAAACATATATATATATATATTATATGTATATCAATGTAATAGAATAGATAGCCCAGAAATAAACCCTTAAATATATAGTCAAATGATTCTTAAAAAGTGTGATAAGACAATTTAATGGAGAAAAGACAGCCTTTTCTTTTTTTTTTATTATTATACTTTAAGTTTTAGGGTACATGTGCACAATGTGCAGGTTAGTTACATATGTATACATGTGACATGCTGGTGCGCTGCAACCACTAACTCGTCATCTAGCATTAGGTATATCTCCCAGTGCTATCCGTCCCCCCTCCCCCCACCCCACAACAGTCCCCAGAGTGTGATGTTCCTCTTCCCGTGTCCATGTGTTCTCATTGTTCAATTCCCACCTATGAGTGAGAATATGCGGTGTTCGGTTTTTTGTTCTTGCGATAGTTTACTGAGAATGATGATTTCCAATTTCATCCATGTCCCTACAAAGGACATGAACTCACCATTTTTTATGGCTGCATAGTATTCCATGGTGTATATGTGCCACATTTTCTTAATCCAGTCTATCATTGTTGGACATTTGGGTTGGTTCCAAGTCTTTGCTATTGTGAATAGTGCCACAATAAACATACGTGTGCATGTGTCTTTATAGCAGCATGATTTATAGTCCTTTGGGTATATACCCAGTAATGGGATGGCTGGGTCAAATGGTATTTCTAGTTCTAGATCCCTGAGGAATCGCCACACTGACTTCCACAATGGTTGAACTAGTTTACAGTCTCACCAACAGTGTAAAAGTGTTCCTATTTCTCCACATCCTCTCCAGCACCTGTTGTTTCCTGAATTTTGAATGATTGCCATTCTAACTGGTGTGAGATGATATCTCATTGTGGTTTTGATTTGCATTTCTCTGATGGCCAGTGATGGTGAGCATTTTTTCATGTGTTTTTTGGCTGCATAAATGTCTTCTTTTGAGAAGTGTCTCTTCATGTCCTTTGCCCACTTTTTGATGGGGTTGTTTTTTTCTTGTAAATTTATTGGCATTCATTGTAGATTCTGGATATTAGCTCTTTGTCAGATGAGTAGGTTGTGAAAATTTTCTCCCATTTTGTGGGTTGCCTGTTCACTCTGATGGTAGTTTCTTTTGCTGTGCAGAAGCTCTTTAGTTTAATTAGATCCCATTTGTCACTTTTGTCTTTTGTTGCCATTGCTTTTGGTGTTTTAGACATGAAGTCCTTGCCCATGCCTATGTCCTGAATGGTAATGCCTAGGTTTTCTTCTAGGGTTTTTATGGTTTTAGGTCTAACGTTTAAGTTTTTAATCCATCTTGAATTGATTTTTGTATAAGGTGTAAGGAAGGGATCCAGTTTCAGCTTTCTCCATATGGCTAGCCAGTTTTCCCAGCACCATTTATTAAGCAGGGAATCCTTTCCCCATTGTTTGTTTTTCTCAGGTTTGTCAAAGATCAGATAGTTGTAGATATGCAGCATTATTTCTGAGGGCTCTGTTCTGTTCCATTGATCTATATCTCTGTTTTGGTACAAGTACCATGTTGTTTTGGTTACCGTAGCCTTGTAATATAATTTGAAGTCAGGTAGCATGATGCCTCCAGCTTTGTTCTTTTGGCTTAGGATTGACTTGGCGATGCGGGCTCTTTTTTGGCTCCATATGAACTTTAAAGTAGTTTTTTCCAATTCTGTGAAGAAAGTCATTGGTAGCTTGATGGGGATGGCATTGAATCTATCAATTACCTTGGGCAGTATGGCCATTTTCACGATATTGATTCTTCCTACCCATGAGCACGGAATGTTCTTCCATTTGTTTGTATCCTCTTTTATTTCCTTGAGCAGTGGTTTGTAGTTCTCCTTGAAGAGGTCCTTCACGTCCCTTGTAAGGTGGATTCCTAGGTATTTTATTCTCTTTGAAGCAATTGTGAATGGGAATTCACTCATGATTTCACTCTCTGTTTGTCTGTTATTGGTGTATAAGAATGCTTGTGAGTTTTGTACATTGATTTTGTATCCTGAGACTTTGCTGAAGTTGCTTATCAGCTTAAGGAGATTTTGGGCTGAGACAATGGGGTTTTCTAGATATACAATCATGTCGTCTGCAAACAGGGACAATTTGACTTCCTCTTTTCTTAATTGAATACCCTTTATTTCCTTCTCCTGCCTAATTGCCCTGGCCAGAACTTCCAACACTATGTTGAATAGGAGTGGTGAGAGAGGGCATCCCTGTCTTGTGCCAGTTTTCAAAGGGAATGCTTCCAGTTTTTGCCCATTCAGTATGATATTGGCTGTTGGTTTGTCATAGATAGCTCTTATAAGGAGGAACTGGTACCATTCCTTCTGTAACTATTCCAATCAATAGAAAAAGAGGGAATCCTCTCTAACTCATTTTATGAGGCCAGCATCATCCTGATACCAAAGCCGGGCAGAAACACAACCAAAAAAGAGAATTTTAGACCAATATGCTTGATGAACATTGATGCAAAAATTCTCAATAAAATACTGGCAAACTGAATCCAGCAGCATATCAAAAAGCTTATCCACCATGATTAAGTGGGCTTCATCCCTGGGATGCAAGGCTGGTTCAATATACGCAAATCAATAAATGTAATCCAGCATATAAACAGAACCAAAGCCAAAAACCACATGGTTATCTCAATAGATGCAGAAAAGGCCTTTGACAAAATTCAACAACGCTTCATGCTAAAAACTCTCAATAAATTAGGTATTGATGGGACATACCTCAAAATAATAAGAGTTATCTATGACAAACCCACAGCCAATATCATACTGAATGGGCAAAAACTGGAAGCATTCCCTTTGAAGACAGCCTTTTCAACAAAACCTGCTGGGAAAACTGGATATCCACATGGAAGATAATGAAGTTGAATCCTTATCTGTCACCACATACAAAAAATAACTCAAAATGGATTAAATACCTAAATGTAAGACTTAAAATATAAAATTCTAAGAAGAAAATAAAGGCGATACCTTAATGATAATGCATTCGGCAATAATATAACACCAACAGAACAGGTAGCAACACCAACAAAATACCAAACTGGACTTCATGAAAATCAAATAATTTTATGCATCAAAAGACCATATGAACAGGGTAAAACAACAACACACAGAATCGGAGAAAATATTTACAAATCATACATATAAGAAGAGATTAATATCCAGAATTTAGAGAGCTCCTAAAATCATCAACAAAAAAATAAATAACCTGATTCCAAAATGAGCAAAAGACTTAAATAGACATTTAATAAAATAAAATATACAAATAGCCAACCAGCATATGAAAGGATGTTCAATACCACCACTCATTAGGGAAATGCATATCAAATCTATAATGAGATATCTTCCTCATATCCATTAGTATGGCTAGTATAAACCAACAAACAAAAACAAAACCACAAAATAACAAGTGTTGGTTTGGATATGAAGAAATTTGAAAGCTTGTAATCTATTGGTAGGAATATACAATGGTGCAGCCAATATATAAGGCAGTGCAGCAATTCCTCAAAAAGTTAAAAATACAATTACTCTATAATCCAGAAATTTAAAATCTGGCTATATATCTAAATTATTGAATGATTGAAAGCAGGATTTTGAAGAGATATTTGTACACCTGTGTTTGTATATTCATGCAATGGAATATTATTCAGCCTGATGCATGCTACAACATGGACATAACTTGCTAAGTTAAATAAGCCAGTGATTAAAAAAAAGAAAGACAAATACTGCATGATTCCACTTACATGAGGCACTTAGAAAAGTCAAAATCATAGAGACAAAAACTATAAAGCTGGTTGTTAGGGGCTGGGGGAAAGGGATAAAAAGCTATTGTTTAATAAGTATAGAGTTTCGGTTTTATGAGATAAAAAGAGTTATGGAGATACATGTTGCTGAAGGTTGCACAATATTATGAATGTATTTAATACTACTGAAATGAAAACTTTACAATGGTTATGATGGCAAATTTTATGTTGTGTGTATTTTAGCAAAATAAAAAATTAGAAAATTGCTGAAAACTGCATTAAAAATAAAACATCTCCTGTACATAATGAGGCAATTTCAAAGTTTCATCAAATTACATCATTCAGCTCCAAGCACAGGTCTTCTATCACTACCATTTGGTCTAAATGTGGCTTATTGTGTTGGCATATTGCTAGATAGAATAAAATAATTCCTACATAGTCACAAAACCTTAATAAAAATTTCCAGTTAGAAAAAATATAGAATAGAAAAAGCACACAGTAGTCACTATACAAATAGAAGATGTAATACACTTCTTTACAGTAGTACTGACAACTTCTTTTTCTGGAAACAAAGTTTTTTAGAAAGCCAAGATGAATAGAAAAAAATTCTTATAGGCTTAAAAAAATATGAAATGCTTGACAAAAGAAGCTGAGATTAGGCTTAATAATGAGAAATTCCAATGGAAGATGATAACAGAAATGCACTTCTAAAATATACACCTTGAGTTTAAGGGTTCACTTTAAAGCATTAAGCCTATATACCAATGTAAAAGTGAAAAAAACCTCAAACTGTTTTTCCTCAGCTCTCAAATCACAACAATCCACACAGGCAAAAGACTTCTGTGACCAAATGTGAGGAGTTTCTCCCCACCACCAAGTAAGCAATAAATTCTGCAGTGGAAACAATCTGGGTGCCCTATTCAATTCAATTTTGACACTATTTTCCTGAAGATAGTGTGTGTATTAGTCCATTTCACACTGCTGATAAACATACCAAAGAGCTGGATGAAAAAGAGGTTTAATTGGACTTACAGTTCCACATGGTAGCTGGGGAGGCCTCAGAATCATGGCAGGAGGTAAAAGGCACTTCTTACCTGACAGTGGCAAGAGAAAATAAGAGGAATACAGAAGTGGAAACCCCTGATAAAACCATCAGATCTTGTGAAATTTGTTCACTACCATGAGAACAGTATGGAGGAAACCACACCCATGATTCAAATTATCTCCCACTGAGTCCCACTCACAACATGTGGGAATTATGGGAGTACAATTCAAAATGAGATTTGGGTGGGGACACAGAGCCCAACCATATCATTCCACCCCTGGCCCTTCCAAATTTCATGTCCTCACATTTCAAAACCAATCATGTCTCCCCAACAGTCCCCCAAAGTTTTAACTCATTTCAGCATGGACCCAAAAGTCCACAGTCCAAAGTCTCATCTGAGACAAGGCCCTTCTACCTATGAGCCTGAAAAATCAAAAGCAACCTAGTTACTTCCTAGATACAATGGGAGTACAGGTATTGGGTAAATACAGTTGTTCCAAAGGGGAAAAATTGGCCAAAACGAAGGGGTTACAGGGCCCATGCAAGTCCAAAATCCAGTGGAGTGGTCAAATTTTAAAGATCCAAAATGATCTCCTTCAACTCCAGGTCTTGCATCCACGTCTTGCTGATACAAGAGGTGGGTTCTTATGGTCTTGGGCAGCTCCACCCCTGTGGCTTTGCAGGATATAGGCCCTCTCCTGGCTGCTTTCATGAGCTGGCATTGATGTCTGCAGCTTTTCAAGGCATACGGTGCAAGCTGTTGGTGGATCTACCATTCTGGGGTCTGGAGGACAGTGGCCCTCTTCTCACAGCTCCACTAGGTGGTCCCCCAGTAAGGACTCTGTGTAGGGGTTCCGACCCCACATTTCCCTTCTGCATTGCCCTAGCAGAGGTTCTCCCCGAGGGCCCGCCCCTGCAGCACACTTTTGCCTGGGCATCCAGGCATTTCCATACATCTTCTGAAATCTAGGGAGTTTCCCAAACCTCAGTTCTTGACTTCTGTGCACTCACAGGCTCAACACCACGTGGAAGCTGCCAAGATGTGGGGCTTCTACCCTCTGAAGCAACAGCCCAAGCTATACCTTGGCCCTTTTTAGTCATGGCTGGAGTGGGTGGGATGCAGGGCACCAAGTCACTAGACTGCACACAGCACAGGGACCCTGGGCCAGGCCCAAGAAACCATTTTCTCCTAGGCCTCCAGGCCTGCGATGGGAGTGGTTTCTGTGAACACCTCTGACATGCCCTGGAGATATTTTCCCCAGTGTCTTGGAGATTAACATTCAGCTCCTCATCTTTTATGCAACTTTCTACAGCCAGCTTGAATATCTTCTCAGAAAATGGATTTTTCTTTTCTATCACATTATAAGGCTGCCATTTTTTTGAACTTTTGTGTTCTGCTTCTCTTATAAAACTGAATGCCTTTAACATCACCTAAGTCACCTCTTGAATGCTTTGTGCTTAGAAATTTATCCCACTGGATACCCTACACCATCTCTCTCAAGTTCAAAGTTCCAAAAATCAATCTCTAGGGCAGGGGCAAAATGTCACCAGTCTCTGCTAAAATATAACAAGAGTCGCCTTTGCTCCAGTTCCCCAAAAGTTCCTCATCTCCATCTGAGACCACCTCAGCCTGGACCTTATCGTCCATATCACTATCAGCCTTTTGGGCAAAACCATTCAACAAGCCTCTAGGAAGTTCCAAACTTTCCCACATTTTTCTGTCTTCTTCTGAGCCCCCCAAACTGTTCCAACCTCTGTCTGTTACCCAGCTCAAAGGCCCTTCCACATTTTTGGGCATCTTTTCAGCAGCACCCACTCCTGGTACCAATTTACTGTATTAGTCATTTTCACACTGCCAATAAAGACATACCTGAGACTGGGAAGAAAAAAAGGTTTAATTGAACTTACAGTTCCATATGGCTGGGAAGGCATCAGAATCATGACGGGAGGTAAAGGCACTTCTTACGTTGCGATGGCAAGAGAAAATGAGAGGAATGCAAATGTGGAAATCCCTGATAAAACCATCAGATCTTGTGAGACTTATTCACTACCACAAGAATAGTATGGGAGAAAGTGCCCCCATGATTCAAATTATCTCCAACCGGGTACCTCCTACAACACGTGGGAATTATGGAATACAATTCAAGATGAGATTTGGGTGGGGACACAGAGCCAAACCATATCAGTGTCAAATCCCACAAGTTTAGAGATCTGTCCCCAAAACTGTCCCTGTTTCAGACACCAGTCACAAGACTGGGCCTCTGGAACTTCTCACCGACAGGCTCCAAATTGGAGTTTCCACAACCCCCTTTTGAGTTGATTAGTTTGCTAGAGCAGCTCACAAAACTCAGGAAAACACATTTACCAGTGTATTATAAGGCACATTACAAAAGATATGTATAGATGAAGAGACATATAGGGTGAGGCATATGCGAAAGGGCATAGAGCTTCCATGTTCTTCCTGAGCACACCACTCTCCAAGAAACTCCACGTTTCACTATCTGAAAGCCCCCTGAACCCTGTCCTTTTGTAATTTTGAGGAAAACTTCATTGGATAGGCATAATTGATAACCATGTCCGAATGTGATTGGACAAAAAGGGTATAATCTAATCCCAGCAAGGCCTGTCTGTTCAGATTCTTCTGGGTCTTTCTGTGCAGCATTCCCTCCTCTAGGGTATGAGGCAGGACCCTCTCTGGGATGAAGGTCTTATGACCCACTGTCAGAGTATAGTCTTGCCTACTGGGCAAGTGAAAGGAGGTTAGGAGAAGGTCACAGAGAGACAATCTTTTTGCTGTAACAAAATATATGGAAGTTATGAGCCAGTAACAATGGTTGAAAGCACACATACATACATATATGTATGTGACTGAGTGTGTGTATGTGTGTGTGTGTAACTAAAACTATATATTATGACATTGTTGAGGACCTATTCAAGATAGGGCACAGATCAGGCAAAAACTTCAAGGAAAGAAATGCAAAGAGACATGGTGGCATGGCCTGCAGAACGAGGCCTCATGAACTACAAGCAAAATATGCATACCTTGAAAGTTATAGACTCAAGTTGAAGTAAAATGAATATATATGAAAGTACACTTATACCCGGTTTGATTCACTAAAGCAGAGAAAATAGGAATATACAGATAGTCCTCAACTTACCATGGGATTATATCTTGAAAAACCCATCATAATTTGAAAATACTGTAAATCAAAAATGCATTTACTGCTCCTGACCTATCAAACATTACAGCCAAGCGTAGGCCGCCTTAAATGTGCTCAAAGCACTTACATTCACCTCCAGTTGGGAATAGTCATCTAACACAGGCCTATTTTGTAATAAAGTATTGAATATTTTATGTAATTTATTGAATACTACACTGAACATGAAAAACAGAATTGTGGTACTTACAGTATGGTTTGTACTGAATGCATATCACTTTCACACCATGGTAAAGTCAAAAAATTTTAAGTCAAACTATCGATAGTCAGGAACTGTCTATACTTTGAATCAAACAGAGTGACCATGTTAGCAGGAAGCAGCCTGGGTAAATTTTGAAAGAGAGCTTATAAAACTTAGAATGCTATTCTGATCTCTCCCTTAAAGGAACTTCCTGCAAGTAATCAACTGAAACTCAACGCAGGGAATCAGTAATATAATAAGAAATGCAGGAAACAGCAGTAAAATGTACTAATAGAACAAATGAAAAACACGTTAGTTTAAGAAATAGGATATTAAAACAATTGCCTCTTTAAGAGGACTAAAAATAATAAATATAATAACTAAGAGGAGCAATTATAAGATATCAAGAGAAGATGGAATGATAGAACTGAGAGAATTTAGGGGGAAAACAAAACCATCACAGAAAAGGAAAAAAGATGAACATGGAGGAAGCAAAGGTAAGAATAGTCGTCTAGAAATCAACCTGATAATCAAATGGAAGAAATCAAAAAGTGAGCAACTGAATCAGAAATAAAGTGAAAAAGAATTAGATATAAAATAATAGAATACACAGGCAAATGATGTAGAATTTGCATAATAGGAGTTAGCAAAAACAAAGAAAACAAATGTTGAATATTTCAATAATTGAACATTTTCAAAAAATAAATCTTATATTTGTGTGTATGGGCATTGTGTATAGCTAAATCAAGAAATAGAGAAATACAAACAATCCTAAAGTTTTTCTCAAGGTGCAATGGACTGAATGCCCCAATTCATAGATGAGTATTGTGACTATAGGTTTACAAAACAGTAAGTATATGATCTTTCCCTGCATGTTTATTATCATATGAGTAATTTCTCCATTTGTCAAAGTTTTTAAGTATTATTTGAACACAAGGAAAAAAGATTGCAGAGAAATCTTTCCTTCTCAAAATATAATACTTCTATAGAAAAAGACAAAAATACTTTTAAAAAAGATTGAATTGATAGCTTTAAGATATTTATATTTCCTTACATTTGGGTAAATAGTTTTATTCTTAAGCTATTTAGATTATAATATATGTAATACAGTTATGCACTGCGCAATGACATTTTAGCTAATAATGAAAACCTAAGATGGTGGTCCTATAAGATTATAATGTAGCTGAAAAATTTCCCCAAGAAAATTAATAGTGAAAGGTTTAGCAGAAGCTTTTGCAGACCTCAGTAGACTCCTTAAAAAGCTTGAAAACATGGGCCCCAACACCGAAAGTTTTTCATTAACAGAGAACAAAATTCATGGTTCATTATTTGCTTAAAAGCAAATTTATCATGAAAAAAATAAACAGGCTGGGCGTGGTGGCTCACGCTTTTAATACCAGCACTTTGGGAGGCCGAGATGGGTGGATCCTATGAGATCAGGAGTTCAAGACCAGCCTGGCCAACATGGCAAAACCCCGTCAGGCTTGGTGATGCATGCCTGTAATCCCGGCTACTCTGGAGGCTGGAACAGGAGAACCACTTGAACCTGGTAGGTGGAGGTTGCAGTGAGCTGAGATCCCTCCATTGCACCCCATCCTGGATGACAGAGTGAGACTTTGTCAAAAAAAGAAAGGAAAGAAAGAAAGAAAAGAAAAGAAAGAGCAAGAGAAAGAAAAAGGGAGAAAAAAAGAAAGAGAGAAAGAAAGAGAGAGGAGGGAAGGGGAAGGGGAAGGGGAAAGAGAAAGAAAGAGAGAAAAGAAAAGAAAAAAGTAAACTAAGCAAACCATCATGGACATATTTCTGAAAAAATGCCACTTTCTCAAGAAAAGCCTCAGGCAGGTCCCTCAGAAGTTATTCCAGAAAAAGGCATTATTATCATAAAAGATGACAACTCTATGCCTGTCATCACCCCTGAAGACCTTCCAGTGGGACAAGTTGTGATGGTGGAAGACAGTGATATCAATGATCCTGACCCTGTGAAGGACTAGATTAATGTGAATTTTTGTGTCTTACTTTTTAACATAAAAGTTTCAAAAGTAAAAAAAACATAAAAAATTTTAAAAACAGAAAAAAGCTTATACAATAAGGTTATAAAGAAGGAATTTTTGTTGTTTCTCTTAATTCCCTGAGAATATTCATTTTGTTTTAAATTATTACAAAAGTCAATATTTTTAAAAATTTTAAATTTTATAAAGTAAAAGAGTTACATTGAGCTAAGATTAATTTACTATTGAAGAAAAATATCTTCTATAAATTCAGTGTAGCCTAAATGTACAGTGCTTATAAAGTCTACAGTAATGTAATGTCCTAGACCTTCACATTCACTCAGCAGTCACTCACTGATTTATCCAGAGCAACTTCCAGTCCTGCAAATTGTATTCATGGTAATTATTCTATACAAGGGTATGATTTTTAAAATGTTATATGCCATATTCTTACTGTTCCTTTATATACCATATAGCCTAGGTTGGTATAGCCTAAGCTGTGCCACCTAGGTTTGTATAAGTACACTCTATGATGCTTGCACAACATTTCTCAAAATGTATCCCCGGTTTGAGTTGACATATGACTATATAAGGAGGTATACCAAAACTTTACCTTTTTATAAATCCAATATTCTACTTTGGATGAATAACAGAACAATACCTATTAGAAAAATGTATGCTGTGCTAACACATAATTGAAAACATAACTGAATTTTGATTTGAACAAATAGTCATGTGTCACTTAATGATGGGGATACATTCATTTTGAGAAATGCATTGTTAGCAATTTTGTTGGTGTGCAAATATCATACTTACACAAACTAGAGTATATTGTCATTGTGCATCCTCTCCAATCACTTGTAGCCCCTTACTGACCATATAAGCTGTGGATTTTGTGTGCTTAGAGGCCATCTTGAACAAAATAACACAAGATTCAATCAAGCACAAGAGAAAATAATGCAATCAGGAAGCTGATGCTCATGCATCACGATGTGAAGGTGCATATTGTTTTAAAGTAAACTTTTTTATGAGTAGAAGGAGTACTCTATAAAATAACAATAAAAATTATAGTATGGTATTGTAAATACATAAACTAGTAACATAGTCATTTACATTTTTTATCAAATATTATATACTGTATATATAATAATTGTACGTGCTATACTTTTATATGACTGGCAGCACAGTGGATTTATTAACAGCTGCATCACCACGAACACATGAGTAATGTGTTGCACTATGACATTCTATCATTGGCCCATTATAGTCTTACAGATTGTATAAGGGTAAATCACCTTTGTATATGCAATCTGTCATTAACTGAAACATCATTATGCAGCCAATGACTGTAAATACAAAATACTAGATATTTCTTTTCAAATAATTATTCTAAAATGCAACTTCTTTGTGTTATGTCTTGCATTTAGATAGAAACAAGTTTAGGTTTTCTATTTTTTTTTAATCTAGGATTTTCAAGTTGGAAAATAGCTGACTGAATTAGAGGTTGGGGTTGATTAAAATATGTTATCATGTCTTTTGCCCAGTTTTTAGTGAGGTTATTTGTTTCTTGCTTACAAATTTGTTTAAGTTTGTTATATATTCTGGATATTAGACTCTTGTCAGATGCATAGCTTGCAAATATTAAAATTTCAACACTATTGTCATTAGAGAAATGCAAATCAAAACCACAATGAGATACCATCTCATACCAGTAAGGATGGCAATTATAAAAAGGCCAAAAATAGTAGATGCTGACAAGGTTGTGAAGAAAAAGATATGCTTATACACTGCTGGTAGGAATGTAAATTAGTTCTGCCATTGTGGAAAGCAATGTGGCAATTTCCCAAAGAACTTCTAACAGAATTACCATTTAACCCAGTGATGTCATTATTGGGTATATATCCAAAGGAATATAATTCAACCTGCCATAACAACACATGGACAGAGATGTGCATTGCAGCCCTATTCACAATAACAAAGATATGAAATCAACCTGAATGCCCATCAATAGTAGACTGGATGAAGACAATGTGGTACATATACACCATAAAATACTACACAGCCATAAAAAGAATGAGATTATCTCCTTTGCAGCAACATGGATGGAGCTGGAGGCCATTATCCTAAGCTAACTAACACAGGAACAGAAAACCAAATACATGTTCTCACAAGTGGAAGCTAAATTATGAGAACACATGGACACAAAGAGGGGAGCAACAGACATCAGGGCCTACTTGAAGGTGGAGGGGGAGAGGAGGGTGAGGATGGAAAAACTACCTATTGGTTACTATGCTTATTACCTGGGTGACAAAATAATCTGTACAGCAAACTCTCATGACATACAATTTACCTATATTACAAACCTGCATATGTACCCCGAACTTAAAATAAAAGGTACATATATATATATAGAGAGAGAGAGAGAGAGACAGAGAGAGAGAGTAGAGTTTGTTGCTTCAGAGTATATATATATATATATATGTGTATATATATATATATACACACAAAGAGAAACATGTAATATATGTTGATTACATATATATATGTAATCAACAGGGAAGGACTATAATTAATGTTTATAGCTAGTAGAAACCTCCTATATCAAGAGTCAACAATAGATTAATAAATTCATCACCAGCACTTTCAATAGCAGATATTCAGATCCTCAGAAAGTAGTCTCACATTAGAGTTTGAAAACCCATATTGTGCTATATATGATACCCAAATAAAATATTATATTGTCTATATTATATATAGACAATGTTAAAAATATAAAGAGTGCTTTAAAAAATATTAAATTGAACACACCTTTACTTCTCTGTGTCTGCCAGACTGAAAGAACCAAATAAATATAAAAATGGGAGCAAACTCTTTATAGTGCTGAAAACGGAGAAATACGCCATTAATAAACCCCAAATTGACATTTTCCTAGCTACATATTGCATTTCTGGACTACATTTAACACTAGATTAACTGCTAGATGTTACAAGCAGTAAAATTTCAATCTGATATAAAAAAAGAATCCAAAAAGAAAAAGAGTAAGAACCTGAGATTTTTATAGCAATCATTTTAAGAACTCAGAACAAGTGCAACTTGAAGAGCACAAATAAATTATCATCAATTTTAAAATATGAGCATTTCCATATGCATTCATTTACAGTGTCCCTTTAGGCAAAATTAAGCACCAGGACTGAGTAGGCTTATGGAGAAAATATTGTTAAGGTTAAACCATTCAAAAATATTCAACTTTGTAACCAGAGCTCTAACAAAAACAATCAGAATCTTAACACACCTTAGCACAGTTAAACCTCCACTAGCATTTTTACCCACCACCATAGTCAGTCCTTTGTAGTATTAAATGCTGGGGCTCACCTTCCTCCTTTAAAATGTAGGTCCTTGAGGATATGAACTCCAAAAAGAGGCCAGTTTCATCAAAGTTAGAATTCCAATATTTAGAAGTATCTTTGCAGCTTCTTCACCTGCACTTACAGTATCCTTAGGTACATTAATACTCTCAAAAGTATAATGAACCTTGATGGCATTAACTCATTCAAAATTGACTCCAAAGGAAGGCACTTCTGTGGGATTTTTAGCATTTTTTAAGATTTAATTTATTGCTAAGATCTTCTCTATAATAGTGAAAAACTTCCCCTGATTACTTAAAGAGGTATTAAATTGGAATTAACCAATAGAACTTCTGAGTTATATTTACATTACTTCCCTGTTTATCAATCCTCCATGAATTAGTTTGTGATACAGAAACACGTACTCTGTAATAGCAAAAATCTATATTTAAATTTAAAGTTTCAACAGTACTTCCCAATCCATAATTTTTATTATACCTTCACTGATTTATTTTCTGAAAAAAAAGAAAGCAAGAGAAACATAAACAGGTAATATGTATCTATACACACACACACACACACACAAACACCCCACAAACACACTGTACAAGCATGTTCAAAGTGGCTTTGAATGTTATTATTTTACTTTATTTCCTAGTTGTATAATTTTTAATATTTCTAGACAGCAGAATATTAAGAAGAAATGTAAATAATCTAAAATTATTAAACTTTAATTCTCCCAGTAAATCCTAAAAATTCTACATACATTAAAAACATTATCAGAAATGTTTCACAATAGGACACTTTATTATGAAAATGCAGATCACCATAAATATATTTTTGCTACTTATGTAAACATAATGTGTGATTTTCCTCTTCTGAAAGTTGGGCACAGAAACAAATCTTGGAGAATCTGTAAAAGAGAAACTCGTTTTCACACTCTGATCCTCAAATGATCTGCAATCCTGCTGGTTCAAACAGAGAAGAGTCAAGCAATCAAGTAGAGTTTTACATGAAGACTAGTTTATAGGTTTTTAAAATGCATGTTGAAATAAAATATACAACAGGAAATAAAAATGTGTAGTAAGATATGAATATTCCCTGCTTCACATTTTCTTCTGCTAGCCACGACCATGAATAGGGCAATGTCTACCCATCCACATAGGGTCATTGACTAATGTTAATAACAGAGGAGAAATTTTGTCAGCTATTATCACTTCTCCCAAGAAAACAAAGAAACATTGTAGAGAACCTTGTTCCACAACAATCTGATTTTTATACAATATTTGGAAAATCTAATTTCGATTGATGTACAATAATGTATAAAAAATTATAACAAAATCTCTATACAAATGCATTTTAGCTTAAAAAATCTATAAATAGTTGACACATTTTCTACATTTAAATATTTCTTCACATTAAATAATTACGATTAATTATAAAATGAAGTGTAAAAGCAAGCAGAAAAGTGGGTTTCAACTCAGATTATCAGCTAGTCTTTATCAATAAAATCCAAGTGAAGGTAAAAAAAAAAAGGAAAAAGGTAACAAAAAACAGGTAGAAGTATATGAGTATATTGAATTTTATGTTTACTAAGATTAACGAAACATCAAAATATTTATTATAAACTGGTCAATTAACCAAAGAAATTTTCTGAGGAAACCTCTGTATGTCAAATCATAGATAAATAAAATGTTAATTTTTAAAAGGTTTAAAATAGTCCTTTTTGGAAAATAAATATAACTTTAATTTCAACTTTAATTATATGAACTTAAGTGGCAAATATACTTTTATTTAGAAAAATGGAGAAATAAATATCTACTGCCCAAATCAAAAGTACTAAGAATAAGCTAAAAAGGGAACCTAATTAATTCCAAATAGCAAAGGCCAACAACTAATGGGCTATCACGTCAGTTAAAATTAACCTAGGTGTATTTTCCTATTTTCACTCAATCTCTTTCAATCAAAGTATTATCTTTCATTGAAAGTATTAAATGTGTATTTTATATTTTTAAAAATTTTAAACACAGACTATATTATTATATTTGCACTCAAAATATAATAAAATATATAGAATTATATGAAGCACATTTGTTAAACATGTAATTACATTATTATTACTTTAAATTTTATTAATATTAATATTTCATTGATAGATTGACAATGTGTAATTCTTACACAATGATGATCCAGTTACAAGTCAGTTTCTTCTTTTTTCTTAACTTTTGGATTCTTCACAGTTACATCTGGGAAGTCAGTGTTCTCATTTAGACGACGTTTGTATATGAAAAATGCAATAGTAGTGAAGATGATAGTGCATAGTTTGCAAAGAAAACCTAAATTTAAAAAATGCAATGATCAGATATGTCCATGTATTTAGAACAAAAATGTAGGCAAAAATGCTATTTACCAAAGAAAGGTAAGCATATTTCACCTATAAAGGTATAAATTTCCCAATTTTAGAATGCAATTAATGCCATAAAATTATATTAAGTTACTTAAAGGAGATTTTTAAATGTTTATAATATGTTTTAGATTTCTTAGACATATTACCCCCTTCCCAAGTGCAAGGTGTGCTATTACCTCATAGACTGTGTTAATTCTGAAACATGAAATATAAATTCTGACTTTCAAAACTTAGCTATCAATAGGAACCAGAGCTAAGTCATTTCATGCAGCTTTGCTCTTTTTGAAATATTCATCATTTTTCAAATAAAACAAATATTACAGAAAAGTTCATTAATTTTGCAGGTTTTTTCATTTTCATGTTTCAAGCTGCAGAAAGTTAATACATTACAACATTACAAGCATTATACAAATGTACTTGAATATTGGATGCAATATTTAATTAATTCTTTTTCAATTTTTTTAAATTAATTCTTTTTTTTTTTTCTTTTGAGACAGGGTCTCACTCTGTCACCCAGGCTGGAGTGCAGTGGCACGATCTTGGCTTACTGCAGCCTTGACCTTCCCGGCTCAAGCGATCCTCCCACTTCAGCATGTGCCACCACACCTGTCTAATTTTTATAGTTTTTGTAGAGACGGGGTTTTGCCATGTTGCTCTCTCAAACTTGTGAGCTCAGGCGATCTCCTTGCCTTCAAATCCCAAAGTACTGGGATTACAGACAGGAGCCACCACCATGCTTGGCCTATTTTTCTTTTTCTTGAAACAGGACCTCCCTTTATTGCTCAGGCAGGGGTACCCCTAACATAGCTTACTGCAACCTGAACTGCTGGGCTCAAGTGATTCTCTGGCCTCAGCCTCCTGAGTAGCTGGGACTACAGGTGGTGACACCACACCTGGCTAATTTTTTAGAAATGGGATCTTGCTAGTTTGCCCAGGCTGGTCTTGAACTCCTGGCCTCAAGTGATCATCTCGCCTTGGCCTCTCTAAGTGTAAAATATTTTACAGTCACAATATCAATTATCTGACATAATGGTTTCAAGATAAAAAGGAAACATTAATGATTCTATGCCATTTATAATGATACAATAACATTTTATACATTTTACAGGGAAAAATACCATTTTTAAATGGTAGTTATATCTGACATAGTTGTAACATTAAACAATTGTAACATAGTAAATAACACAGTAAATAATTATAGTAAATTATTCTCTTTAGGGTATAGCTTGTGAAGAAAAATTGAGCAATTTTGAACAACAAGCCAGTAATGCTTCCAAGAAAAAGGGAATTATTGCAGCAGGCAAATTATCTGAAAATGATAGGAAAAGCTAGATTAAAATCTTCTGTTTAAAGACTTGATAGAGCTGATGAAGAAATGAGAAAGAGATAGATTAATATCCAAGGCAGGGCAGAACTTAAGTGGAGGTGATCCGACTTTTGCAACAGCTTTTTCTCTGTGGTTATTTTCTATATTGGATGGGGGCAAGGGGCTAAAATACAAACCTTTACTCTGGCAAAAGATGCTGCTGAAGAACAAAGATTCATTTGGTCTAACAGGGCTGAAGTGACAAAGTTGAAGACAGCAAAGCTTTCAAACAAATAGCAAGACATATGCTGGATATCAAAAGCCAAGAGGGTCAGGACACTCAAAGATATGTAGCCTAGTTGTGAAGCACAGGCAGGTCTACACAATTTTGCCATTCTAAAGCACTACTATAAGACAAAGTTCTAGTCACTTACCCCTCGAAAATTTGAAGCCAGTAGGGAACCAACTCAAACTAAAGCTGCAAACTAGCCACCAGTTGAGTCAGAAATTTAATTAACTTACCCTCCACTTAGGTAGAATAACAGAAGAAGGAAAATGTCTGTTTCTGAAGGCACATATTTATTTCAGTCTGTATTATTCTATTACACAAAAGGTCTGGAATGCAATCATATGTTGCAAGACATATGAAAAAGCCAGGAAATACTATTTCCCATTAAAAGTGAAAGCAGTCAATAAAAACTCAGAGAGTTTCTAGCAGTTGGAATCAACAGGTGGAAACTTTAAAATAATAATAGTTATGGTGAAACATATTTATGTTTATTTATCTACCAGAAAAGGCCGACAGGGTGCATGAAGAAATGAGAAATTTTCAGTATAGAAATACAAACTACAAAATGAACTTCGTAAAATAACTAGAAATTAAAAAAGCAAAGATAACAGAGCGTCCAAGATACATGAAATAGTATCAAGTGATCACACATATATTAAATAGAGCCCCAGAAGGAGAGAGTAGGAAAAATGAGATAAAATAAATATTTTGAATGGTGATGTCCAAATACTTTCCAAAAATGTAGAAGACATCAACCCATGGATCCAAGGAGCTCAGCATACACAAAAGAGGGAAAAAAAGCAATGATACACAGAAAACCATACTTAGGCACATTGTAGTCAATTTAACAAGAGTCAGACAAAATCAAAGAGAAAATCTTGAATAAAATCCAAATAAAAAGACATATTACATGTTGGAAAGCAACATCACTAATGACAGCTAACTTCTCGCCAGAAACAATGGAGACCAGAAAGTGATGTAATGCCTTTAAAATTCCGAGAGTTACAGGATTCTATATTAAGCAAAAATATCTTTCAAAAATAAACATAGCCAAAATACAGTCTCATTAAACAAAAATGTAAAATAATTCATCTCCTGTATAAAAGAAATGCTAAAAAAGATGTTCTTCAGGTGCCTATACTAGAGAGAATATTGCAGATCTGCAGAAAGGGCACATATTTAGATGAACCTAAAAGAATATATGTACACGTACACATACACATACATCATATTAATATTAAAGACAAGATAGATTTTAAGAAAAAGATCACCAATGGAGGGGGAGAAATGGGCATTAAGTAATAATAAAAATAACAATTCATCAAAAAGACATAAAAATCCTATGTGTGTGTGCCAAACAATAGGGCTTCAAAATATCTAAAGAAAAAAATGGAAAAATTAAAAATAGAAATGGATGTATTAACCAACCTACAAATTTTAGCATCCCTCAAGTCAATAATAGAACACAAATACAATGATACAATCTGAACATGATCTGAATAATACAAAATGAGCTAATTGATATTATCAAAAGACAATACCAAATAACTGCAAAATATGCATTTCTAGGTGTACATGAATAATTCATGAGATAGAGCATCTGATAGGTCATAAGAGACGTTTCAATGAATTTCAACTTCTGTGACCCACCAATTCCACTTTTGGGGATTTACCCAATAAAACAAAAACATATGACTATGAAAACATTTGTACAAAAATGTGAGCTGGGCACAGTGGCTAGCACCTGTAATTCCAAAACCTTGGGAGGCGAGGCAGGAGGATCACTTGAGGCCAGGAGTTCAAGATCAGCCTGGGCAACACAGTGAGACTTCCTCTGTATTAAAAGTAAATAAATTAGCCGGGCATGGTGGCATGGACCTGTAATTCTAGCTGCTCTGGAGACTGAGGCAGGAGGATTACTTGAGGACATGAGTTCGAGGTTACAATGACCCATGATCTCTCCACTTCACTCCAGCCTGGGTGACAGAGCAAGACATTGTCTCAAAAATATATATACACAGAAGCCTCATTTATAATAACCAAACACTGTAAACACTCCAAGTATTGTTAATTAATAAGAGAAAGGATAAACTGTAGCATATTCACAAATTGAAATAGTACTTAGTACTCAGCAATTTCTATAAAGCACAAGCTAATGCTGTAGAAAGAACATTAATGAATCTTCCAAGAGCATAAAATTAAGCAAGATACACACGTAGAAGAGTACAGTCTTCTACTTATATAAATTTCTAGACCAAATAAAACTAAAATATTTTTTAAAAATCTGAAAGGAGTCTATCTGAAAAGGAGGGAAAATGACTGGAAAAGGTTATGGGAAAAATTTCCATATTTGGTTTTGGGTGTTTCCACAAGGGTACTCAATTATCAAAAGCCATCAAGTTGAACTTCTAAAATCTATGTTAATTTTATTAATTACACCTCAGTTTTTTTTAATAAAAAGAGTATTGTTTGATATATATATATATCTATAGATATAGACATAGACATATATATAGATATAGATAGATATAGAAACAATCTCACTCTGTCACCCAGGCTGGAGTGCAGGGGCACAATCTCATCTCACCGCAATCTCCACCTCCCAGGCTCAAGTGAGTCTCTTACCTCAGCTTCCCGAGTATCTGGGACTATAGGTGTGAGCCACCACATCCAGCTAATTTTTGCATATTTTTTGTACAGACAGGGTTTTGCCATATTGCCCAGGCTGGTCTTAAACTCTTTTTTTTTTTTTTAATAAAGAACAAAATAGTTTGGCAATTTATTAACTGGTAAACTCTAGCATATAAATTTAATGTATAAGTAATTTTCTGCTTATTGAATATTTATATAATTTCAAATTTTAATATTTATTTTCTTTTAATAAACAAGGTATTAATTTTTATTATACAATATATAAGTGTACCAAATGGAATTTTGTAGAAATTAGAATAATTATCTTGCCCTGGCTCATAGTGATTTGCAAAGTAATTTTCTTTTTTTTTAAATTATACTTTAAGTTTTAGGGTACATAAGAAAATGTGGCACATATACACCATGGAATACTATGCAGCCATAAAAAATGATTAGTTCATGTCCTTTGTAGGGACATGGATGAAGCTGGAAACCATCATTCTCAGCAATCTATCACAAGGACAAAAAACCAAACACTGCATGTTCTCACTCATAGGTCTTAAACTCTTGAGCTCAAGCTATCTGCCCAACTCAGGCTTCCCAAAGTGCTGGGATTACAGTCATAAGCCACCATGCCTGGCCATTTGATATATTTTTTACAAACCAAACAGTGTGACCATCACTTGAATCATGAATGAAATATTGTTAGCACCCTGGCAACCCTACTTATGATTCCTCAGGGTCACTAACTGATAAAAGTTAGTTTTGTTTGCTCTTGAATATATTTATATAGCAAACCAAAATTATGTAAGTGGAATTATATAGGGCCTACATACTCATTTGTGTCTGGTTTCTTTCATTCAACATAATGTTTGTGTGATTCATCCATATTTTATGTAGTTGTGTTCTTTTCATTTTCATTGTTGTACAAAATGCCATTGTTGAATTTACCACAATATATTATCCATTCTATTGTTGTTTTTGTTTGTTTGTTTGTGGTTTTTTTTGAGACAGAGTTTCACGCTTGTCACCCAGGCGGGAGTGCAGTGGCATGACCTTGGCTCACTGCAACCTCTGCCTCCTGGGTTCAAGAGATTCTCCTGCCTCAACCTCCATTTAGCTGGGGTTACAGGTGCCCGCCACTACGCCTAGCTAATTTTTGTGTTTTTAGTAGAGATGGGGTTTCACCATGTTAGCCAGGATGGTCTCGAACACATGACCTCAGGCAATCTGCCCACCTCGGCCTCCCAAAGTGCTGAGATTACAGGCATGAGCAACTGCACCCAGTCCTTCAATTGTTTTTGGGTATTTGATATCTACTTTTGTGAAGAATTTTTTCAAGTCTTTTATCCACTTTTTTGTAAGGTTATCCTTTATTTATTGATTTGTGGGAGTGCTTTATTTATTCTGATAATTAGTTCTTTTTCACTTTGGTTCACTGTATTCCACATTGTTATCTTTTATCTTAATTTTTTTGGTAATAATTTGTTAATTTTACTACAGTCTGATTTATTTTCTAGGTAGTGCTTCATGTGTCCTGTTTATGTTCTTCCTACTCCAAGGTCATGAAAATATTCTCCCATTTTTCTCAAAAGGCTTTATGGTTTTATCTTTCATATTTAGATATGTAATGCGTCTGGAACTGATGTTTGTATAAGATGTGAGATAGGGATCAAAACACATTTTATTAGACATGCATAAAATGGCCAATAACCTTTTTGTTTGTTTAACCATTGCAGGGTCCCCTTCATCGTAAATTAGTTGAGTGTGCATATGAAGGTTTGTTTCTGATTTTTCTATTCTGTTCCATTAATCAATGTGTTGATGCTTGCACCAATACCACATTGTATTAATTATTATAGCTCTATAATAGGTTTTTATATGTTAGCATATATTCCTCAATTTTGTTTCAACTTCAATATTCTCATAGTAATTCTTACCCTTTAGCTTTCCATATGAATTTTAGTTATTTTGTCAATTTCAAAAAAAAAAAAAAAAATTTCTCTTGGGATTAATTTGTGATCACATGCTGTAGATTAATTTAGGATAAATGGCATTTATTAATGTTCTTATCTGTGAACTTTTTCCCATTTATTTAGATTTTATTTAATTTTTCTCAAATTGATTTTGTAGTTGTCAGTGTAGACGTTTTGTACAACTTAAATTTTTTATTGCTATTTGATTTTTTGGTGTTATTGTATTTATCATATTGTATTTTAATTTGGTTGCATCTGGTATTTGGAAACAAAATTGATTTGGTACAATGATTATATATTTAGCAACTTTGCTGAATTCATTTATTAATTCTAATACATTGTGTTCCCTGATATGGGTGCTAATTACAGGTGTGTTCAATTTATAAAAAAAGTGTTGAGCCATATATTTATATGTGCTCTTTCTTATATATGTATATATTATATTTCAATAAAAATTCTACCAAAGAAACCATGTGAAGTGGTAAAAATGGCAAACTAAGAAACAAAATGTTTGCAAAAGGCTTATCTACTCTACTGCAAATGAACTAGAGCTGATGGAATCCTTCATTTGAGGTAAAAGCATTAGATGAGTCATCCTAATTAAAACTTAAGATTTGAAAAAGAAAGATCAGATAGACTTCCTTGCCAACAAAAAGAACTAATGCAACTAATTTTTATTAATATTTTGAGAATCTGATGAATGTCACAGCCTTTTCCCCAGGAGGAAAAAATTGAACATAAAAATATGTGTGCCAAATTTTCCATTTCAAATATACTGGAGTTCATTCTTAGCACTTAAGATTTCACAGATCACTGTTGAGTAACCCATGCTCTAGAGTAGTGCTAGGCATAAAACCTTTAGCAATGAAGGCAGTCTTCTACATCTGCACTATTCAATAAAGTAGCCACTAGCCAAATGTGATCATTAAAGATGTAAAATTTGCCTACTGTGACTAAGGAACTAAATTTGTAATTGAATTGAATTTCAGTTAATGTAAATGTAAATTTAAATAGCCACATGTGGCAAATGTCCTTCATATTGGACAGTACAACTCTAGCTCCTCTAACGTATTAAGAGCTATCTTCAGCAGTTTACTATGGTTGAAATCACCTGAGTACTTTATTTAGAGTAAGCATGCCAACCACCAGTCCATGGAATTCTTTTCTCCCTAAGCTTTATAATGGTTTAATTGACAAATAAATAAAAAGGGTATATATTTATAGTATAAAGCATTAGTTTTTGATGACTATACACTTTAAAATGATTAAATCAATGTATTTAATATATTTATCACATTATTCGGTTATTTTTTTGGGGGTGAGAATACTTAAGTTCTATTCCCTTGGCAATTTTCAAGTATACAATACATTAACTAAAGTCACCACATTGAACAATAGATGTCAAGAATTTATTACTTCTGTCTAACTAAAATTTTATATCCTTTGACCAATATCTCTCATTTCCCATTTCCATCACCAGCCCCTGTCAACAACTATTCTATTCTCTGCTTCTGTTTGATTTTTTTAGATTCCATGTATAAGTGAGAGCATGCTGTATTTGTTTTTCTATGCCTAGCTTATTTTGCTTAACATGATGTCCTGTAGTTTCACCCACATTGTTGCAAAAGACAGAATTTTCTTCCTTTTTAAGGATGAATAGTATTCCATTGTATGTATGTCTCTCATATTTCCATTGTCTATTTATCTGTCAATGAGCACCTAGGTTATTTCCATACCTTGACTATTGTGAATAATGCTGCAGTAAACAAGGGAATGCAGATATCTCTTAAACATATTGATTTCATTACCTTTGGATATACACCCAGTAGTGAGATTGCTGGATCATGTGGTAGTTCTATTTCTAATTTTTTGAGAACTTGTTTTCAGTAATGGCTGTACTAATTTGCATTCCCATCAGCAGTTTGCAGGGTTCCCTTTTTTCCACATCCTCACCAATATTTATCTTTTTTTTTTTTTTTTGGTAATACACATTCTAACAGATGTGAGGTGATATCTCATTGCAATTTTCACTTGCATTTTCCTGATGATTAGTGATTTAGGCATTCAGAAATATAATTGTTGGCCATTTTTATGTCATCTTTTAAGAAATATCCTTTCATGTCCTTTGTTCATTTTTTAATCAGGTTATTTCTTTACTTACTAATAAGTGTTTGAGTTCCTTATATATTTTGAATATTAGCCCCTTATCAGATATATGGGTTGCAAATATTTCTCTTATTCCATAGGTTATCTCTTTACTCTGTTGACTGTTTCCATTGCTGTGCAAAAAGTAGCTTTTTTGTTTGTTTAATGTAATCCTATTGTCTATTTTTGCTTTTGTTGCCTATGCTTTTTACAGTTACATATATTACATTTAAGGCTTTAATTCATTTTGAATTGATTTTTGTATATAGCATGAGTTCAATTTCATTATTCTGCATATGGCTATCCTGTTTTCTCTGTGCCATTTATTGAAAAGACTGTCCCATTGTGTGTTCTTGGCACATGTTAAAGATCAATTGTCTATAAATGCATAGTTTATTTCTTTGTTCTCTATTCCATTTCAATGGCCTATGTCTGTTTTATGCCAGGACCATGCTGTTTTGGTTACTATAGCTTTGTAGTATATGTTGAAATTAGATAGGGTTACGCTTTCAGCTTTGTTCATTTTGCCAAAGATTGTATTGGCCATTGAAGGTCTTTTGTGATTTCATGCAAATTTTAGGATTTTTTTTTTTTCTATTGCTGTGAAAAATGTCATTGGGATTTTGATAGGTACTGCTTGGAATCTGTAGGTCACTCTGGGTACTATGAACATGTTAACAATTTTAATTCTCCCAATCTATGAACATAGGATATTTCCATCTATTAGTGTCTCCTCTTTTATTTCTTTCATCAATCTCTTATGATTTTCAACATACAGATCTTTTACCTCCTCAGTTAAATTTATTTCTGTCTATCTCTTTTTTGACACTACCATAAATGGGAATTTTTTTTGATTCTCTTTTAGATAGTTCTTGTTAGTTGTAGAACTACTACTGGTTTTTAAATGCCGATTTTATCCTGAAACTTTACTGAAATCACTTACTAGTTTTAACAGTTTTTTGGTGGAGATTCATACATATATGTGTGTTCGTATATACATATATATACATGAGATATATACGTGTGTGTATATATATGAGAGATATATATATGTGTATATATATGAGAGATATATATATGTGTATATATATGAAAAGTCTATTGTATATATATGGTGTACACATACATGTATATATATGACACTCTACCAAAAACTATATATAGTGTATGTATATGTGTGTGAATATATATATATATAGTGTTTTATATACATAAATAATGTCATTTGCAAAGAGAAACTATTTTGCTTCCTGCTTTCTAATTTTAGGATGCCATGTTTCCTTTTTCTTGCCTAATTGTTCTGTTTAGGACTTCCCACACATATTGAATAGAAGTGGATAGAGCAGATAGACATCTCTGTCTTTTTCCTGATCATAAAGAGAAAGCTTTCAGCTTTTCACAACCATGATATTAGGTCTGAGTAAGTAATATATTTGCTTTATTGTGTTAAGATACATTCCTCTATATCTAATTTTTAAAGGATTTTTATCATGAAATGATGCTAAGTTTTGTAAATACTTTTCCTTCACCTATTGAAATTATCGTATTATTTTTATCCTTTATTTTATTATGGAATATCACATTAACTGATTTGTGTATGTTGAGCCATCCTTGCACCTTAGGGATAAATCCCTCTTGATCATAATATATGATCCTTTTAAATGTACTGTTGAATTCAGTTTGCTAGTATTTTCTTGAGGATTTCAGCATTTGTGTTCATCAGGGATATTGGCCCTTAATTTTATCTTCTTTGGAGTGTTTTCATCTAACTTTGGCATCAGGGTAATTCTGGTCTCATAAAATGAGTTTAGAAATGTTCCTTTCTCTTCAATTTTTTAAAAAGTTTGAGAAAGGTTAGTATTATTTCATCTTTAAATGTTTAGCAGAATTCATCAGTGAAGTCATCGACTCCTATGCTTTTCTTGATTTTGATTGCTAATTCAACTCTTAATTCATTATTGGTCTGGTCAGATTTTCTACTTATTCATGATTATGTCTTTATGAAGTTTTATGTTTATAGGAATTTGTTCATATTACCTAGGTCATCCAATTTGATGTATAATTTTTCATAATAGTCTCATGATCCTTTTTATTTCTGTTGCATAACTTTCAATGTGTTATCTTTCATTTATAATTTTATTTATTTGAGTCTTCTCTCTGTTTTTCTTAGTCTAGCTAAGGGCTTGCCAGTTTAATTTATTTTAGCAAAAATCCAACTCTTTATTTTGTTATTTTTTTCTATTATTTTTCTAATCTCTATTTCACTGACATTTGCTCTGATTTTTATTATTTCTTTTATTCTGCTGACTTTGGGCTTAGTTTGTTCTTTTGTTTCCCTTGCCCCTTGAGGTGTAACATTAGATTCAGTCAGTCAGTAATGTTTGATTAGAGATTTTAACCTATTTACATTTAAAGTAATTATTGATAGTTAAGGACTCACAACTGCCATTTTTAAATTGCTCTCTGACTGTTTTCTGACTCTGTTGTTTTCCTACATTCCATTCTTTTTTCTTTGCTGTCTTCCTTTGTGGTTTGAATTTTTTTTTGTAGTGGCAGTACGCTTTTCTAAATCCTTTTAACTTTTTTATATTTTGATCAGATACTCCTTATTTGTTACAGTTTCTGGTTACCATAGGGTGTACATAAAATATTTTACAGGTATAACTATTTGTTTTATGCTGATAACCACTTAACTTCCATTGCATATGGAAACTCTAGATTTTAACTTCTCTTCATCCCACATTTACTTAACATATTACTGTAGCTATAGTTATTTTTTCATACTTTTGTTGAGTTGTATAGTACATTTAAAAATGATTTAATCATCACTATTATAGTAATAGAGTATTCCAAATTTGACTATGTATTTGACCACGTATTTACTTTTACCACTGAGTTTTATACTTTCATATGTTTTCATGTGGTTAGTTAGCAACCTTTCAATTCAACATTAAGACCTCCCTTTAGCATTTCTCTCTCTTTTTAAGCAAAAAAGCAGAGATTTATTAAAAATGAAAGTACACTCCACAGTGTGGGAGCAGGCCTAAGCATAATGGCTTAAGATCTTCCCTTTAGCATTTCTTGTAAGTCAGGTCTAGTGGTGGTGAATTCCCTCAGCTTTTATTGTTCTGGAAAAGTCTTTTTTCTTTTTTCTGATGGATGGACTTCTCAGGTGTAGTATTCTTGGCTGGCAGTTTCTTTCTTTCAGCACGTTAAATATATCATTCTACTGTCTCTTGGCCTGCAAAATTTCTGCTCCTAGTCTTATAGAGGTTCCCCTATAGTGATGAATTGCTTTTCTCTTACTGCTTTCAAAATTCTCTCTTGCCTTTGACTTTTGTGAATTTGATTGTAGTGTTTTCAGTGAAGACTTCCTTACATCTTATCTATTTGGTGTTACTTATGCTTCATGGATCTGGATATTCATTTCTCTCTCCAGATTTGGGAAACTTTCTGTCATTATTTCTTTAAATAAGCTTTCTACCCCTTTATCTTTCTCTGTTCCTTCTGGGACTCTCATAATGCATAGATTGGTTTGCTTCATGGTGTTCTGTAATTCCAATAGGCTTTCTTCACTGTTTTGTATTCTTTTTTATTTTCACTCTTCTGACTGGGTAATTTTGAATGCCCTGCCTTCAAGCTCACTGATTCTTTCTTCTGTTTGATCTACTCTGCAGTTGAAGTTCTCTATGAAATTTTTCAGTTTAATTATTGTGTTATTTAGCTCTAAAATTTATTTCTTTTTTATGGCTTGTATCTCTATTGTATTCTCATTTTGTTTGTGTATTATTTTTGTTATTTTTCTGATTTTGTTTAGCTGTCTGTGTACTCGTGTAGCTTATTGAGCTTCAAGATGACTAATTTGAATTATGTGTCAGGCAGTTCACAAGTCTCCATTTTTCTCCTGTTTTTCCTTTTTTTTTTTTTTTTTTTAATTGAGATGGCCTCTGACTATGTTGCCTAGGCTGGCCTTGAATTCCTGGGCTCAAATGATCCTACTGCCTCAGCCTGCCAAGCCTCTCAAGTAGCTGGAATTACAAATACACAACACCACACCTGGTGAGTCTCCATTTCTTTAGAATCAGTTACTGGTGTTTTATTGCGTTGCTTTGGTGGTGTCATGTTTTCCTGATTATTTGTAATCCTTGTGCCCAGGCATTGGATCTGCACTTTTGAAGAAGTAGACATTTATTCCAGTCCTTACATACTTGACTAACCCAGTGCCTGGGTCAGCAGATGGGCTGGCCTGATTCATGGGTCTACAGGAGCTGGCCTAAAGCCTGGATCCACTGTGATAGGCCTGGATCCTGTGTTCACCTTGGCTAGCCTGGTGCCAAGGTCCACTGAGATGGACTTTTTGACTGAGCCCATGAGAGTAGGCCTGGACCCTGAGTTTGTGGGGGCCAACCTCAAGCCTATGTTCATGGGGGTTGAGATGGTGCTGGGGCAGGCCTTGAGCACTTTTGGGGTGGGCCTTGTTTCTGCATCTGCAGAGGTGGTTCTAAAGCATGGGTCTGCAGGGGCCAGGACTGCATTGGGGTCTACTGGAGTGAGCCTGGACCTTACGTCCATTGGAACCTAGGGCTATGGGGACTACTCTGGAGCCTGGGAATACAGGGGACAGGTCTGGAACTTGTATTTGCAAGGGCTGGCCTGGAAGTTGGGTCTGTGAGTATCAGCCTGGTGCCTCAGGCTGCAAGTTCCCAGCCCAGTGCCTAGGGCTGCAGGTGCTGGCCTGAAACTAAGGTTTTTGGGTTCCAGTCTTGTGTAACACAGGATTGGGGGCATAGTCTGTGGGTGCCAGCCTGAAGTGCAGGGCTTTGGGACTCAACCTGTAGTTGCAGCAGGCCTGGAGTTTCCTCCACAGGTGTCTGCCTAGAGCCTGATGCTAAGAGGGTCAGCCTAGAGCTGTATTTTACTGAGACAGACTTGGTTTCGAGTCAATGGCAATCAGGTTCTTGCTTAGAGTTCATTCCTTCACATGGAGGGTATCTCTCTGCACTGTTCTGCCAGACTTTGGGGAAGGGTGATGCAGGTCATGTGAAATTATACTTCCTACCCTCTTCAATGTGTCTTTTCTTATTTCTCTGCTACTTCCATGTGCTATATTCTTTCAGTGTAATGTCTCTAGCTCTCCTGAAGGTATTTTCACACATGGATGGTCAAATAAATGTTTCTGTGAGGGAAGAAGTGCTGAAAACTCCTATTCCTCTATTTTGCTGATGTCTTCTAATCCCTGGAATTCTAATTCAGGGCCTCAGAATGTATATTTTTAATAAGAACACCAAGTGATTTTGAGTCATATAACCAATGAAATATATTTAAAAATATACTGGCTTACACTAAATTGCCACACATGCATAATGTTGCAGTTCTCTATCTTTGCCTTTTCTATTTGACTATAATTATTTATGTTTTTAATTATTCGTATCTCCTTTCAATAGCTCCCTACTGGAATCTCTTCTAGTTCACCAACTTTGTCAAGTACATACTGTGTTTGAAAACAGGTAACCATGTTACAATTGTATCTAAAATAAAAATTTAAAGTCTCAGCAAAGTTTTAAGACTTCCTTAAGAACATTTCTTATTTTTGTTGAATTGCCTCTAACAAGTTAATTTTGACTTCTCAAGTGTCATTTTGACTTTTTTGATTTTGTTTTATTTTACTCAGTTTCCAGTGTAGGTCAAGCTTGCTGAATACTTGACTTCGGAATTAGAAGGCATTGCTCTATACTTTTATCAAACAGATATTTGTTACTCTTAAATATTAAAGTCTATCATTATGGTTTTTTTGAATTACTGAATCTACTCAGTGAAACCATAAAACATATAAACACTTTAAAGTATGTATCACACAAAACATAATATACAATAAAATCATTTAACGTTTACTCTGATTAAGACTTCAGAAATTAGGCAGTACAATATCCTCATTTAACAGATGAATAAATTATTATTCAGGAAGATCTGATAAGTTTTCCAAAGTTATAAAAACATGTCTAGACTTTCCCAACACTTTGACCACATCTCATACCACCACGGCATCTCAAGTCCCTATATCTCTTATTTATTCAACAAATATTGAAAGGTTATTGTGTTCTAGGCACTGTTATATCATTGAACAAAAGAGAAAATATGAAGTGTAGATTTAACTGAAATAAGAGTGGCTTGATGTTCTCTAATGGTGCAAAAATTTTCTTCAAATTTAACCAACTTTTACTGTGGAGGTAGAAAGGGTTACAAGGTCAAGAAATTTTTTTGTATATGTACCTGGGCAAAATTATTTCCCAAACTAAAATTCTGCTAATTATCATTCTTTATTTGGGAACTATTACATATTTAACTCACTGACTCAAATACATAAATTCTATGGTACTTTAGTTTCTAAAATTTTTACTATATAACTAGATAATCCTTTTATTATTTTTTTATTTTTTGTTTTTTCTTTTGTTTTTGAAAGAGTCTCACTCTGTCACCCAGGCTGGGACAATGATGACTCACTGTAGCCTCGACCTTTCAGGCTCAAGAGACCCTCCCACCTCAGCCTTCTGAATAGCTGGGACTACAAGTATGTGACACCATACTCGGCTATTTTTTTATTTTTTAAAATTTTACTTATAGAGATGTGGTCTCTATTTTGCAGGTTAAGCCTCCTTTACTCATCAAAGTACTTATTTAATTCATGGTTTAAAATTATAATTCTACATTACTATTAACAACCATAACTTTTAGAAATAATTTTATTTCTCTAAGTTTTTTAATAAGTATCACTTACATATTCCTACCAATAAGAAAGCCATTTTTGTCTTGTTATATATCCAACAACGTCCTGTGTGTCCACATTTATTAACATCCCGTAAAATACAAGAAGTTTCTCCTGACATTTTAAAGATTGATGGTCCAGGAATAGTCCCTATGAAAAATGCAATGATTGTAAATTCTTTGTGAAAACACTATTCTCTTAAACATGTAATGCACACACAGATAATATATATGAATGACGACTCATCATTCAAAACATATCACTTAAAATTAGCTAATAATTTATTTATAAATAGGATTGTTAATCACTGGAAACAATGTGAGTTTTCAAAAACAATCCATATCCCTCTAGGTATGAAACAATTAGTAGTTTTGCTTCTGTTTAGAATGTTGTACATGTTGCTATTTAAACGACATCTCAATACTTTTATTGGCTTTTATGTGAAAAACTTAGGAGAAAGTACTTAAAACAGAGATACCAAATACTGATTCTGTGAAGTTAGTATGTCTTCAAATATCTTTAATTGTAAAATTTTCAACGACTGAAAAATGAGTTTGCAAATGTATATCTGTTATTTATCAAGACATTGAGAAAAATAACTGAAAATGCAAATACACTGGCATGTTTATAGTAGCCCCAGATTCAGATGACCTCAGATCCAGAGGACCAGCTGTGCTGCCTGAGGGAAACCTCTACATAGTCTCAGACAAAAATCTCCACAGCAGCAATGATACTTTCAGCCAAAAGTGAGTGAACAGTCACACACCCCGCCCCCCACCCCCACACACACAGAGTTGCCCCCAAACACACCAGACTCAGATTCTCAGAACTAAAAACTCTGATGGTGGATCATCTTTCTTGACCAAATATCAGGACCTTCTTGCCTAAATGACTCTTGATTCTTGCCAATGTGCATTATCTAGATTCGCTCCTCTTGGTGAGTGATAGTACTATTTTTAATTACTCAAGTTTAAAAAACAATTGACTACTATTCATTTTTTCCATTTTTTACCATCTTTTTTCAATCCATCATACATCTTTGTAACATTAACTCCAAACATATTTTGGATATGTTGTTTTCTCTCTATTTGTACTACAAACCCTAGAATCCACTTTAATATAACTGTTAGACTTCAGCAAAAGCCTCCCTTTTCTTTTCCTCCACATTTATCTCCTGTATTTTTTCTTCTATCAGCAGAGTTACCTTTTACTTTTTATTTTTAAAAACTGTTATTATTATTATTTTTAGAGACACAGTCTTGTTATATTGCCAAGGCTGGTCTCCAACTCCTGGCCTCAAGCCATCCTCCCTCCTCACTCAGCCTCCCCAAGTGCTGGGATTACAAATATGAGCACTGTGCCTAGCCGGGGTTATCTTTTAAATGTAAATCAAATAATATCTATCATATGCTTAAAATTATCTGGCAGAAAAACCCTAAAATATCTATAGACAGTTTATGTCTATAATATTTAATATCATCTTATTCTACCCTCTCCCATTCAAAAATACATCAGCCTTACTGGCTCCCTTTCCGATGCAGGAAACTTCCTGTGTACTGACTGACTGTTTCCTATGCTACCTCTTCCATTACAAATCTCTTACCTAGTGAATCATTGTCCAAAACAAAAATATTATCTAATTTTTCCCAGTTAAAAAGCTAATTTTAATCACACAAGTAGATCTAGCTATAGAATTTCTCTGATCTCTATCAGAGCCGCACTTAGATTTTTCTACATTTTTAAATTATATGCCTTTCAGTCTTTAATCCAAGAATTTAGTAAATCAGAGGTTCTAAAATGGTCATAATGTGCATTTGAAATCTAGTTTTTGCTATTTAAGAAATTCAAAGAAAATAGTACATTACCTCCCAACATTTATTTGTTCTTAGAAACAAATAAATCTTTGAAAACATTAGATTCAATGTCTTTGGTGATGAAAACATTTAAAAATGTTAGTCTAGGTTAGTAACTTCCCAAACACGCAAGCAATGTAAAGTATTACAAGAGTTTTGTATGAGCCTACCAAACCACTCATATGAGATGATTACTATATTTCAAATCAAATTTGTTGTCTCTTCTGATCAAATATAATATGCATATTTTATTTGATAATTTGATAATTAGAATGAGCTTTGCATTAGGTATTCCCTCTTTACATTGTCTCCTAAATTCTGCAAAGCAGCTCCCCCTTTCACTCGCTTTGTGTCATTTACTATTATTTATTTGTAATACTAAATACACATGTAGACATATATACATATCAAAAAACATTTTGATGTAATAAGAGATTGCCAAAAATCCATACCAAATATTCTCAAAATCACATAGCTTACACCCAAGGCCAGAGAACGCAGTTTGTCAGGTACAACCCTGAAAGTAAATAGCAATGATATAATCAGCACATCATTGTTATTAGCACTAAGAATGTATGCTAGATTCAAGGCTAATCATTTTTTTTTTCTGGTGCATCAATTGTACTAAGAATCTTTAGCCAATTGACAGAGTTTAAGCTGGCCTGTTAAAGGACTACAACTCCCCATTTCTCCATATCCTGCCCCTTGCCAGCCATTTCCAAAGGTCCTTAGTCTTCCCAAAGAAGAAGGTTTTTATGGCCCAAATCCTCTTCCCCAGCTCCCATTCCTTTGCTGGAAAGACTTAGCACTAGATTTTATACTTACCGGTTTTCATTCTATCATGTACACTCATTATTTTAGAGTTCTTTTTGCCCCTGTGAGATTCACTCTCCACATTTTTCTACCTTGCTTTCTGCCCCGGGAGGCTGAGGTAAATGGACTATATCAATGGGCTCTCTTGTCTTCTGGCTACTGATTGGGACACTTCTGAATGAGTGAGGAAAGTGAGGTCAAGATTTGTATTCAAAGGTTCCCTCCCAGCAGTTACCCAGGGTGACAGTGTTCCATGGGTGAAGGAGTCCTCTCTACAGGATTCCTTTTTTCTTCCCAGCCCTTGTTTCTCTTCGGGCCTGGAGTGGAAGGATACCAGAGGTAATGCACTATTATTTGGGATTCCTTACACCTTACCTACATTTTAAATAGTCACTTAATTCAACCTTACTCAAATTGTTCTAATTTGAGGGTGCCCCCTCTTTCATGTTTGACCTGTGACTACTACACTCACTATTTAAAAGCTAAAATAAATGAAAAATAACTTTTCCAAATATAAAGAATGAAGATCTGTTTTTCCTACTGATCAAACCAAGCATTTGTTTAAAAAAGAAAAAAATGTATAACCGTACATATTAGGAGTTTGGAAAATAAATAAAAATACAATTAAAAATAATCCTTGAACATTTTAAAAAGTTAAAAAATAAGAACTACATTATTAATGGGCATTTTAAATAAACTCAATACTTACTTTTTGTTTATTTGCCTTCAAACTCGAACAATAAACTATATTATGACCAATATTTCATCCAACATGATTCTATTTATAAAAATACAGCACATACACAGTATTTTGTAATATTTTGCAAAAAGTGAGATAATTCTACCCATATCAACCTGGTAAAAATATATATGTCTTCCTCATATATTTACTATTAGAAAAATAAAAACAAATTAACCAATTCTCAAATGATAACTAAATTTTTAAATAAAAAATAATTTACACTTTCATTATGAGCAGATTCACTAAAGAGAGTTTAAAAAGTCACGTTTTAGAATCACACTTTAGTGTAGTTTTTGATATAAAAGTGGAAATGTTGCCTAATTATAATTCAGTGTTCTCCTTTATTTAGCATAAGTAATTTTCTTTTATGTCATATGATATTGGAGCTATGTGAAGCACATATATAGCTGACCATTATTCATAAGTATAATCATTAAGCAGTATTTATGTATCTTCAGTTTGATTGCCACCCTCTTTCTAACATACAAAACAAGATGAAAAGATAAATAATTTCCAGGATTTTCCAAAATTATTTCAGTGAATAGCACAAAAATAGCTAAGAAATACGAATACACAACTAAGATTTTAATGAAAAACTACTGTGCTTTAACAAAAAAGCATTAACATTTTTAAAATCTAATCTATAATAGAATAGTTAAGAATTTCATGAAATAAACAACAAAAAAAAAACTTGTCAATACTCTCCCAACATGTAAAAGGAAGCTTTCACTCTTTTTATATGGCCTCTAAATTTATATTTTTAATCCATATCTTTCTTATAAGACATCGGTTCTAAATATAAGTTGCTGTCTTGCACAAAATTTATTCTTCCCCTAGAGCTCCCCGTTTCAAAATAAAAAAACATGGAACATTTGTTTACGCACTTCTCAAGCCCAAATCTTGGAAAAAGGCATTTTCAAAATGACCTTTTTTTCTCATTCACCACACCTAATCAGTAGATCCAATACTGTCATTAAAAAATTTTTTTCATATCTCTTTTTTTATCTCTAATACCACTGCCCAATTTCAAGCGTATAGCTTCATGAAATAAATGAAACAATTTATCTCCCAATAACCACCCTTATCCCTTCTGTGCATTCTCCATATAAGAACGAAAGTGATATTTTAAGATGAAATTCTGATTATTCTAATGCCTCACATTAGGATCCTTCAATGGCTTCCCATTGTTCTAAGAATTAAATCTAGAATTGCAAAGAAAATTTAAAATGGTCAGCCTGATCTAATCAGTGTTATTTCATGCCACTTCTCAACTTTTGCCCCCATCACCCTCCATGCTCATTACATTCTGTAATATGACATGCTTACAAAGCTACTTCTCCCTCCAGACTTTTTGCATCTGTTGTTCCCACTGTGTGAAATACTTATCTTCCATCCTTCAGGGTTTGGTTCAAATGTAATTTCTTCAGGAATACCCTCCCCGAATCCCCAGAATAAGTTAGACTATCATGTAATTTTCTCATTGTGTTTTTCTATTTTGTTTGGAGTATATTTTAATAGTACAATTCAATATTTATTAGTAAAACTACATTTTTTTTTCTGTCTACCTTGTTACATCTAACATGCATCAGAGGAGTAGAGACCTGGTCATTTGTGTTCCTCTTTTATTCCACTTTTTTCCTTAAAGTGCTCCTCCACTCTCTTATTTGAATCCACAGTGACTACCACAATTAAGGAGACATAAATATGTTAAAATAACGAAGACAGAAGGGAAAATGTTGAAGAACTAGTTTTCTAAATGAGCCTCTTGATGGAAAGATACAGATACATCATGATTCTTTTCTGTTTATACTGAAGCCCTTCACTGCTTCAGATTTCAGCAAATTTCTCAAGAAGAAAAATTATTTTGTCATTCTTAGCCCCATGTGATCACTGAAAACTGCCCGTTTGCTTGTCTTCCAGTTGTGACCCCCAACCTGGGCCTAGTGCAGATTGCCAGCATCTAGCGTGCATCAAGAATTTGGCAAGTACCTCAGGGGCAGTTTTAGATGCCCAGTTCACCTCTGAAAGCTTCTGCTCTCTCCGGAATTTTGATCCCTTTAGTCCTTTGCCTCTTTTTGACTTTTATCCTTTAACCCAGTCTTTCTAGTTGTCCTCTATATGAGCATTGACCTGTTGCAAATCATTGAATGCTATCCCATTCCCTTGCCTTTAATTATCACTTATTTAACAATAATTTCATATTTAATGTCTTTAGCTTTGACTTTTATTGAACTTTTAAAGATTAAACTTTGTTGAATTTGAATTTGTAATATCGTTACATGCTTTGGAAAGCAAAACAATGTAAAGAAGGCACACTGGAGAAATTTGCTTGCTTATACTCCTATCCTCTGTTTATCTGCAAATAGGTAAATTTATTTCTGTAAGGTTACCTATATCATATTACATACAATATCATATTATATGTAGTATACAATATAATATCATATAGATAATAATATGGATAATAAAAACCTGAGAAAAAGCTAAATGAGAAGGAATAGATTGGTTGAATAAGTGATTGCACTTCTGAGCAATGCAATATTATGCAACTGTAAAAAATAAATAGAGAGGATCTCTATGTTTACATGAAAAAAGATATTAAGAATATATTGTTACATTAAAAATCAAAATAGAGAATGGTGAATATAGTATGCTACCTCCTGTGATGAAAGGATAAAATATAGAGATATACATTTATAGTTACTTGTATGTGCATAAAGAAACACTGAAAGTATAAAAAAGACAGTAACCTTTAGGAGATGGGTAGAAATGGAAATAATTTTGGGAAAAAATATATCAAGTTACAACAGAACCATTTTTCAACAGTCCATCATTGCTGCACTTATTTAAGATTACACTTTCATTGCATACTAAATTCCCACATGAGTTGGGGTTTATTTCTATACTTACTATTTGTTTATAAGTCACTACTTTTTTTTAATTATTGAGACTTAAAAAAATTTGTTTTTATTATACTTTAAGTTTTAGGGTACATGTGCACAACGTGCAGGTTAGTTACATATATATATATGTGTCATGTTGGTGTGATGCACCCATTAACTCGTCATTTAGCATTAGGTATATCTCCTAATGCTATCCCTCCCACCTCCCCCGACCCCACAACAGGCCCTGGTGTGTGATGTTCCCCTTCCTGTGTCCATGTGTTCTCATTGTTCAATTCCCACCTATGAGTGAGAACATGCGGTGTTTGGTTTTCTGTCCTTGTGATAGTTTGCTGAGAATGATGGTTTCCAACTTCATCCATGTCCCTACAAAGGACATGAACTCATCCTTTTTTATGGCTGCATAGTATTCCACGGTGTATATGTGCCACATTTTCTTAATCCAGTCTATCATTGTTGAACATTTGGGTTGGTTCCAAGTCTTTGCTATTGTGAATAGTGCCACAGTAAACATACATGTGCATGTGTCTTTATAGCAGCATGATTTATAATCCTTTGGGTATATACCCAGTAATGGGATGGCTGGGTCAAATGGTATTTCTAGTTCTAGATCCCTAAGGAATCGCCACACTGACTTCCACAATGGTTGAACTAGTTTACAGACCCACCAACAGTGTAAAAGTGTTGCTATTTCTCCACATTCTCTCCAGCACCTCCTGTTTCCTGACTTTTTAATGATCACCATTCTAACTGGTGTGAGATGGTATCTCACTGTGGTTTTGATTTGCATTTCTCTGATGGCCAGTGATGATGAGCATTTTTTCATGTGTCTGTTGGCTGTAAAAATGTCTTCTTTTGAGAAATGTCTGTTCATATCCTTCACCCACTTTTTGATGGGGTTGTTTGTTTTTTTCTTGTAAATTTGTTGGAGTTCATTTTAGATTCTGGATATTAGCCCTTTGTCAGATGAGTAGATTGCAAAAATTTTCTCCCATTCTGTAGGTTGCCTGTTCACTCTGATGGTAGTTTCTTTTGCTGTGCAGAAGCTCTTTAGTTTAATTAGATCCCATTTGTCAATTTTGGCTTTTGTTGCCATTGCTTTCAGTGTTTTAGACATGAAGTCCTTGCCCATGCCTATGTGCTGAATGGTATTGCCTAGGTTTTCTTCTAGGGTTTTTATGGTTTTAGGTCTAACATTTAAGTGTTTAATCTATCTTGAATTAATTTTTGTATAAGGTGTAAGGAAGGGATCCAGTTTCAGCTTTCTACATATGGCTAGCCAGTTTTCCCAGCACCATTTATTAAATAGGGAATCCTTTCCCCATTTCTTGTTTTTGTCAGGTTTGTCAAAGATCAGATGGTTGTAGATATGCGGCATTATTTCTGAGACTTTTAGGGTGCCTTTTAGCTTGTGAGGCTAGGCATCAATTATTGTGCTTCTCTGTTTTAGATTCCCAAGCTTACTCTTGCTTGTTATTTTTCCATAAGAACTTTAGAATCAGGCTATGTAGTTCCACAGTTCTCCTGGTATTTTCATTATCATGTTAAAATTATAAATTAACTTAAGGAGAATTGATATACTTGTGGTGTTGGCTTTCCTATTCAATAACACAAGACACATCTTTGCTCTTTGTTCAAGTCAGACTGCTTTTGTGTGATATTTGAGTGTGTAGGGGGTGGGTGAGTGGGGTTTGTTGTTCACTTTTATTTTGACAGTATTATAGCCCCACAGGAAATTGTAAAAATAGTACAAAGCATGCTGTGTATCTTCTCCCAACTTCTTCCAATAGTGACATCTTATATAAATGTAACACAATATACACCTTCTGGCTGGTGGGTACTCTGCAGGGTCCTGAGGCAGTACAGGGTATCCCATGTCCAAGGGGCTGAGTGTGTTAGCTCAGGTCTCTCTTTCTCCTCTTACAGAGCCATGAATGCTTCACCCTCATGACCTCATCTAATCCTAAGTACTTCCCAAAAGTTCCACCTCTCAAATACAGCAGTCAGATTGCCTACTCTCTTAATATTGTTACAGTGTGGATTAAGTTGCAACACGAGTTTCAGAGAGGATCTAGTTCTTTTCTTCTGTTCTGTGGCCATGATTGTTTCATTTTTTAAGTTTAAACTCATATGTAGTTACATTTATATTTTTATCTGATACATGGTAACTTTTTTTGGTGAGTTTTCATTGTCTATAGTAATGTTTGATAATTTTCATTTCATTTGTAGCAGTTACTTGTAATTTTGTCCATAGGCAGAATCCTTTCCTTTTCTACTTACTCATTTTTGAATGCAATACATTTTCTTAAACTTGAGGAAGTTTCCAGGGGTGGAGCATTGGCCAAGCTTTGAACCTATAGGTTATCTCTTCTATTGATATAGTAGACTTAAATATGACTTCTATGTGTAGTAACACTTCCTCTGCCTCTCCAAATATGTCCTAGTTCAAAAGAGCTTTTACTGCCAGCCCAGGGTTTTTAAAATCTTTTCACATTTCTTGCTTTCAGAGGTTATATGCATTCATTTGCAAAAGGTGTATTTCCTGGCTTTTTTTGAGGTCGGCCATGTCCGGACCTCCTGGGAAATTTTCAAGCCTCCTTCTCCTTCTTTCCTGAGAGATTCTTCCTCAACTTATCTATGTAAGTCCTGCTCCCAGAAGGTCCGTATCAAGACCAAACCCTCTCCTTCTGAGCAGAAATATATGTTAGAGATACCTGTGATCTGTCAGTCCTTGGGTCCTCTGTATATTTTCTGTTCCTTATAACATCTTCTGAACCTACAAGCTGGTTTCCAGTCCTGCTTAAATTTTGGCAACACTTATATGCAATTTCAACTTTGTCATTTTTTTGTTCTATGTCATAATTGTACTGAAACTATAGTGTGTGTCTGTGTGTGTGTTTTATTCTCTTTATCTCTGTCTTGTTATTGAGAGAAGTGAGATTCAGAACTAAACTTCTAGAATATTACTATTATCTCTTTCATCTCACTGCTGGAAACATTGAATGTTTCAAAGAACACTAACTAATAAATGTTCAATATTGTACTGATCATCTTCAGTCTGAGGTTTCTTTTCTCCTTGTATTTCATATTTTAGTTAATGGAATTATCATTCATTCAGTTCCAAACTGGAAGTCTGGATATAATCATAGATTTCTCCATATTTTGTACCAGGCATATCAAATTAATAAATCTTACCCTCTTATTTATTTTTTTTCAGAGTCTCACTCTGGCACACAGGCTGGAGTGCAGTGGCATGGATCTTGGCTCATTGCAGCCTCCGCCCCGAGTTCAAGCGATTCTCCTGCCTCAGCCTTCTGAGTAGCTGGGATTACAGGCCCTCTTCACCACACCTGGCTAATTTCTGTATTTTTAGTAGAGACAGGGTTTCACCATGTTGGCCAGGCTGGTCTCGAATTCCTGACCTCAAGTGATCCATCCGCAACGGCCTCCCAAAGTGCTGGGATTATAGGAGTGAGCCACCGCGCCTGGCCACCACTACTAAATTCTAAGGGCTTTCCGTTTTCTCCAGGTTTTCCCCTCAGCTCCATCTTTCACAGTCTTTTCAAAGCATTCTATCTAAAATGCCATCTGATCACTTTCGCTCTTGAGGTTTGCAGTTTTCAGTGGTTCCCAGGTGTGTACACAGAATAGCAACATTCATGTTAACATGGCAAAGAAGGTCGTGTTAATGTGAATTGGGCCCTTACCTAGCTCAAATCTCTTTGCCTCATTCATTATCATGCTATCCTGTCATAGCAGACTTTTTGCCAGGATATTTCATACATTTTTTGGCTTCACTTTCACTGCTCACTTTTCCTGCTAAGGTCTTGTCCCCCGCCTGCTTGTATCATGAGAAATCATTTATCTTTATAAGTCATTTTATGGAATAGATCTTATAGTACTTCCAAATCAACTCAGATAGAAATTACCATTTTCCTCTCTTTGTTTCCTGGTCAGCCTATGCAGGCTTTTCACGCCTTAAAGTTTTTTGTTAGCGTCTTGAAAAAAAAAATTGAAAATAACAAAACAATTATTCTGCACTATGATACAAATGAATATTAAATGGATTTCATATATTTAGGAAGAACGCATAAATAATAAATGTTGGTTTTGTTTAGAATAATAATAAAAATTATATACTGAAATTCTAAAAGTTATTATGCTCCTTTGTTGATGACACTCATGCTTTCTCATAGTCAAATTAAGCAATATGGATGTAAATAGTTAATAAATTCCTATGACCAATTATAATGAGTTAACATTATAATCAAATCTGTTAAAATTAATATTTTTTTCCTATATTTATAATGTTTCTATGTGTGTTAAATTAGGTAAATACATTGTTTTAAATTAAAGTTAAACAATGTGATATTTACATACTCTATGCAAATAAGTTAGCTAAAAGAGAAATAATTATACACATGAATTGTGTCAATTTAACAACTTTTCCTCTGCATTTGCTACCATGAAACACAGAGTAAATTATTTGCTACAATATTCTAAAATCTTTCCAAAATTACTTTTCTTATATATTAAATAAACAATAATAATGAGTAATATATACATACCGCGTCATGGCCAAGACGATTGGTACACCAGAAAAACCAGAAAATATAAGTGTAGAAAAGATAAAAGCAATGAACAAAGGTAACTTATAGCACTTTGCATCACATTTCCCGGGTCTGGCATCAATAAAATCACCTTCTGCATCTGCAGTTATTAATCCTTCTTTAATGCAAGAACAATTGTAGTACATCTGTGAGTATTGAAGACAGGAAACAATCTTTCAGAAAAATAGTCATAAACAAAAGTTCTTATCATAAAATAAAAATTAAATCAATAACTGCAAGGAGACTCATTAGTTTTATTTCAAAATGTCTTTATATTAAGCCTGCTATGTATTATTTAGAAATGAAACATTAATGATAAATCCAAGGTATTTTACATGGCAAAAAATCTGTGTGTGTGTGTGTGTGTGTGTAATTATAATTACTTAGGAAAAGCTCTGTTAATTTAAGAAATTTTCCTCAGAATATTTATATTCAAATTCATAAGAAATTGTTAAATATATAAATTGAGGGAAATTAAAAATAATGTAACAAAAAATGGAATTTTAGCTGAGATTTAAAATATGGATAGTTACCCAATTGTGAAAGGCTTTGAAACCATACTAAAAAGACTTTATTTTGTATGTAATAATGACAGGGCTGCTATCCATTTGGGACAACAGACACAATGCCTAGAATCTGTAACATATTCAGAACCACATAAAATATTTTAATTTTAAAGCATTTTAAAATCAAAGAAAAAAGTGTATAATAATAAATTATATAAAATGAATATATAATGATGAATCCAGCTTGGATTGTATTTTTTCACACCAATGTGGTGTAGATAAAATAATTTCTTTATCATTATTAATTTTTTAGTGAAGAAAAGAGAGCACGAAGGCAAAAGTGTCTAGAGTCAATGAGATTCATACTGCAGTCCTGAATGGAAAGCCAATGAGAATTTGGAGTTGTGGTTGTAGGGTGGATAATTTAAGGCAGATGAATTGGTGACATTTTCTAAGGAGAATTAAACAGAGTTTAAAGATGCAGAGACCAGTTCGCAATTTATTAATTTATTGGAAATATTCTAAACTAAAAAATAAGAAGAAAAGAACAATACAATAAATTTAGCAGAAATATTGAATTAGATTTTACTAGTGAAAAAATAAGAGAAATTAAACATAACTTGAATCTGGGTTATTCAGAAAATTATAATTCAGACAAATTTATGTCAGTTTGATAGGTGAAGTTGCTGAGAGGTTAATAAATATGTTAAATAATATAAATACCCAAATATCCAAATATCAATTCCTTCATTCCACCAAATATTTTTTTGAGTGCCTATATGCCAATCATCAATCTAGGTTTTGGGAAAACACAGTAAACAATAATATAGAAACCACCATTCCATGTAGAAAACTTTCTATTTGGGGAGACAGGACATTTTAAAAAAAAGGAACTTGAGTATTTAATGATAAGTGCTATGGAGAAAATAATAAAACAAGGAAAAGTACAGGGAATATTGGGGGGGTTATAGGACAATACTTAACATGATCAGAGAATGTTTTGATGATGAAGTGATATTTGAGCTGAGATCTGAAAAAGGTAAGTGAGTGGACCACATGGTTATCTAAAAGAATGTTTCAAGTAAAAAAAAAGGAACAGTAATTGAAAAGCCTTGTGGTAGAGCTTGCTTGAAAAGTTGAAAGAAAAACAAGAACAGAATATGCTGGATCAGAATGAACATGAAGGAGACTAAGAGAAAATAAAATCAGGGTGGTAGGAAAGGAAGGATTAAACAGCTATCGGGTGGCAATTGCAAGAGCAATGTAAAGAACTTTGGTTTTTATTTTTAGTGATGTGAAGTCATTGGATGGATATATAAATGATATATTTTAAAAGATCATTGTGACTGCTATATTGAGACTTTTGAAATATGTAGGCAAGGGTAAAAGCAGATAAAACAGTTAAAAGTCTATAAAATAAAGTACAAGACAATAGTGCTTGGGAGGCCAGGGTGGTAATCAGAGAAAATAAAAATGGCCAAATTCAGAGTTTACTTTGAAAATAGGTTTGAAAGGATTTGCTGAAGGATTCTAGAGTGAAAATGGTCACCAGAAAGAAAAGGTCATATGGGGAAGGACTTCCTAAGAGAAACTATGACTTTTAGTCAAGGGAGGCAGTCAGTCATTCACAGCTCAGGGAAAGAACCAAGAAAATAAACACCATGATTTCACTTGCTTTCCCTGTCTTCCTGATTTCCTATTAGGACTCCTTATCATCTTAACCCAGTCCAAAGCCAGAGGGCAAAGGAGCTTTCATCCTATATTGAGGAGGGTAGAGAAAGGTAAAAAATGAATCTGGAGGACAGACAAAAGATATTTAGCACAATAAATAGTTGTAGGCCATACAACCTTTTAGCCATACAAGATGGCTAAAAGGAGAAATAAAAAATACAACGAAGGGTTCATGAACAGATTATGGAATCAGAAGACATTGGGCTCTAAAAGGGTTGAAGAACTAAGGAGTCCATGTATTAGAGAAAGTGAGCTGAAAGAAAGGAAGTTGTAGATCAATAGCAGAATAATTGAAATTGAGATCATGGAAGGAGTAAAGTTATTGTAAAGGCCTAGGGTATGACCACCGAAGGACATTGCATGAGGTGGGGTGCAAACAAGATTACCAGGAAAGAATATGTCAAGGAATTATATGGTTAGAGTATTAGAAAGAGCCTCAAGATGAATTTCAAGATTACTAACCACTGTATTAGAAAGAATGCCAGTGAACCAGGGCCTAAAATCCTCAAGGAATGGGAGGAAGTATTCTTGAGTCTGAAAATGACTGTAACAAAAAGGATAGTAGAGGTAATGCCTGCTCAAGTAAGTTTCAATGGAGAATTGGGAAAAAGTAAAGGGAAAATGGTCTAAAAGTACTAATGAGTGTCTTAGCTCACTTTGTGTTGCTATAACAGAATGCCACAGACTGAGTAACTTATTTCTCATAATTCTGAAGGCTGGCAAGTCTAATATGAAGATGGTGGCATCTAGTGAGGGCCTTTATGCTGCATCATCTCATGGCAGAAGGCAAAATGGTAAGAGAACAGGAGCACAAGAGAGGGCCAAACTGTTTTTATAGCAACCCACCATGACAATAACAAACCTGCTCCTGCAATAATGACATTAATCTCTTGATGAGGGCAAAGTCTTCACGGCTGAATCACCACTTAATGATCCCACTTGTTAATACCATCACAATGACATTACATTTCAATGACTTTTTCCTCATTTAAATTGGAACACCATGATAAAATTTATAAAATATCAACTTTTGCAAATGGCTTGCAAGCCATTGTTAATTACTATATAATGTTAGTTTCTAAGTTACTAATATAGGCCCACAGTCCTCTACACATAATTTTCAAGTCCAGAGAACTCTGAAAACCAAAGAATTTTCTTTGTAGCTTATTTGATGAAAAAATATGACCTAGAATAATGTAAAGCTATTTAATGTTTTCATTTATCTCTCTAAATGAGAATATCATAAGTGTTGGTATAGAAATATTAATGTTTGATTACAGTTGCTGCTCTGCTGAGTGTGGAATATGATATACAATGATTATGTACTATATTTCTTTTTAAAATCCAACAACTGAGATATTTGAATGCAAGAATTTTGGATAAAAGCTTGTGAGCCTTGAACAGGAGTATTTTTCTTACCCAAATGTACTGTCTCAGCTGAGAGGACATGATTAGTCTCTACACAGTTACCAGAGCATAGTAATGGTAATGAAAGTACAGTGCTAACTTAAATTTTGTTACTTTTCATTATAAAAATAATTCATGACCACTGAAAATATTTTTAAGATATAGAAAAATGAAAAAAGTAAAAATAGTCAAGTCCCCAAAGATGGATATTATCTTAAAGTATTTGTTTTTATTTTCTAAGATATCATGTTAAAAGAACAAAGTGCATAAAATATGTATAATATGCTCCCATTTGTATAGAAAAGACTTTATATGCTTTAACATGTATATTTCTATAATGATGCATAAAAACAGATGGTAAAATTTGTTGCTTCTGAATATGAGCACAAGGTATCAATGGCCTGTGATAGAAAGGAGACATATTTAACAGTACAGCTTAAACTATTTGAATTATTTACCATGAAAAACTACTACTTTATCCAAAAAAGGTGTAAATTTAAAGTAACATTTTAATGATTATTCATCTGACAAATATTTATTAAGCATCTGCAAAGAAACAGGCAGTAATCTAGATACTGCAAATAATGGTGAACCAAAGAGACAAATTTCCTAACAAGTACAGCATATAATCAAGCTTTTTAACTGAATTTTATATTATATATATACTTTTTACCTATTTTTCTACTTATTTTTTCTAATTATTTTTCTACTTTTTATTTTTCTTATTTTTTGACTAGTCATCTCTGAAAGGTTTATATTATTCTTTCAAGTACATACATCACCATTTACATAAACTCATTCCTATAACTTGCCAATTTATTCCCTTCTGAGTTTTAAAATATTACTTAGATGTACAATATCTATTTTATTTTCTTGGAATTGAGACTCACTATGGAAAATACTGCATCTAAGAACATCAGCATTTTAAAGGTTGTTTGATATGTATTCTCAAATTGCTTAAGAACATATTTTAGGCTGGGTGTGGTGGCTCACGCCTGTAATCCCAGCACTTTAGGACACTGAGGCAGGTGGATCACAAGGTCAGGAGATCGAGACCATCCTGGCTAACATGGTGAAACCCCATCTCTACTAAAAATACAAACAATTAGCCAGGTGTGGTGACAGGCACCTGTAGTCCCAGCTACTTGGGAGGCTGAGGCAGGAGAATGCCGTGAACCGGGGAGGCGGAGCTTGCAGTGAGCCAAGATCTCGCCACTGCTGTGCCACTGTACTCCAGCCTGGGTGATGGAGAGAGACTCTGTCTCAAAAAAACAAAAAACAAAAAAAGAATATATTTTGAAAGTTTATAACACCAGAAACATATAAGATTATGTGTTAATTTGAACTATCAACATTTTTTAATTTAACAAATTAAAAAGAGAAAAGGGTATCTCTGTGTTGTTTTTATTTATGTTTTAATTTTAGAGTGAAATGTTATTTTCATAAACTTGGTATTACTATAATGGATTTATGTACACAATGTTAGTATGAAATGTTAGACTAATAGAGGCATAAAATATCCAAGTTTTGTGGGAGAACACTAGAGAATGTATACCTGTGCTCTATTACCTATAAAGAGGCAACTACTCAACTGGCATCGCAGAAATTAAACCAAAGAGCAAGGATGAGAAGAGAGAAGTAAGTTCTACATTTGATGAAACAATAAAACAGCCAAAACTTTAATTCAAAACATATGAAAAATCGTGCCTAAATTAAAAGAAAATACACATACCTCCATACACTGGAGGTATCTCACAGAATTCTCCAACACAGGAACATGAATTTAAAAGCCAAAATATTCATTATGTTATTATTTGTTATACAATTTTACAGCATTTAAAATAATTAGTGAGAGTCCCTTTTCTGACATAATTTAAGTCCTCCAAGTCTCATCCCTCCAACTGATTACAAATAAAAACTCTGGCTAAAATATGCAAAAAGTAACTACCTGTAGAAGTTCTAAATGAAAGAAAAGCAGCTGAATTGTGAAGGAGAAGAGAAAGATATTGGGGCAGAAAAAGGCATTTAAATTAAAAATTGCTGAAAACTACCCAAATTTGGTGAAAATATAAATTTATGGATTCAAGAAGTTCAGTGAATTCCAAACAGGATAAACTCAAAGAAAACCAAACCAACACACTAATGAAAAGCAAAATTTAAAAAAAAAAGAAATACTGAAAATAGCTAGATAAAACAATATATATTATATACAAGTAAATCAATTATTTGAATCACCATACATATATCATCAGAAACCATGGATGCTGGAATACAGAGAAGCATCATATTTACAGTGTTGAAAGAAAATAATGATCACCCCAGAATTCAATGTCTAGTGAAAATATCCTTCAGGAATGAAGGCAAGACAAAGATATTTTAAGTTGAAAGAATACTAAAAGGATGTCACCAGCCTACCTCCTTTACAAGAAATGCCAAAATAAGTTCTTCAAGCTTAAGGTAAATGATGATGCTGAGCGAAACTCACATCTTCATGAATGATGAATATTAAATTTCTGGGTAAATATAAGACTACATTATTTTCATAAGATATTTTAAGTACAATTTTTTTAAACAAGTCATAATATTATCTATCACAAATTTGAATATATGTATAGCTATAAGACATGTTACAACTGCAACATAAATGTTACTGGGGAAAAGTAAAGGTACATATATGGTGAGTTTTATACCTATATGGTGAGTTTTATATTACACTATGTGCTATAATATTAATTCTAAATAGACTGTGAAATGTTATATAATCTAAGAGCCATTCAATTAAAAATCAATTCAAAGAGATAAAACAAAATGTCAAGGTATACTAAAGTGAAATAGCAAAGTGTATTCAATTCCAATAATAAAATAAGCAGCTAGATCTAAACTCAGCCATACTGATAACTCTATTAAATGTAAATAATTTTGGAACTCCAATTAAAAGACAGAATAACAGACTGGAGAAAAGGTAAATCCATTACTCTATGCTGGCTACAGGAGACAGTCTAAACATAAAGACACAGGAAAACAAAAGGATAGAAATAAAATACACCATAAAAATAGCAAAATAATGCTATAATAATGATTTAATATCATGCAAAATACACTTCAAGAAAAAGAATATTATTATCGGAGACAAAAAGGGACATTTTAGAAAGATAAATGAATAGTTCATCAAAAAGATGTGACAATTATTAATATGTAGGCATATACACGTTAATACACAACACAAAAATAAAGAGAAATAGACAATTATACAATTATATTAGATCTTTTTCATACACAGTGTTCAGAATTTAATACAACATTATAAGCCATACAAAGTGACAAGAAAATTTGGCTTAAAATTAGAGAAAAATAAACAATATAAGTAGATTCATAGGTGAACTAGATAGCAGAGTTAATAGTAAGAATGTTAAAATAGTTATGATTAATGTGTTCCAGAAAGTACAGGAGACAAATGAATAACATAGCTTAAATTATGTAGAATTTCACCAGAGATTTGTATTCTAAAAAAAAACATTAATACTAGAACTAAAAAATACAAGTGAAATTAGAACCTCAGAAAATGGGTTTAACAGCAGAGCAGACACTGCGGAATAGAGGCTTAGTAACTGGAAGATAGATGAACAGAAACTATCTATACTTAAATAAACAGATGAAAGGGGACAGAAAAGAGAAAAAGTAGCAAAAGATTATGGAACAGGAGTAGAAATGACTATTTGTAGTCTGCGTTAAGCAGAATTCCAAAACAACACCCAAGAGTCCCTCTATTGTGTATATCCCTACATAATCCCTAGGACTGTAAGTTGATAAGGAAGTAAAAGGCATGACTCAACTCCGTAGATGGGGGCTCAAACATTGGACCAAATTGAGGACTAGCTAAAACAGGGACAGGGTGAAGCAGCTTTCCATGACATGTCCACCAGTGTGCCATGTCAGCTTGCCATTGCCATGGCGACAGTAGTAGTTACCACCCCTTTCCATGGCAATGACCCAACAACCCAGTTACCCCCTGCCCTTTTCCTAGAAATTTCTGCATAATCTGTCCCTTAATTTGCATGTAATGAAAGTGGATATAAATATACCTGCAGACCGGCCTCTGAGCTGTTACTGTGGGCACATTGCCTATTGGGTACTGCTGCACAAGGAGCAATACCTCTCTGCTGCTACTGTATACCAGTGCTTCAATAAAAGTTGCTGTGTAATACCAACCTTGAATGATGCCCTTGAATTCTTTCCTGGGCAAGGCCAAGAACCTTCCCGGGCTAAGCCCCAATATTGGAGCTCATCTGCCTGCATCAATCAGTTTTACTCAATTATATTCTATGGCATAGTTTACTTTAAGAAAGAAAGGCTATCTTGGATAAACCTCATCTAATTAGGTGAGCCTTAAAATGTACCGGGCTCCTCTTGAAATCAGAGATACAAAATATGTAACATAAGGGAGATTCTCTGTTGCTGACACTGAAGACGGAGTGGGTTATATGTGAAAGAATGTGTGAGGCCTGTGAAAACTAATACTGGCCTCCAACATACAGCTAGCAAAAAAATTAGAGCCTTCTTTTTTTAACCCAAAGGAACCAAATTTGTTCAATAACCTGAACAAACTTAGAAGTGAACTCTTTCCAAGGCCCTCCAGAAAGGAGCACAACTCAGCTATTACCCTGATTTCAGCCTGTGAGACTTGGAGCAGAGGACCCAGTCATGCATGGCATGTCTGGATTGCTGACCTTAGAACTGAAAGCTAATAAATGAGTGTTATTCAAAACCACTAAAATTGTGGTACAATAATCCCCCCTTATCCATGGGAAATACATTCCAAGATCCCTGAATGTCTGAAATCATGAATAGAACTGAACCCTATATCTACTCCTTTTTTTCCTATACATACATACCTATAATAAAGTTTAATTAATAAATTAGTCACAGTAAGAGATTAACAATAACTATTAATAAAATAGAACAATTATAGCAATACTGTAATAAAAGTTATGTGAAGATTCTCTCTCTCTCTCTTTCTGTGTCTCCCAAAATACCTTAATATTTTCAGACCACAGTTGATTGCAGGTCATTTAAATTATGGATGCAGGGGCTACTGTAATTTATTATGTAGCAATAATAAACTAATAGTTCCCAAAAATACAGGAAAGAGAGAGAGAGGTTAAATAGCTAAGAATTTTTCAACCGATAGACCTGAATCCACAGACTGAAGATACTCTGTGAAACCCAAGCAAAATAAACATAATCAAAGCCACATCAAAGTAAAACTTCTGATAACCAAAAACAAAGAGAAAATCCTAAAGCATCCAGAAACAGAAGGCAACATATGATATCTTTTAAATGTTGGTGGTGGGGGGAATGAGGAGTAGCGGGAATCACTGCCAATCTAAAGTTCCATACCCAGTGAAAACCGTTTTCAAAATGAAGGTGAAATAAGGTTCTTCAGGCAGAAGAAAAATAATCCCATATGAAAGAATGAAAATGCAAGGAAAAGGGTAAATAAAAGTCAATATTGATTGTACAAAAGCCAAATTATAATAGCATATTTCATTTAAAACATATAAAAATACATATTAAAAATAACACAAAGATAGGAGGTCAGTAAATAAAATTAAAATATTCCAATGATATTTAAGCTGAATGAAAACCTGAAGCCTTGCTTCTTATAATCCTTAATCCTTTGGATGTGATTTACTTTCCTCTTCAGAGATAAATAGAATGAAGTTTCTGTTGAACCTCTGGAAGAATATTCCATATTGCTATTTTATAATGAAAACTATATCAGCGGCTGAAAGGAATCAGTCTTGGGGAGATCACAAAAAAAGCCCAAGATTTATTTAATATCTATATAAAGAAATTTGAAGATCTTTGGAAGCATGGATAAGAAGAATACGTGTGGTTCTCAGTGAGGAAAAGCTGCCCAGGAATATTATCAATATCAACAGCAGATATCTATTTTCAGTTTTAGTACAGCTGTACTTTTCTAGAGAAACCTAAAAATCGTTAGAGGTATAGTATTTCCTACTACTCCTCTCACAAACTTTTGCATAAGTTTCATTGAAGAGCATCTAATTCTAGCTTATGTTGGCCCTGATCATATTTTGAATAGTAACATTTAATCAGAATTTTTTCATACTTGACATATTTTCATTGAGAAAATATTTTTTAAAGGGGATTCCATTAATAGCATATAGGTACTTGATCATTTTTTGTATAGTGTATCTTATTTTAATTTTTATTTTGTTAAGATTTTTTTATTGGTATCGATCTTTTCCCATTTGAAATTGATGCTTATTCTATCCATTAATCGTTTCCATCCATATCACATTTTACTAAAAGCTTCTACTTGGTAGATTTTCTATCAAAGCCATTTTTCCTAGCAAGGCTAATTGTCCTATTAGGCAATTTCTTTCATATCGATTTTATTCTTTCAGTTTTCATTAAGTATCAAATGTTATCACACAGTTTGAGTGACTATTTTGTGGATTATTTCTATCACTGTTATTCCTCATGAATTAATTACTCCTTAGAGAAATATAAAGAAAACTATGAAGAGTTTCATGAAATAAATAAAGTCTCTAAAAGAGATTCCCTAGAAAAAAAGGACGCAGGGGTTACAGCTATATCCTTCATGGCCTGTTCAGCTCTTGAATATTCCAGGGAATCAAAACATCAAGGTCAAACAGTTTTACTGTATACTGTGATGACATGGTGAGCATTTAAAAATAAAATGAAGGAGAGGAAGTGGTGTTATGGGATCTTTGGGGTGTCACTTTGGAGGCTGGAAATCTCTGTGGCTAATGTGCCTTTGCCCAAGTTCTTATCCTGTGTCCAGGAAGAATGAGGTAGGCAAACAAGTGGAAGGTTAACAAGAAGGAGAGGAGCTTTACTGAGTGTTACAACAGCTCAAAGGAGAACTGCAGTGGGTAGCTCCTCTCTGTAGGCGGGTCATCCTGTCCAGTGTTCAGCTCTCAGCAGAGAGGAGTCCCTCGAGAGGGTTGCTCCTCTCTGCAACTGGTCATCCCCATGTCTGCAGCTCTAAGCAGAGAGGGTAGCTCCTCTCTGTAGCTGGTCATCCTTCATTGCTCCATCCTCTCCTCTGCTCTGGCTGATCCCAGGGCTTTTATGGACCTCAGAGGGGAGGTAGTGCATGCTGATTTGTCCATGGGTGGCCATGGGCAGGCCAGAAAAGGCACCACACCTCTTTGTTGCTCTCTCCCATTCACGAAGACTAGCCAGAGCAAGGAAAGAGAAAGAGAATTTTCAAAGAATGGATCCATACTTCTATGCTATTTAAAAGGTGAAAGTTGGAGTAGATAGTCCATCATTTAGCCAAAAGCTTATTTATGCAACTTGGGATATTAAAAAATTAACCTCAACAAGTGGTAGAGTGGTCAACTGTTTTTCATGACAGAAGAAGAAAATGTGTTAGCATTTTCCCAGAGAAATAAGGGATTCTGATGGTAATGGCCCCACAGATGAGCACATGAGGGAATTTTTAAATAGCCTCAATTTACATAAATGCCAAAGGACAAACAGAAATAACATATATTCGAGTCACATGTGTTATTGCCCCATGAACCTCTAACTAAGTCTCTCACTTTCCTGGATGTACTAACAAAAGCATACAAGTTAGGGTGACTTCTGATAAACCATAGAAGGACTAATTTCCACATCTAAATTAATGTGGAGCAGAAAGAGAAACAGCAAAAAGGTAGAGAGTAAACACTTTGGATTCTTCAGTAGAAGGAAAAACTGAGTGAAAGGTGACCAAAAGGATAGTATTCGTCAATCTCTAGGTGTGGAAAAGATTGTGGCTTGAAGTTTCAGGGGATTGGGTGCCGCTGTTAAGTAGCATAGAGCTAAGACAAACTACATAGGGGAAGGTTCTCTCAGGCTGTTTCGTTCAACTTTGCTATGGCAAGAGGTAGATAAGAGTTCCCCACTGCTTTAAAACAATAAAGTTGGGATGATGTAATATATATATATGTGTGTGTGTGTTTGTGTGTGTATGTGTGTGTGTGTGTGTTTTGTTGTGTTTTTATGAGATATGTTCTCACTCTGTCACCCAGGCTGGAGCACAGTGGCACAATCATGACTCACCATAGCCTTCACCTCCCAGGCTCAGGCAATCCTCCCACCTCAGCCTCCCAAGTACCTGGGACTACAGTCATGCACCACCATGCACAGTTAATTTTTGTATGTTTTGTAGAGACAGGGTTTCGCCATGTTGCCCAGGCTGGTCCCCAACTCCTGGGCTCAAGTGATCCACCCTTTTAGGCCTCCCAAAGTGCTGGGATTATAGGCATGAGCCACTACACCTGGCCCCATAGATGTGTTATTGAGGACTAAGCTCTGATTTTTTTTTTTTTAAATCTTGCCCAAACTCCTATCTAAGGGATCTGGGGACTCATGCCCTTCAAACCATAAATTCTCATCAGATGGGTTTTATTTAACCCTCTTTATCATGACTTACTTTCTAATCTGACTCTGGCATAACATTAGGTGACAAAGAAGAAAATCAAAATATTTTACCTCAAAACATGTTTCTTTGTCATATTTTGAAATGGCCCTGCAAAGCAGTCCTTTGTGGGGGGGAAATGTGCATCTGTAAAGAATCTCTATTAGCATAGCAAATAACGTAACATTTCTTTCAGGTCTTTCCAATCCTGAAGAGGTTCACTGAGAGTCAACCACCTTTTAAAAGGTCTGAATAGGAAATATTTGTCATCTGTTGTCTCTTAGGGTAGCCACTATGAGACTTCAAAAGAACCTTGGTCTCCACAATCTTTTTTCTTAACCTGGACATTTCCTTTCTATTGATCCCAAGTCTTTAGACAAACTCAACCAATTGTCGACCAGAAAATGTTTAAATTTACCTACAGCCTGGAAGCCCTACCCCAAAACCCTACCCCAGCTACAACCCTCCCCTCCCCTGTCTTCAAATTGTCCCGCCTTTCTGGATCAAACCAATGTATTTCTCAAATGTATTTGACTGATGTCTCATGCCTCCCTAAAATGTATAATACAAAGCTTCACTGTGACCACCTTGAGCACACGTTCTCAGGACCTCCCAAGGTGTCACAGGCCATGGTCACTCATATCTGGCTGAGAATAAGTCTCTTCAAATATTTTACAGAGTTTGACTCTTTTCATTGACATTTTAATGTAGGAATATCTCTTTCACTCCCAATTTCCATAAGCTCTTTGTATTGTGGCAATATAAAACAAATTTTTGCCAGGCACGGTGACTCACATCTATAATCCCAGCAGTTTTGGAGGTGAGACCAAGGCAGGTGGATCACTTGAACTTAGGCATTCAAGACCAGCTTGGGCAGCATGGCAAAAACCCATCTCTAAAAAAATTACAAAAATTAGCTGTGTGCGGTGGTGTGCGCCTGTAGTTTCAACTATCCTGTAGGCTGAGGTGGGAGGATGGCTTGAGCCCAAGAGGTGGAGGTTGCAGTGAGCTGGGATCTCTCCACTGCACTCCAGCCTGGGTGACAGAGTCAGATCTTGTCTCAAAAAATAAACACACACCAAAAAAAAAAAACAAATTTTATTTTCTTGTCTTTAACACTTAAAAGGGGAAAATAAGAAAAAATAGGTTTTATACAGAGTTGGAAGAAAAATGTTAATAGCATCTACAAGTTGAACATTTCACTAAAGAGGAAGAAGCATAAAAATAATAATTATAATATAATGAAAATATAAATGTATAACAAAACATAATAATTATAAAAAATAATTACCTTTTTTTGGTTTTGTGCTTTAGAATATGTACACCCTGCAAAGCAGGGAGAAAAATATTCAATATCATCTCTTCCACATATAGAAGAATAAATTGAAGATGAGCATCTACATTTTTCATTGCAAGGAGCCGTGAGGTTTCCCAACTTCCCTGTTCTGTAAAAACAAGATTGAATGTAATCATATTACCATTGTTTTATAATTATTGATGCAAATGTCAAGATATCAGTGAGATCCATAAAATATGCTTATTGAAATAATTTCTTTTTTTAACAGCTTTACTGAGGTCTGAGGTACAATAGACTGCACATACTTAGACTAAAATTTGAAGATTTTTGATATGTGTATACACTTGTGAAATCATCACCAAAATCATGCCAACAAACATAATAATCAAAAGTTTATTTATAACAAACATAATAATAAAAAAAAAAACCCAAAAGTTTCCTTGTGCCCCTTGGTAATTTCCCCACTCCCTAGCATACACTGATCTACTTTCTGTTACTATTCACTTGTTTGAATTTCCTAAGTGTTTATGAAATAGAATCATAGAATATGTCTGGTTTCTTTGGCTTCTTTCATGCAGCTGGTCTTTATTTGGTCTTTGTATGGTCATATGCTTCCATGTCTCTTGGGTAAATATTAAGAAATAGAATGTTTGCATCATGCAGTAGGTGTTCACTTAACTTTTTAAGAAACTGTCAGTTTTTCAGAACTGTTGTGATATTTTACATTTCCATCAGCAGTGTATAAGAGTTTCGTTTGTTCTCCTCACCAACACTTGGTATGGTCTCTTTTTAAAAAAATGTTAGACATTTTAACGGGGTGTAGTAGTTTCATATTTTGGGTTTTAATAGGCATTTTGCTAGTGACAAATGATGTCGATCATCTTTCCATATATTTCTTTTCAAACTGTATTTTTTATTAAATATCTGTTCAAATCATTTGCCTATTTTGTTGGATTGCTTATTTTTTAATATTCTGGAAGTAATTTTTTTGTTAGATATATTATTTTCCAATAGTTTTTCACATTCTATGGCTTGCTTTTTCATACCATAAACAAGTTCTTTCAAACAGTAGTTTTTAAATTTCTGACAAGTTTCAATTTATCAATTCATTTTTTTCTGGATTATGTGTTTGGTGTCACATCTAAAAGATACTTGCCTAATGCAAGATAAAAAATATTTTCTCTTATATTTTTGGAGTTTTATATTTTATATTTACATCTATAATTCATTTTGAACTAATTATTTTATATGGTGCAAGATGTGAATTAAAATTCATTCATTTGCATATAGATATCTATCCAGCATAATTTCTTAAAATTATTGGAGCAAGACAAAATTGCCCACTTTTAGCAGTCCTATTCAAAATAGTACTGGAAGTCCTAGCCAGAGCAACCAGGAAAGAGAAAGAGAATAAAAGGCTTCCAAATTGGAAAAGAGAAAGTCAAATTATCCCTGATCATTGATGATACAATCTTAGGCCTAGAAAAACCTAAAGATGCCAATAAAAATCTCTTAGATTTGATAAATGAATCCAGTAAAGTTTCAGTGTAGAAAATTAACATACAAAATTAGTAACATTTTTATACACCAATAAAAATCTAGCTGAGAACAAGCCAGGCCGGGCACGATGGCTCATGCCTATAATGCTAGCACTTTGGGAGGTCGGGGCAGGTGGATTGTCTGAGCTCAGGAGTTTCCGACCGGCCTGGGCAACACAGTGAAACCCCATCTCTACTTAAAATGCAAAAAAATAGCCAGGCGTAGTGGCATGCACCTGTACTCCCAGCTACTTAGCAGGCTGAGGCAGGAGAATTGCTTGAACCAGGGAAGTGGAGGTTGCAGTGAGCTGAGATTGTACCACGGCACTGCAGCCTGGGCAAAAAGAGTGAAACTCCATCTCAAAGTAAGTAAGTAAATAAATAAATAAATAAATAAATAAATAAATTAATTAATAAGGCAAGCTTGTTTACAATAGGTCCAAAAAGTAAAATACCTAGGAATATATTAAACTAACAAGGTGAAAGATCTCTATAAGAAAAGAAAACTACAAGAAAGTAATTGTTGATAACACAAACAAATGGAAAAACTTTCCATGATCATGGATCAGAAGAATTAATCTTGTTAAAATGATTTTACTGCCCAAAGCAATCTACATATTCAATAAAATCCCCATCAAAATATCAGCATCATTTTTATAGAATTTTTTAAATCCTAAAATGCATATACAAACAAAACTAGAAGCCCAAATAGCAAATGTAATTCTAAGCAAAAGGAACAAAATTGGAGGTATCACATTATCCAACTTCAAATTACATTATAAGGCTACAGTAACCAAAACAGCATTGTAGTGGTATAAAAATAGACCCATATATCAATGAAATAGAACAGAAAACCCAGAAGAAAAGCCACATATTTATAGCCAACTGATCTTTGACAAAGTTAACTGGGATATACATTTAGAGAAAGGACACCCTTTTCAATATATGATGCTGGGAAAATTGGATTGTTATGTATAAGAGAATGAAAATGGACCCCTGTCTGTCACCATATACAAAAAGCACTCAACATGGATTAAAGACTTAAATATAACTCTCCAAACTCTAAAAATACCAGAAGAAAACATAGGAAAAATTCTTTCAGACATTGGTCTAGGCAAAGAATTCGTGATTGATACCTCAAAAGCACCAGCAACCAAACAAAAATAGACAAATGGGACTTAATTAAACTAAAAAGCTTTTGCACAGCAAAAGATATAATCAACAGAGTGAACAAACAACCTGAAGTTTAGGAGAAAATATTTTCAAGCTATCCATCCAACGAAGACTAATATCCAGAATATACAAGGAACTCAAACAGCTAAACAAAAACCCCCACAAATAATTTCACTGAAAGGGGGCAAATGACATGAATAAACATTTTTCAAAAGAAAACATACAAATAGCCAACAGGTGTATGACAAATGCTCAACATCATTGATCATCAAACAAATGCAAATCCAAACCATAACGAAGTATGATGTTACCCTAGTCAGAATGGCTATTTTTAAAAAGTTAAAAGATAACAGATGTTAGAAAAGATATGGAGAAAAGGGAATGCTTCTACACGGTTGGTGGGAATGTAAATTAGTACAACTTCTATGAAAAACAGTAGATGTTTTCTCAAAAACTAAAAAATATAACTACCATTCAATCTAGTACTCTCACTATTGGGTATCTAACCAGAGAAAAATAAAATAATATATCAAAAAGATATCTGTAGTTATTTATAGCAGCAATATTCACAATAGCAAAGATAAGAAATCATCCTAAATATCCATCAACAGATGATTGAATTAAAAAATGTGATATATAAATATTTATATATACATATATATACACACACGTTGAATACTATTTAGTCATAAGAAAAAAATGAAATAATGTCTTTTATGGCAACATAGATGAAACGGGAAGTCATTATCTTAAGTGAAACAAGCCAGACACAGACAGACAAATATCACATGTTCTCAGTCACAACTGGGAGCTAAAACTTGTGTACCCATAATTGTAGAGAGTGGAATGATAGACCATGGAGACTCAGAAAGGTAAGGAGGTGAGAAGGTGACAGATAATGAGAAATTACTTAATGGGTATAATGTATATTATTTGGGTGATAGATACCCTAAAAGCCCTGACTTGACCACTTATCTCACCTATGCCTGTAACAAAATTGCAATCATACCCCACAAATTTATGTAAATAAAAAATATATTAAAAATGTACTGAGATTGGTTTTGCAATCCGGAATATGCTCCAACTTGGTAACCATTACATGCGTGCATGAATAGAATGTGTATTGTTATGTGGGCCATTTCTACAAATGTCAATTAAGACAGTTGGCAGTATGGTTCAAACCAGAATTTTTTGATCTACTTCTGACCACTGATTTTTTTGGTCTACTTTTTCTATTTATTGTTGAGCCTTCTTCTATCCATTATCTGACTATAGCTGTAAATGTCTTCATTTCTCCTTGCAGTGTACACATTTTTGCTCTACATGCAGTTAATACATACTTAGGATTGCTATGTATTCCTGATGAATTGGTAATTTTATCATTATGTAATGATCTTCTTTATTCCTGCTAATATTCTTTGCTCTCAAAAATACTTGATCTGGTGTTATACTCCAGCTTTCTTTTGCTTGTTGTTAATAAGATACATCTTTTCCCATTCTTTCTGCTTAATATACTACTATCTATATTTGAAATGCATTTATAAAATACAGCATATATAGTTGGGTCTTCTTTTTTTTTTCAAAATAAAGATTATCTCCCTTTTAACTGAGATGTTCAGCTATGTACATTTAATGTGATTACTAATATGGTTAGGTTTAAATCTACCCTCTTCTTGCTTCCCATTTGTCCTATCTCTTTTTGTTCACTTTTTCCTTTTTTTCTGCCTAATTTGGGATTAAATATCTATTTTTTAATAATTTCATTTTAACTATGTTGATTTATGTGTTGTGACTCTGTTATTTTAGTGATTGCTTCAAGATTTATAGTATACATTTTTAACTTAACACAGTCTACCAACATGTGCTATTATAGCATTTCATGTAAACCCATATTACATATTTTTCTGTTTTAAATAATTATTTTCAAAGAGACAAGTAATAATTTTAAAAATGTATATTTATCCACATAGTTAACATTTTTATTGCTCTTCTTTCCTTTATGTAGATTCATATTTACATCTGGTATCATTTATTTCTGACTGAAAGACTTCCTTTAACATTTTATGTAGTGTGGGTCAGGAGTTAAGACCAGCCTGGCCAATATGGTGAACCCTGTCTCTACTAAAAATACAAAAATTAGCTGGGTGTGGTGGAGGTTACATGCCTGTAATCCCAGCTACTAGGAGGCTGAGGTGGCAGAATCACTTGAACCCTGAAGGTGGAGGTTGCAGTGGGCTGAGATTGTGCCACTGCACTCCAGCTTGGGTGACAAGAGCGAAACTCCGTCAAAAAAAAAAAATTACTTACTTTTTTCGTCTAAAATTATTTCTCCTTCATTTTTTTGACAGATATTCTGGGTTGATATAAAATTAAAGGTGACTTTTTTTTAAGGACTTTAAAAATATTATTCCACTGTCTTCTTACCTGCATTTGTTTCTGATAAAAATATGCCATTACCCTTATCTTTGGACATTTATACATAAAGTATATGTATATGTATAAAGTATATGTATATACATATACTTTTTGCTAATTTTTGCTAATTTTAAGATTTGCTTTATATCATTTATTTTGAATAATTTGATTACAATGTGTTATGGTGTAATTTTTTTCATGTTTCTTGTACCAAAGTTTTGCTGAGTTTTTAACATGTTTACAGTTTATTTTTATATGAAATTTGAAAAATTTTGGCCATAATATCTTGATATATTTTTCTTTCTCCAGATGCCCTCCTTTGGGGACTTCAGTTACACATACAATGGCCATCTGAAGCTGTTCAATTCATTGACATTTTGTTAATTTTTATTAATTCTATTTTCTCTCTGTTTTCTGTTGGATAATTATTGCTACTGATATGAAGTTCACTTATCATTTATATTTTATAGCTTTGGATCATATTATCTCTCTATGACACAGCTTGTTGGCTGACCACACTAATCCAATTAAGAGACCAAATTAACTCCTGGCCAGGCCATAGTACTTTAGAAAGGCTCCTGGCTCCTAGGTCCTAGCCTTACACAGATGTTAATTGAGAACCAGGATTTACCAGGATTCCTTTACCCAGCACACTCTAAACTCTATCTCCTATCTACAGAGCATCACAATATGGCTGGAATTCTTCCCTGATTTTCATGGGATTTCTGCTTGATTTTAGCCTCCTAGCTTCATAATACAGCAAATTTCTTGAGTTATAAGCCGGCAGAGTGTTGCATCATTTGTTTACCTCTCTCTGCTCTCTGATACCATGGCCTTTCTATGTACTAATTTTTTTCTCTTTAGACTCATATGTCTATTAAAATTCTTGTAATCTTACTAGATGCTTTTGCCCAAACTCTTCACCCAAATTCTCAGCTTGTTGCCAATGTTCAGAATCAGCAAATACTCTCAGGGAAAAAGTGGCTGCAAAAAGTTGCCCCTCCTCTCCATGGTTTGCCTTTTCCCAGGATTTTGGCCTTTAAATTCCTAGTTGCCTAAATAACTCTTTGATTCCTTTAACCAAATCTTTTAAAACTGTATTCAGCTTTTCTAGTTATTCTCAGTGAGAAGATTGATCTGCCATAAACTAATCCATTGTTGCTCAAAGTAGAAGTCTTAAACTCTTATTTTACTTGTTCAGTCCTTTGGTTTCCAATTCCAGTTTTGTTATTTAGTATTTAATATCAAGCTTTGCCCAATTCTTCGAATTTTGGCATGTTTAGCTTAAATGAGATATTACCCATGCATACCTTCAGATGAACTTTAGTTTCATTCTTTGATGTCTATAAGAAGGCAGACAAACCAATTCAGAAACACAAGGTAAGACTGGCTTTGCACAGTTAGTACTGTCTCCTAGTTGCTACCCACCCTAATACAAAACTTTATTTATAGGTTCCAAACCTCTTCAATGTGTTTTTTCTTCATTACTTTACGAATGCATAAACAGTCATATAAAAAGATACCATTATAATATTTGTGCCTTACTATGAAAATTTAAACTGTACTTTATATTTCTTTTATGTGTTTGATAATTCCAATAATTATATGAACATATAAGGGTTACTGGATAGATAATTATTAATTGCCTGAGGAATATGCTGTAGGATTTTGATGTAAAAGTCTAATATACAAGACTACATTTACCCATCATAATCTTCATTGATCCCAGCAAATTGCACTGGATTACAGCGTACAAAAATAATAAACACAAGCAGTATAAGTGATATCACAGATGTAACCATTATAAATCTCATAAGGGCTTTACAAGACATTTCTAATGTGGAAACAATGACACCTCCCAGAAGCTGGCCAAGTGCACCTCCTGGAATTAAAACAAGTCCTAAAAAAAAGGAGGAGAAAAACACAGTTAAAAATAATCAGCTGATAGTACAGATAATACATACATTGATACAATTTCCTTTGCTCTAAACATATAGCAAACATGTATTTAAACTAAAAGACAGAAAATGTACAGTTATGCTAAATAGCTTGACGAACCCGAACCTTAATAGAAACAAAAACCTGTCAGCAGGGCTGAAGCCATAGGCCTACTGACTTCAGGGCAGTGATGGTGAAGTTTTGGTCCTTTATAGTAATGCCATCAAGGACAAACCGGGAACTTAGTCCATGCAAAATGGAAGACGAGAGCTGTCTTATTGAGATCTATTATTAACAAGCTTCCTGGATTTATAGCTTATCACAAGAGACAGGATTATACTGACAAAAGTTCACAGAGATTTGTTAACAAGAATTGAACCAAGCCACCCATTAGTTCTATGAATGAACGTTCAATATTAATAATCTCACAACAAAGTGGGACTCTAGAAGAGCCATTAAAAGACATTGTTTTCTATCCAAGAGTAAGGAATTAGAAACAGGTAAGCAAAAGAAAGAGAAAAAGGAGGGGGAGGAGGAGGAGGAGCAGGAGAAATATAGTCAGAAGACAATCAGATGAGATAGCACAGTAAATTCATACATTGATGCAACTCCCTGTAATCCAAATATATAATACTGTTACATCTAAATATGAATTTAACAAGAAAAACATAGGATAAAAAACAACAAAAAAAATCCCATTAACACTAGATTAAATTTATAGAAGTGCCTGACAAAGACTTGAAAATAAACAATTTTAGAATGCTTAGAAAGATAAATGACATAAAGAGCTCCAGTCTGCAGCTCCCAGAGAGACCAATGCAGAAGGTGAGTGATTTCGGCATTTCCAACTGAGGTACCCGGTTCATCTCACCGGGACTCATTAGATAGCGGGTGTAGCCCACGGAGGCCGAGCAGAAGCAGGGTGGGGAATCACCTCACCCGAGAAGCAGAAGGGGCTGGGGAACTCCCTCCCCTAGCCAAGGGAAGCTGTGAGGGACTGTGCCATGAGGGACGGTGCTATCCGGCCCAGATACTATGCTTTTCCCATGGTTTTGGCAATCCACAGATAAGGAGATTCCCTCGGGTGCCTACACCACCAGGGCCCTGGGTTTCAAGCACAAAACTGGGCTGCCAGTTGGGCAGACAATGAGCTAGCTGCAGGAGTTTTTTTTTTTCATACCCCAGTGGCACCTGGAACCCCAGTGAGACAGAACTGTTCACTCCCCTGGAAACGGAGCCGAAGCCAGGGAGCCAAGTGGTCTTGCTCAGCAGGTTCCACTCCCATGGAGCCGAGAAAGCTAAGATCCACTGGCTTGAAATTCTTGCTGCCAACACAGCAGTCTGAAGTCAACCTAAGATGCTCGAGCTTGGTGGGGAGAGGGGCATCTGCCATTACTGAGGCTTGAGTAGGCAGTTTTCCCCTCACAGTGTAAACAAAGCCGATGGGAAGTTTGGACTGGTGGAACCCCCAACAGCACGGCAAAGCCAGTGTAGCCAGACTGCCTCTCTTGATTCCTCCTCACTGGGCAGGGCATCCTTGAAAGAAAAGCAGCAGCCCCAGTCTGGGGCTTATAGATGAAACTCCCATCTCCCTGGGACAGAGCACCTGGGGGAAGGGGTGGCTGCGGGTGCAGCTTCAGCAGACCTAAACATTCCTGCCTGCTGCCTCTGAAGAGAGCAGCACATCTCCCAGCACAATGCTCGAGCTCTGCTAAGGGAATGACTGCTTCCTCAAGTGGGTCCCTGACTCCCATGCCTCCTGACTGGAAGACACCTCCCAGCAGGGGTCAGCAGACACTTCATACAGGAGAGCTCCGGCTGGCATTTGGCAGGTGTCCATCTGGGACAAAGCTTCCAGAAAAGGAGCAGGCAGCAATCTCTGCTGCTCTGCAGTCTCTGCTGGTGATACCCAGGCAAACAGGGTCTGGAGTGGACCTCCAGCAAACTCCAGCAGACCTGTAGAAGAGAAGCCTTACTGTTAGAAGAAAAACTAACAAACAGAAAGCAATAACATCAACATCCACAAAAAAGATGCCCATGCAAAAACCCCATCCAAAGGTCATCGGCATCAAAGATCAAAGGTAGATAAATCCATAAAGATGAGGAAAAACCAGTGCAAAAAGGCTGAAAATTCCCAAAACCAGAATGCCTCTTCTCCTCCAAAGGATCACAACTCCTCACCAGCAAGGGAACACAAATGGACAAAAAATGAGTTTCACAAATTGACAGAAGTAAGCTTCAGAAGGTGGGTAATAACAAACTCCTCTGAGCTAAAGGAGCACATTCTAACCCAATGCAAGGAAGCTAAAAACCTTGATAAATGGTTACAGGAGCTGCTAACTAGAATAACCAGTTTAGAAAAGAACACAAATGATCTGATGGAGCTGAAAAACACAGCACAAGAACTTTGTGAAGCATACACAAGGAACAATAGCTGAATCGATCAAGTGGAAGAAAGGATATCAGAGATTAAAGATCAACTTAAGGATATAAAGCATGAAGACAAGATTAGAGAAAAAAGAATGAAAAGGAATGAACAAAGCCTAAAAGATATATGGGACTCTATGAAAAGACCAAACCTATGATTGATTGGTGTACCTGAAAGTGATGGGGAGAATGGACCCAGGTTGGAAAACACACTGCAGGATATTATCCAGGAGAACTTCCCCAACCTAGCAAGACAGGCCAACATTCAAATTCAGGAAATACAGAGAACACCACTAAGATACTCCATGAGAAGAGCAACCCCAAGACACATAATCATCAGATTAATCAAGGTTAAAACAAAGCAAAAAATGTTAAGGGCAGCTAGAGAGAAAGGTCAGGTTACCTACTAAGGGAAGCCCATCAGACTAAGAGCAGATCTCTCTGCAGAAACCCTACAAGCCAGAAGATAGTGGGGGCCAATATTCAACATTCTTAAAGAAAATAATTTTAAACCCAGAATTTCATATCCAACCAAACTAAGCTTCATAAGTGAAGGAGAAATAAAATTCTTCACAGACAAGCAAATGTTGAAGGATTTTGTCACCACCAGGACTGCCTTACAAGAGCTCCTGCAGGAAACACTAAATATGGGAAGGAAAAACTAGTACCAGCCACTGCAAAAACACCAAAATATCATGACCAACAACACTATGAAGAAACTCCATCAACTACTGTGCAAAATATCCAGCTATCTTCATGATGACAGGATCAAATTCGCACATAACAATATTAACCTTAAATGTAAATAGGCTAAATACCCCAATTAATAGATACAGAATGGCAAATTGGAAAAACAGTCAAGACCCTTCACTGTGCTGTATTCAGGAGACCCATCTCATGTGCAAAGACACACATAGGCTCAAAATAAAGGGATAGAGGAATATTTACCAAGCAAATGGAAAGAAGAAAAAAAAGCAGTGGTTGCAGTCCTAGTCTCTGATAAAACAGACTTTAAACCAACAAAGATCAAAAAAGCCAAAGAAGGGCATTACATATTGGTAAAGGGATCAATGCAACAAGAGCTAGCTATCTTAAATATATATGCACCCAATACAAGAGCACCAAGATTCATAAAGCAAGTTCTTAGAAACCTACAAAGAGACTTAGACTCTCATACAATAATAGTGGGACACTTTAACACCCCACTGTCAATATTAGACAGATCAACGAGATAGAAAATTAACAAGGATATTCAGGACTTGAACTCAGCTCTGGACCAAGCTGATCTAATAGACAACTACAGAACTCTTCACCCCAAATTAACAGAATATACATTCTTCTCAGCACCACACAGCATTTATTCTAAAATTGACCACATAACTAGAAGTAAAACACTCCTTAGCAAATGCAAAAGAATGGAAATCATAACAAACAGTCTCTCAGACCAAAGTGCAACCAAATTAGATCTCAGGATTAAGAAACACACTCAAAACTGCATAACTACATTGAAACTGAACAACTTGCTACTGAATGACTACTGGGTAAATAATAAAATTAAGGCAGAAATAAATAAGTTCTTTAAAACCAATGAGAACTAAGACAAGGTACCAGAATCTCTGGGACACAGCTAAAGCAGTGTTTAGAGGAAAATTTATAGCACTAAATGCCCACAGGAGAAAGCAGGAAAGATCTAAAATTGACACCATAACATTGCAATGAAAAGAACTAGAGAAGCAAGAGCAAAAACATTCAAAAGCTAGCAGAAGACAAGACATAATTAAGATCAGAGCAGAACTGAAGGAGACAGAGACACAAAAAGCCCTTCAAAAAATCAATGAATCAAGGAGCTAGTTTTTTGAAAAGATTAACAAACTAGATACACTGCTAGCCAGACTAATAAAAAAGAAAAGAGGGAAGAATCAAACAGACACAATAAAAAATAATAAAAGGGTGTCACCACTGATCTCACAATAATACAAACTACCATCAGAGAATACTATAAACACTTCTATGCAAATAAAGTAGAAAATCGAGAATAAACTGATAAATTCCTGGACACATACACCCTCCCAAGACTAAACCAGGAAGAAGTCGAATCCCTGAGTAGGCCAGTAACAAGTTCTGAAATTGAGGCAGTAATTAGTAGGCTACCAATGAAAAAAAGCCCAGGATCAGATGGATCGACAGCCAAATTCTACAAGAGGTACAAAGAAGAGTTGGTACCATTCCTTCTGAAACTATTCCAAACAATAGAAAAAGAGGGACTCCTCCTTAATTCATTTTATGAGGCCAGCATCATCCAGATACCAAAACCTGGCATAGACAAAACAACAAAGAAATTTCAGACTAATATTCCTGATGAACAGTGTTGGGAAAATCCTCAACAAAATACTGGCAAACCGAATCAAGCAGCACACTAGAAAGCTTATCCACCATAATCAAGTCATCTTCATTCCTGGGATGCAAGGCTGGTTCAACATACACAAATCAATAAACATAATCCATCACATAAACAGAACCAATGACAAAAACCACATGATTATCTCAATAGATGCAGAAAATCCCTTCGATAAAATTTAACACCCCTTCATGCTAAAAACACTCAATAAACTAGGTATTGATGGAGCATATATCAAAATAATAAGAGCTATTTATGATAAACCCACAGCTAATATCATACTGAATGTGCAAAAGCAGGAAGCATTCCCTTTGAAAACTGGCACAAGACAAGGATGCCCTCTCGCACCACTCCTATGCAACATAGTATTGGAAATTCTGCCCAGGGTGATTAGGCAAGAGAAAGAAATAAAGCGTATTCAAATAGGAAGAGAGGAAGTCAAATTATCTCTGTTTGCAGATAACATGATTGTATATTTAGAAAACCCCATAATCTCAGCCCAAAATCTCCTTAAGAGGATAAGAAACTTTGGCAAAGTCTCAGGATACAAAATCAATGTGCAAAAATCACAGGCATTCCTATACACCATTAGTAGACAGAGTACCAAATCATGAGTGAATTCCCATTCACAACTGCTACAAAGAGAATAAAATACCTAGGAATACAAGGTATTTACAAGGGATGTGAAGAACTTCTTCAAGGAGAACTACAAACCACTGCTCAAGGAAATAAGAGAGGACAGAAGCACATGGAAAAACATTCCATGCTCATGGATAGGAAGAATCAATATCGTGAAAATGGCCATACTGCCCAAAGTAATTTATAGATTTATGCTATTCCCATCAAACTACCATTGACTTTATCCACAGAATTAGAGAAAACTACTTTAAACTTCATATGGAACCAAAAAGAGCCCATACAGCCAAGACAATCCTAAGCCAAATGAACAAAGCTGGAAGCATCACGGTACCTGACTTCAAATTATACTACAAGGCTACAGTAACCAAAACAGCATGGTACTGGTACCAAAACAGAGATATAGACCAATGGAACAGAACACAGCCCTCAGAAATAATGCTGTGTATCTACAACTATCTGATCTTTGACAAACCTGACAAAAACAAGCAATGCGGAAATGGTTCCCTATTTTATAAATGGTGCTGGGAAGATTGGCTAGCCATATGCAGAAAACTGAAACTGGACCCCTTCCTTACAGCTTATACAAAAATTAACTCAAGACAGATATAAGACTTAAATGTAAAACCTAAAACCATAAAAACCCTAGAGGAAAACCTAGGCAATACCATTCAGGACATAGGCATGGGCAAAGACTTCGTGACTAAAACACTAAAAGCAAAGGCAATAAAAGCCAAAATTGACAAATGGAATCTAATTAAACTAAAGAGCTTCTGCACAGCAAAAGAAACTATCATCAGAGTGAATGGGCAACCTACAGAATGGGAGAAAATTTTTGAAATCTATCCATCTGACAAAGGCTAATATCCAGAATCTACAAGGAACTTAAACAAATTTACAAGAAAAAAACAAACAACCCCATCAAAAACTGGGCAAAGGATATGAACAGACACTTCTCAAAAGAAGACATTTATGTGGTCAACAAAGACATGAAAAAAAGCTCATCATCACTGGTTATTAGAGAAATGCAAATCAAAACCACAATGAGATACCATCTCATGCCAGTTAGAAAGGCAATCATTAAAAAGTCAGGAAACAACAGATGCTGGCAAGATTGTGGAGAAATAGAAACACTTTTACACTGTTGGTGGGAGTGTAAATTAGTTCAATCATTGCGGAAAACAGTGTGGTGCTTCCTCAAGGGTCTACACCAGAAATACTATTTGGCCCAGCAATCCCATTACTGCTTATATATCCAAAGGATTATAAATAATTCTACAATAAAGACACATGCACAAGTATGTTTATTGCAGCACTATTTACAATAGCAAAGGCTTGGAAGCAACCCAAATGCCCATTCATGATAGACGGGATAAAGAAAATGTGGCACATATACACCATAGAATAGTATGCAGCCATAAAGAAGATTGAGTTCATGTCCTTTGCAGGTCATGGATAAAACTGGAAACCATCATTCTCCACAAACTAACACAGGAACAGGAAATAAAACATCACATATTCTTACTCATAAGTGGGAGTTGAACAATGACATAAAAATGAAAGTGTTCATATAAATAAAGAAGAAAAATAAAAAGAGATGATAAAAAAGTGAATAAAATATAAATAAGAAACCTGGATATTAAAAAATATAATTCTTAAAAACTCAAATCTCAGGATGACCTTCAGACTAGAGACAATTATAAGCAAATTGATAAAGTACACTGTGTTATTACAGTGTGTATTAAAAAAAGATAAAAGAGTGAGAGAAGAATAACCAAAACAAACAAAAGACAATGAGTACAGGGGAGAAACCTGGCAAATGCTACCTCAGCCAGGTGATCAAAGTCAAATTCAAAAGCAGTCACTCACATGGATAGTATATTCCCTTGATATGATGTTTTGAAAATGATACTTTACCTCTGGGTCTTCCTTCCAAAAACTATAATCCCAGTCTAATCATGATAAAAATATTAGGCAATTTTCTATAGTGGGACATCTTACAGAACAACTGGCCAGTACTCCTAAAAACTGTAAGGTCATCAAAAACAAGGAAAGACTGAGAAATTGTCATAGCCAAGAGAACTTCAAAGAGACATGACAACTAAATATAGTGTAGTATCTTGAATGAGATCCTGGGACAGAAAAAGGACATTAGGTAAAAATTGAAAAAAATCTGCACAAACTATTGACTTTAGTTAGTAATATTGTATTAATTTTGGTTCATTAATTATGACAAATCTACCATGCTAATATAAGATGTTTATAAAAGGGGAAACTGGGTGTACAGTATGTGGAAACCCCCTCTCTCTGTGTGTGTATGTATACATATATATATATATATATATTTTTTTTTTTTTTTTTTTTTTTGAGACCGAGTCTTGCTCTGTCACTAGGTTGGAGTGCAGTGGCATGGTATTGGCTCACTGTAACCTCTGCCTCCTGGGTTCTAGCCATTCTCCTGCCTTAGCCTCCCAAGTAGCTGGGATTACAGTTGTGCACCACCATACCACCATACTAATTTTTGTATTTTTAGTAGAGACCGGGTTTCACCTTGTTGGCCAAGCTGGTCTTGAACTCCTGACAAGTGATCCACCCACCTCAGCCTCCCAAAGTGCTGAGATTATAGGCATGAACCACCATATCTGGCCAGAAACTCTCAATATTATTTCTATCTTCAAGATATCTAAAACTGTTCAAAAAATAGTTCTTGAAAAAAAGATAATAAAAATAAATAAGAAGCTCCACAAAAAGGCTTCTAGCAGTTGTGAAAAAACAATACAAGTAATACCAGAAAAACAATTGTTTGAAAAATTGCAGCTGAGGATGAAAAATTTACATAATTAATGAAATATTAGCCCTGGAAATAAATGTACACTCCAACTACTGAGAAGTAACAAAAAGTCACCCTTACAGATAACAAGGTAGGAAATCTTCATAACAACAAGAATAAAGAAAAAAATTGTATAAGCTGCTAGAGGACATATTACTTTTATTTTACATTCAGGGATACATATGCAGGTTAGTTATATAGGTAAACTTGTGTCACAAGGGTTTGTTATACAGATTATCTCATTACCCAGGTAAAAAGCTTAGTACCTGATAGTTATTTTTTCTGATCCTCTCCATCCTACCACCCTCCACCCTCAGGTAGGCTCCAGTGTCTGTTGTTCTCTTTGCATCTATAGGTTCTTATTTAGCTTCCATGTCTTTGCTATTGTGAATAGTGCTGCGATGAACATATGCATGCATGTGTCTTTGTATAGAAAAATTTATATTCCTCTGGGTATATATCCAGTAATGAGATTGCTGCATCACATGGTAGTTTTGCCTTTAGCTCTTTGAGGAATCACCACACTGCTTTCCACAATGGCTGAACTAATTTACACTCCCACCAGCAGTGTATAAGCATTCTCTTTTCTCTGCAACCTCGCCAGCACTTGTTATTTTTTGACTTTTTAGTAATAGCCATTCTGAATAGTGTGAGATGGTATCTCGTGGTATTGATTTGCATTTCTCTAATGATAAGTGATACTGAGGTTTTTTCATATGACTGTTGGCCACATGTCTTCTTTTGAGAGGTGTCTGTTTAAGTCCTATGCCCACTTTATTATGGGGCTTTCTTTTTCTTCTAAGTTTAAGCTCCTTATAAATGCTTAAGCTCCTTATAAATGCTGGATTTTAGACCTTTGTCAGATGCTTACCTTGGAAATATTTTCTCCCATTCTGTAGATTGTCTAGTTTACTCTGTTGATAGTTTCTTTTGCTGTGCAGAAGCTCTTAAGTTTAATTAGATCCCATTTGTAAACTTTTACTTTTGTTGCAATGGCTTTTGGAGTCTACGTCCTAAAATCTTTGCCAGTTCCTATGTGCAGAATGGTATTCCCTAGGTTTTCTTCTAGGGTTTTTATAGTTTTGGGTTTTACATTTAAGTCTTTAATCCATCTCAAGTTGATTTTTGTATATGGTATAAAGAGAGAGTCCAGTTTCAACCTTCTGCATACGGCTTGCCAGTCATACCAGCACCATTTACTGAATAGGGAATCCTTTCCTCATTGCTTGTTTTAGTCAGGTTTGTTGAAGATCAGATGGTTGTAGGTGTGTGGCCTTACTTCTGGGCTGTCTATTCTGTTCCATTGGTCTATGTGTCTGTTTTTGTACCAGTATGATGCTGTTTTGGTTACTGTAGCCCCGTAGTATAGTCTGAAGTTGGGTAATGTGATGCCTCCAGCTTTGTTCTTTTTGCTTAGGATTGTCTTGGCTATTCGAGCTCTTTTTTGGATCCATATGAATTTTAAAATAGTTTTTATCTAGTTCTGTGAAGAATTGCATTGGTAGTTTAATAGGAATAGCACTGAATCTGTAAACTGCTTTGGGCAGTGTGGCCATTTTAAAGATATTGATTCTTCCTATTCATAAGCATGGAGTGTTTTCCCATTTGTTTGTGTCATCTCTTATTTCTTTGAGCAGTGTTTTGTAATTTATTGTAAAGATCTGTAAATTCCCGGGTTAGCTGCATTCCTAGGTATTTAAATCTTTTTGTGGAAACTGTGAATAGAATTGCATTTCTAATTTGGCTCTCAGCTGGCTGTTGTTGGTGTATAGAAATATTATTGATTTTTGTATGTTGATTTTGTATCCAGAAACTTTGCTGATGGCTGTTTCTCAGCTTAAGGAGCTTTTGGGCCAAGACTATGGGGTTTTCTAGATATAGAATCATGTTGTTTGCAAACAGGGATAGTTTGGCTTCCTCTCTTTTTATGTAGATGCCCTTCATTTCTTTCTCTTGTCTGATTGTTCTGGGCTGGACTTCTAATATTATGTTGAATAGGAATGGTGAGAGGGGGCATCCTTGTTCTGGTTTTCAAGGGGAATGCTTCCAGCTTTTCCCCATTCAGTATAATGTTGGCTGTGGGTTTGTCATAGATGGCTCTTATTATTTTTAGGTATGTTCCTTCAGTACCTAGTTTGTTGAGAGTTTTTAACATGAAGGGATGTTGAATTTTATTGAAAGTCATTTCTTCATCTATTCAGATGATCATGTGGTTTTCACTTTAGTTCTATTTATGTGATAAATCATGTTTATTGACGTGTGTATGTTTAACCAATCTTGCATTACAGGGATAAAACCTACTTGATCATGGTGGATTAGCTTTTGATGTACTGCTGGATTTATTTGCTAGTATGTATTGAAGATTTTTGCATGTATGTCCATCAAGGATATTGGCCTGAATTTTTGTTTTTTTGTTGGTCTCTTCCAGGTTTTGGTATCAGGATGATTCTGGCCTCATAGAATGAGATGGGCAGGAGTCTCCCCTCCTCAATTTGTTGGAATAGTTTTAGTAGTAATGACACCAGCTCTTCTTTGTACATTTGGTAGAGTTTGACTGTGAATCCATCTAATCCTGGGCTTTTTTTGGTTTGTAGGCTATTTATTGCTATTTCAGTTTTGGAGCTCATTATTAGTCTGTTCAGGAATTTAATTTCTTCCTAGATCAGTCTTGAGAGGCTTTATGTGTCCAGGAATTTATTCATTTTTTCTAGATTTTCTAGTTCATGTTTGTAAAGGTGCTCATAGTAGTCTCTGATTGTTATTTGTGTTTCTGTGGGGTCAGTGGTAATATCCTCCTTATCATTTCTAATTGTGTTTATTTGGATCTTCTCTCTTATTAATTTTTCAAAAAACCAACTCTTGGATTCATTGTTCCTTTGAATGTTTTTTTGTGTCTCCATCCCCTTCAGTTCAGCTCTGATTTTGGTTATTTCTTTTCCTCCTCTAGCTTTAGAATTGGTTTGCTGTTGCTTCTCTAGTTCTTTTTGTTGTGATGTTAGTTTTTAAATTGGGGTTTTTCTAACTTTTTGATGTGAGCATGTGGTGCTATACATTTCCCTCTTCATACTGCCTTAGCTATATCCCAGAGATTCTGGTGTTTTGTATCTCTGTTCTCATTCTGTCTTAATTTCATTACTTACCCAAAAGTCATTCAGGGTGGGTCATTTAATTTCCACTTAATTGTATGGTTCTGAGCAATTTAATTAGTCTTGATTTCTATTTTTATTGTGCTGGGGTCCAAGAGAGTGGTTGGTATGATTTCAGTTCTTTTACATTTTCTGAGGATTGTTATATATCTGATTTTGTGGTTGATTTTAGAGTATGTGCCATGTGGCAATGAGAAGAATGTATATTCTGTTGTTTTTTTGGTGAAGAGGTCTGTTGATGCCTCTCAGGTCTATTTGGTCTAGCATTGAGTTCAGGTCCTGAACATCTTTGTTAATTTTCTGCCTTGACAACCTTTCTAACACTTTCGGTGAGGTGTTGAAGTCTTCCACTATTAATTGGTGGGGGTCTAAGGCTCTTTGAAGGTCTCTAAGAATTTAATTTATAAATCTGGTTGTTTCTGTGTTGAATGCAGATATATTTAGGATAGTTAGGTCTTCTTGTTGAATTGAACCTTTCACCATTATGTAAAGCCCCTCTTTGTTTTTTACAATATTTGTTTATTTAAAGTCTGAAATTAGAATTGCAACCCCTTCAGTTTTTCATTCATTTTCCCCTTCAGTTTCCATTCGCTTGGTAGATTTTTCTTCATCTATTTTTGAGTCTATTGGTGTCATTGTATGTGAGACACATTTCTTGAAGACAGCATATCATTCGGTCTTGCTTTTCTATTCAGCTTGCCACTCTGTCTTTTCATTGGGGCATTTAACCCATTTACATTCAAGGTTACTATTGCTATATGTGGATTTGATCCTGTCATCATGTTGTTAGCTGTTTATTATGCTGACTTGTTTGTGTGATTGCTTTATAGTGTCAATGGTTTGCATACTTAAGTGCATTTTTGTAGTGGCTGGTAATGGTCTTTCCTTTCCATATTTAGTGCTTCTTTCAGGAGCTCTTGTAAGGCAGGTCTGGTGGTAAAAAATTCCCTCATAATTTTCTTGTTTGAAAATGATTTTATTTCTACTTCACTTATGAAGCTTAGTTTGGCTGGCTATGAATTTGATTGGAATTTCTTTTCTTTTAGAATGTTGAATATAGGCTCCCAGTCTCTTCTGGCTTGTAGGGTTTCTGCTGAGAAGTCTGCTGTTTCTGCTAAGAGGTCTAGCTTGTAGGGTTCCTGCTGATAGGTCTTCTAATAAGCTTTCCTTTGTAGATGGCCTGTCCTTTCTCTCTAGCTGCCTTTGACATTGTTTTTTCATTTTGAAGTTGGAGAATCCTATGATTATGTCTTAGGGATGATGTTTTTGTGAAGCACTTTGTGAGAGTTTCCTGCATTTTCTAAATTTGAATGTTGTCCTCTCTACATAGGTTGTGAAAGTTTTCATAGATGATATCCTGAAATATGTTTTCTAAGTTGCTTCCATCCTCCCTATCTCTTTCAGGGATGATAGTGAATTGTAGATTTGGTCTCTTTACATAATTGCATATTTTTGTTCATTTTGTTTGTTCCTTTTTATTCTTTTCTCTTTCATGTTTTCTTTCTGTCTTGTTTCAGAAACCCAATCTTCAAGCTCTGAGATTATTTCTTCAGCTTGATCTATCCTGCTGTTAATACTTGTGATTGCATTATGAAATTCTCATAGTGTGTTTTTATCTCTATCAAGTCAGTTATGTTCTTTTCTATACTGGCTACTTTATCTTCCAGATCCCGTATACTTTGTGATTCCTAGCTTCCTTAGAATGAGTTTCAACGTTCCCCTGAATCTTGATTTTTGTTCCTATCCATATTCTGAATTCTATTTCAGTCACTTCAGCCATCTAAGACTGGTTAAGGACCCTTGCTGGAGAACTAGTGAGGTTGTTTGAAGGAAAGAAGACCTTATGGCCTTTTGAATTGTCAGAGTTCTCGTGCTGCTTTTTTATCTTTGTGGGCTGATGCTCCTTTAATCCTTGAAGTTCCTGTCCTTTGGATTTTTTTTTCTTTTATCCTATTTGATGACCTTGAGGGTTTGCTTGTTGTATAAGGTGGGTTCATTCAACTGGCTTTGTTTCTGGAAGATTTTAGAAGGCAAAGGCTCAGCTCAGGACTCCTGGACTGTGTGGCCTAACTCCTGGGGACCAGTATTGGGCACTGGCTTTGTTCTCTGGCTCCTCAAGGTAGAAACATGCTGTGCTGGAGGGGTCAAGGTGCTCCTGGACTGCTGGTCACAACACTCCAATGGACGGTGGCAGCCAAAGCACTTTGTAGGGCAGTGGCAATGGGATCCATCCTGTTTGCACATACCAGCAACAGCAGCAGCGGCAGCATGGCAGAGTGCATGCTTTTTGGCTGTGGCAGGGTGCTGGCAGGTACTGGGGTGCTAGCCTCCATGGGGGAGCTAGTGAGGTTTTTTGAAGGAAAAAAGACATTCCAGCTTTTTGAGTTGTCGTAGTTCTTGTGTTCTTTAAAGGATACAATATTTAAAATTATTATAGTTGCACAAGCTTCTCTTTTGGTTAGCATTTGTATCTTTCGTCTATCCTTTCACTTTCAACCTTTTCATGTCCCCATATTTAAGGAGTGCCTCTTGTTAGTAACATATATTGAAATTTTTTTCCCAATCTGACATTCTTTAGACTATTTATATTTAACATAACTACTAATATATTTATTGGGTGAAAACTTTCTGTATATCTTGCAAGCAGAAGCACTGACTGCTCTTTGTTCTCCACTATCTTTTCAAGGATATTTATACGATGAGTAGCCTTGAATAATAAGGATAGTATTTCCACGTAGAGCACAGGACAACTTTGCTTAGAATTTTGGAAGACAGAGAGAGTGTCCCCTCTGGACACTCTTTATCAAGTATAATGCCTCCCTCTGGAGCCAAAGACAAGCATAATTACTGCCCACTATAAAAGACCTGGGTTCCCTAACCTCAAGATTTCTTTCATGTAATGCAACTCATTGTGTGTACAGATATCACCTGGCCTCTTTTCACATCACCCTTTGGAAACTGGAGCTCAGAAACCTAGCAGGAACTCTCATTACTGCTATTGCTGTGAGTCATAAACTTTATTTCATCTCTGACCAAGAAGTTTGGTGTCTTCTTCCAGCACACATGAAACTAAGTTAGGTTAACTTGTTAGCTTACAGATAGGATGAAATTCAAACCCATTACAGATCTGAGCACTCTTGGCAACAACGATGGGATGCTAACAGAGACGTGGCTTTCTGTAGCTGCAAGCTGAAGTAGGTTTAAAGACAGCTCCATAGAAAGTACCATAGGTCTTATCAACTCTTCTCTAGGCAAGCAAACTTCCTTGTCAATCTGGCCATCAGCTTCAGGACTGCCCCACTGTAAAAACTATTACTATTTTTTTTTCTTATTAGACAGAAGATTCCTTCTGCTTTCAAGTTACAGATAACAGTTCCAGCAATGTGCAATTACCCTGAGTGTAAAAAGAAAAAAAATTATAGCCACTATGAGCAGAGACCAGGTGAATTATCAGAATTTTAGTTCATTTTCTTGGGACATGATAAAGTGCAGTACATAATTTCTTGTTTAAACAAAATAGCCAATAGCTGGGTTGACTGGAGGTCCAGCTCCTCTTCCAGTCTATCATGCCAATCTTGGATCCATTTTAAGACAATAAAAGACCTCAGAGTTTTTTGTAGTGTGTCCTGACTGCTATAAAGTAGCTTTGCTGTGACCCTCTTAGGAAGATTTTCCTAAGACAAATAAAATTCCTGTGTGAAATCATAGATGAGGCATTGAATAGATTTTGAACTCTCATCATTCCTGAAAAGAATGTGAAGTAAGCTTGTGGGTGGTACTCTGGACAATTTCAATGCATGTTTGTTGTAGCCTCAATATACTGATGCTGTAGCTTCAATTTCTAAATATATAATTAGTATTTATATTCTATAATATTATACTATGACTGCTGTTAAACTCCAGAAGTGATAATGGAACACATGAATTGTTACCCAACGTGCCTCCCTGTTTCCTCTCACACGGTCTAACAGAAACAATGTAGAATCCAAGAAGCAGAAAGGAAAGTCCTAGCTTTGAGTATATAAGGTAGCAGGGGTACTAAGAAATGCAGTATTTCCATTCAACACACATCATGGCCAGTGTAAAAGGTTATCAGGACCAGGTGTGGTGGCTCACGCCTTTAATCCCAGCACTTTGGGAGGCCAAGGCGGGCAGATCACCTGATGTCGGGAGTTCGCGACCTGCCTGAGCAACATGGAGAAACCCCGTCTCTACTAAAAAATACAAAATTAGCTGGGCGTGGTGGTGCATGCCTATAATCCCAGCTACTCGGAAGGCTGAGGCAGGAGAATCGCTTGAACCTGGGAGGTGGAGGTTGTGGTGAGCCTAGATTACATCATTGCACCCCAGCCTGGGCAACAAGAGTGAAACTCCATCTCAAAAAAAAAAAAAAAAGTTATCAGGAGCTGGAGCTGGAGGTTTATAGTGGATTGATTATTGTTGATTTCAGTTATTGCTCTTATAACCCTGGCTGTTCCAGGCATTGTGATGTAACCAAATCTACTACACAGACTGATTACATTTAATATACTGTATTAGACTTTGCCAAGACATTCTTTTCTATCCCATTGGCACCCAAGGACAAAGACTAATTCTCATTCATGCTTAAAAACCACAAATATACCTTTACAGTAAGAATACTGTAATATTCTTTAGTTATTCCTCAGGAGTACCTAAAGCTCTGCCATTGGCTACAAGAAGGTGCATAAGAATTTAGTGTGATTCCCATTACCTTCTGATGCCTAAACCTTTCACTGATAGATGATATGCAGTTGGCTAGAGACTCTCAAGCCTTAGACTCAATGGCTCTAACTTTGGTATTATCACACCTTCACCTGCAAGGGTAACTGATAAATCCCAACAAAACCCAAAGACTGCACATCAAGTTTCTGGGGGACTATGCAAATGGATTCACAATGCTCAATTACTCTGGAAGTCAAGCAAAAAAATGTCTCATTTCCCTCCAACCAAAAGGGAACCTAATGTCACTTTGGACTCTGGGTATCAGAGATGGTAGATGTCTGTCTTGGGCATTCTTTTATAACAGCTAACTTACAGGGAGTGTAATTCGCAAACCTACATTGAAGCTGATAAGCAAGCTGTGGCATACTCTCTTCTTTGAGCTGCTAGAAATTTAATGATCCCCATGAGCTACAAATCTCCATGACTGATAATTTCATGGACTGCAGCCTCTAGATAAAAGATATAGGCTCCATTCAGAAACACCTGCTGTTGTATAACACTCACTGACTCCCTAAAACAGCTACCATTTGAAAAGCAACTACTAGCTTACACTGCCATCTTGTCAAAACCAAAGTCCTAACTTACAGCAATCTTTTGACTTTGTGAACTTATATTCTCATTTTGGGATGAACTAAACCAGCCTCATAACTATTTGACAAGCCTTACTTGTCAAATGGAAATGATAGATTCAAGAACATAGGGGTGGTCATAAAAGATCATCAAGTGTTTATATCACCACCAGCAGATCACATAGCTCTTAGAAGATTAGAAATTTCTCTAAAATGAAGTTACACTCAGTTACTCAAGGGAGCTTCCTGGCAAGATTAGTGGTATGCTATTCATACACAGCCTTACTGAAGCCATCTTTATGATGAGAGTAATACAATTAGAAACTATAGGGCAAAATTTGTCTGTGACTTGACTTGAAATAATCAATGACACCACCTCATTCCTGGAAAGCACTCTGCTCAGCCTCACTTACTGATCAACATTATTACAGATGATAAAATTACCCCAAATTTCATTCTTGCCAAGGTAGAATTTGCAATTGCTAATGTATTCTGTTATACTTTGATATCTCAGGCTAAGTGGAAAGGTCAGTAGAGAAACTTAAGGAGAAAGCCACCTGATTTTTTAAGATAGACCTTGATGGCTTAAGGATTTGTTCAGCTGGCTAGATCCAGGAGCTTGAGGGAGTCAATACTGCATGTAGCCTTACCCTGGTTCTTGGAATCCATTGATAATAGCCTTAATTAAATATAATAAGAAACAAATGGAATGAATTTACTCCTCACATTCTGCTGATTTGATTAATCAGAGTGCCCCAAACCTGGTGTGCTCATGAAAAAATTTGTCATTATGGCCATTGAAAGCTGATCTATTTTGGCTTTTTGGATAATTTGCAGTCAGACAAGCCTTTTATAAAAAATGTACTCCATAAAAGGTTTAGATTTATACTCAGGATTTCTGCACATCTTATTTGCTTTCTATTTTGCCCACATGCTTTTTGTTTTCTGTCATTCCTTTCTTTTTTTAATTAATTAAATGTTTCCTATTAATATAGTCTCTTACTACTACTACTTTATTGGTTATCCTCAAAGTTACTGGATGCATCCTTGACCTTTTACACCCTAAAATAAATCATTGCATTTACAACTTTCCTATTAATGCTAAAACTTTAAAACATTTAATTCCATTTGCAACCTCTTTTGGAGAGCCAATTCTCAATATCTCATAAAATTGTAAATGTACACAATAGCAATTTCCCTTCAATGTCTAAACTTACATCAACTTTTACAAATGTACAGAAGGAGATATCAACAAACCTTTTCATTACTACGCTGGTTGGAAGAGAGAAAAAGTGGGAGGCAACAACATATCCATTAATTGGATAATACATAAACAATAGTATACTCATAAAATAGGATCATAAAATAAAATAGCAAACTGAAATGCATTAAATAGATATAGATCAACACAAATCTAAAGAACATAATTTCTGATGAAAAAATAAGCTGCAGAAGAGTATATATAAAGTGATACATAAATTTTAGAAATAGGTGTATATAGACAAGCACATAAGCAGTAAAGATGTACAAACATGCATGGGAATGATTCACTCTGACTTCAGAAGAGTGATTACCTGTGAAAAGGAATGAAGATAAATGGGATAAAGGAGGAACACGGAAGTTTTTACAAGGATTTATATGTTAAAAATATTGACACTATGATGGCAAAGTGCTCATATTTGTAAAATCTGCACAAATCATATCTAGGTATATAATTCTTTATATTTTTATTTATTTCAAGTATTTCATAAGTACATACAATAAGACAGTGCAAAATTTTTGAAATGACAATAAGAAGGTAAATCTACCTGCAAGTGTAGTTGCCACAGTGGGTGTTAATATAAACTGATTTTCTAAATATATAGGCAAAAATTCAGAAGCTCCAATAATAACTAAATATTCTGTAGCTTTTGACAGAGCTAGGCATATGAGCACTGGATTCTTCATCAGAATCTGAAATAAAAATAAGTTATATATCTATTATTTTATTTTGTTAGATAAAGAGGAATAGACAGAACCAAATGCTAATGATCTGTCTACAAAAATTTACCATTCCCAATCTAAACTGAAAAGATAATTGATAGATAGATGATAGATAGATAGATAGATAGATCAGACAGATCCAAACAGCAATCTATGATTCACCAATATACAAATTCTATAAAAGAAAGTTTGTTTTTGACCATTTAAATTTTGATTTGCTCTTCATACTACTTTAATTTTTATTTATGGGCTTGGAATTTTTTTGTAAAGATTAGAGAAAAATAGGTAAATTATTAACCATATATCTAGAATTTCTCCTTACTTTTGCTTCTCTACTTATTTTTTTAAGCAAGTCTTTTTTATTCAACTAAAACACAAACAAAGAAAATTTAAGCAATACTCAAGAAAAACCAGTAGGACTGCAGAAAATGTTTTATATTTTACTCCTGGAAATCTACCTATACAAATAATTAAGTTATTTAAATTTTGCATTTTGGTAAACTTGTGGAACTTATTTAGAAGGCTAAGATGTGATGGTTTATTATTATCTAATATACTACACAGAGTAATTAAAAAGATAGTAAAATATTAACTTTCAAATTAGTTTCTGTATTTCCTTGGTTATGCGTATCTCACTGAAAATATATTTAGTGCTATTTTATGTTTACATATTTCTAATTTATTTAAATTTTCTTTTTCTGGCCCTAAACATCCCTGTTAGGTATGATCATAGTCTGCAAACTCAACTAGTTCAAATTCTCAGTGCTATCTGATTTTACATAGTGTGATTCTGCCATATTTATTCATTCCCATAATATTAAATACTTGTCTTGCCTTCAACTCTCTACCATCACAAACTACACTACATTAAACACCCCTGTGCATGTACTTTAAGGTCCAGTGATAGAGTGTCTCTAGAAGCATATATCCTAGAAAGGAATTCCTAGGGCATAAGGATTTAGCATACTTTATTCCACCATTTCTCCAGATTGTTCTCCAGAATGTATCAGGTTACACTAAAATGACTATACCACCACAATGATGGTAGTGTTTCATTTTCTTCATTTAGCTTGTACTTTCTAAAAGTTATCAAAGAAATATTTATGGTTTAGCATGCCCATCCAGAACTATGTCATTTCCACATAAAAAGGTCATTAAACTTGGAAAGGCTTTCTAATTGTCACAATGAAACAAATAATGCTACATGACTTCTGAGGTTGGGTCGTAAAATGAAAATATGACTTTTGCTGGGATCTTTCACAGTCTCAGAACTTTTGCCTTGGGACTCAGTCACCATGTTGTAAAAAAGCCCAAGAGAGATGCAGAGGATATGTATGGGTATTCTAGCAAACAGACAGTATCAAAAAACTATAGAGCAAACAAGCCTTCAGATGGTTCCATTCTCCAGACTTTGATCACTCTAGCTCAGGGATCCCCAGCCTCTATAGAAAGAGTAAGAGGCCAGTCCATTGCCTGTTAGGAAACAAGCCGTGCAGCAGGAGGTGAGTGGCAGGCGCGCTCTGCATCCTGTTAGATCAGCAGCGGCATTAAATTATCATAGGAGCACAAACCCTATTGTGAACTGCACATGTGAGGGATTTAGGTTGTGCGATCCCCATGAGAATCTAATACCTGTTTATCTGTCACTATCTCCCATCACCCCTAGATGGGATGGTCTAGTGGCAGGAAAACAAGCTTAGGGCTCCCACTGATTCTACTTTATGGTGAGTGTGTAATAATAATAGAAATAAAGTGCACAATAAATGCCATGAGCTTGAATCATCCTAAAACCAGCGCCTCCATCCCAGAAAAAATTTCTTCCACAAAACTGGTCCCTGGTGTCAAAATGTTGGGGACTGCTGCTCTAGTTGACCCCAAGTATAGTTGAGAGGGACAAGCCCTGTCCAAATTGCATTCTCATAAGCAAAATATATTTTATATTGTTTTAATCCACTAAGTTATGGGGTAGTTTATTATGCAGAAGTAGATAACATAATCACAAACACTTGGTATTATTAGCTGGCTTTCAAAATGTTGCATTGGTAACAAGTATAAAGTAGTACCACAATGCTTTGTTTCCTATTTCTCTAATTTCAAATCTAATTGAAACTTTCTTTACACAGTTCTTAGCTATTGGGATTCTTTTTGTGTGTATGAACTGGCTCTTTCTATCTCTGTTAGGCTTCCTGAAATTTGGGGGTAGATTTTCTAAAAATTGCTTGTGTATTCTAAACATTAATCACTTGGATTTAGATATCTGTCACCCATCTATTATTGTGGTCTACAGTTTCTTTCATAGAACAGAAATCCTTGACTTGATATATCTAATCCATAAAGTTCGAATTCATATTTAATATTATTGCAATCTTGTTTAACATTTTCCCACCTCTATACCACAGAGGTATTTCTTTCATTTTTACATTAACTGTGTTTTATCTAATCACATTTTATTAACCTGGAAATCACTTTTATACATAATAGGAGGTAGAAATCCATGGTCATTTTTCACAAATAGCCCAATTGGCTATCACATCTACTGAACAATTATCTTTTCAGTGACTCTTTTATTACATAGCAAGTTCTTATGTGTAACATTTAGTCTGTTGCTGAATTCTCAGTTCTCTTACATTGATCTATTAATCTATATCAAGGAAATGCTACACTGTTTTTACTACAGTGGTTTTTCTAGTGAGTCTTAATGGGAAATAGGTCCAGTGCTCTTTGTTTTAGGTATCCATTCCCTTATTCTGCCATACAAATTGTATAATCAGTTTCTCATTTTCTAAAAAAATAAAATTTTTGCCATAGTATTGATTATACTTGCATTGGATTCATAGATTATTTAAGAAAAAACTAACATACATGAATATTGTCATTTCAAACATTAACATGGTTTAGCTATCAATTTATCCCAGTCATCTTTAATAATGTTGCATAAAGTTTTAATTTTTTCATGAAGTTTTTTTAGCATCTCTGTTAAATAAATTTCTGAATTACAGTTTTGTGATTACTTTTTACTTTACTTTTACTTTATTAGCTAATTTTAAATGTAGATTATTCTTTTTATTTATTCTATAGTTTTTTTATTTTACCTTTATTTTTTATTTACTTATTTTATGTAGTAGATTCAAATATTGATTAACTAGAGAATTACAGCTTTTTTCATACGTTCTTCTAGCTCACAAATGTTATTTATTCATTTATTTTAAAATAATTATTGAGAACTGAATATTAAGCACATTTACCCTAAAGAGAGTTATAGCTATATCCTATGATTTTATATAAAAATATTGGTCTGTACTAGCTGCAACAGGCAGAATAAGAAACAAATCTAGTTTTTAATCTTGGCCCTGGAACTGATTTTTGGAGCATCAATAAGCAAATCACAGTTTCTCCATATCTCGTTTTTAGGAAGTATTATATTACACTAGGCAGATTTCTGGATTTAGAGTCAAATACAACACTTATTCTTATGCTCTTAGCCTCAATTAAGCCACAAGTAATGGATATGTGTGTTTGTGTGTGTATGTGTGTGCATAACCTATGTTGTTTTGGAAAAATTACTCATTCTTTTTAAATTACTGGTTCACTATCTGTAAACGAGAAACAATAATGTCTATTTTTTTGAGTGGTTATGATAATTGAATACATGTAATGGTTTAATACAACTTCTGGCACATAACAAGTGTCCAGTAAAAATAAACATTAATTTCTTAATTTATAAAATTAAAGGATTGCACGGGATTACGAGATTTGTTGTTTGCAAACTTTAGCGTGCCTTGAATTATCTACATGGTATAAAACACAGATCGCAGCTCCTATTCCAGATTTCTGAATCTGGAATGTGTTTAAGCTCTTTCAGATTAAAAGGAACAGACGCTGTTAATTCCACTGATGCAATTTATCATAAGGTTAAACATAAAAGTAAGAAAACGAATACACTTTCTCAGTAGCTAAACAATTCAGCATTCATAAAGAAATGAGACAACGGGTTGCGCGCAGTGGCTCATGCCTGTATTCCCAGCACTTTGGGAGGCCGAGGTGGGCGGCTCATGAGGTCAGGAGTTCGAGACCAGCCTGGCCAACATGGTGAAACCCCGTCTCTACTAAAAATACAAAAATTAGGCTGGGTGCAGTGGCTCACGCCTGTAATCCCAACACTTTGAGAGGTCAAGGCGGGTGGATCACAAGGTCAGGAGATCAAGACCATTCTGGCTAACATGGTGAAACCCTATCTCTACTAAAAACACAAAAAATTAGCCGGGCGTAGTGGCAGGCACCTGTTGTCCCAGCTACTCGGGAGGCTGAGGCAGGAGAATGGCGTGAACCTGGAAGGCGGAGCTTGCAATGAGCTGAGATGGCACCACTGCACTCCAAGCCTGGAGACAGAGCGAGACTCCATCTCAAAAAAAGACGGAAAAAAAGAAGTGAGACATCATTCAGAGTAAGTCTTAATTACTTCAAAGACCCAGATATTCAACTTACTTCTGTCTCCTTATTGTGTATTCATCTAGGTCTATTTTAGCTAGTGACTATTTTCTTCATATTTACTTCTCTTTCTCAATGGCCCTTTGTACTTTTATTTTTGCTATGTCAGTATATCAAAGTTGTGTTGTTTGAGTTTCCCACTCTTCCTCTTATTCATACTTTCCCCCAAAAGAGGAACTGACTAGATTAGTTAGTCACTCTTCAACAAGGTGTCCTTACTGGACATTGTTCTCAAATTAGGACATTTCCCAGGTTTAGGGGTAATCTAAAAATTGCTTTATTAAGCTCAAGTGCTGATGCCAAAAACTGTAACAGTTTTGGCTAAAACATTTGGATTACATTATACAGAGCATGGTAACCAATGCACAAGGAAATATTTCTGGGCACTGTATTCTGAAAGGGACTGTGAGAATAGCAAATATTAAGAATGCCATAGATTTCCTTCCAATAAAATACCCAGGATTTTCTGCATTTTAAAAAGTCTATTTCTTTTCTTAAAAATAAATATGACAGGGAAAGGTGAAAGCCAGATAGATATACAAATAAATATACAAAGAGTTTTATGCAGTGAACTCAGGCTCAATTCTGACAGATGTTGACATAAAAAGGGAGAAATCAGAATAGTGCTATACAGTAGCAGACAGTGCTATTCAACCATCCCTATCTCGCAGTACTGTGGCTATTAGGTAGCCCTTGTTAATCACAGAATTTATCTACAACCAAGGTTTTTTCCACACGAGAAGGGGTTCATTCTGGTCTAGGATTGCTTTCCAGTTAGGCTAGGTACTCCTACATGTGCTTACTTAGTAAGAGTCTGAAATAAGAGTAGGATCTGCAAATATATAAAGTATAAGGTATAAAGGCTGCAGAAAAGTAGTTTTAAGCTAAGGATAGTCCTCTAATAGAAGTCAAAAACAAATGATGAGGAGGAAATAAAGGCAGAGGAATGTTGCAAGGAGGAAAGGGTTTGTAAAATCTCAACCAGGGCTTATTGAAGGTGGGACATATAGTGTCCCAACTAATTTCTAGAATTTTATCTTTCAAGCATTGATTTACTCCCTACCCTAATCAAGTTTGCATGGCAGAAGACACTGATTCTGCCAGTAAAAGACCTTTCCCTAGAGACAAAAAGGATGAAAACATAAGTTAAAGAGGAGACCAATAAATCACTCTGTTTTACTTTGTGATTTAACTTCTTATTTGATCTGTTCTTGATTCTTTATGCTAAATAGCCATAATTAGCCATAGAAAATAAGTAATGGCTCATCAATCTGTCCATCAGAATAAAATATCTCCTCTAGAAAATGCTGCTAATTGCAAATTTAAATTTTTTTTTGCTAGCTCTGCTGGCATTTCACCTCTTTTATTTTCAGAAAAAACAGTTTATTTAGAGTCACACCTAGGAGATGATTCAGAGACTAAAACTACTACAAAATGTTCTGACCTAAATACAAGTGAGAACTATAATTTTGTTTTCTTTCATTTTGTTTTCAACTTTCATTTTAGGTTTGTTACATGGGTAAATTGCATGTCATAAGGGGGTGTGGTTTCAGAAAATTTTGTCACCCAGATAATCAGAATAATGGCCTCCAGCTACTTCCATGTTCCAGTGAAAACTAAAATTTCATTTTTGTATAGCAGCATAGTATTCCATGGTGTATATATACTACATTTTCTTTATCCATTTCACCACTAATGAGCATCTAGGTGGATTCCATGTATTTGCTATTGTGAATAGTACTGTTATGAACATATGCATGCATGTGTCTTTATGATAGAACAATTTATATTCCTTTGGGTTTATATCCAGTAATGGATTGCTGGGTCAAATGGTAGTTCTGTTTTAACTTCTTTGAGGAATTGCCACACTGCTTTCCACAATGGCTGAAGTGATTTACATTCCCTCCAGCGGTGTTTAAGAGTTCCTTTTCTCTGCAACCACACCAGCATCTGTTATTTTTCCACTTTTTAAAATAGCCATTTTTGCTGGTGTGCAATAACATCTTATTGTGGTTTTGATTTGAATTTCCCTAATAATGAGTGACACTGAGCATTTTTCATATGTTTTTTGGCCACATGTATGTTTTCTTTTGAAAAGACACTCTTGAAAAAGTGTCTGTTTATGTCCTTTGCCCATTTTATAGTGGGGTTGTTTGGGGTTGTTTTGCTTGCTGATTTGTTTGAGTTATTTATCGACCTTTGTCAGACGTATAGTTTGCAAATATTTTCTCCTATTCTGTAGGTTGTCTGTGTACTCTGTTGATAGTTTCTTTTGCTGTGCAGAACGCTTTAGTTTAATTAAGTCCCACTTGTCAATTTTTGTTTTTGTCATGATTGTTTTCAGAGTCTCCATCGTGTCTTTGCCTGGGCCAACATCCAGAATGGTATTTCCTAGATTGTCTTCTATGGTTTTTATACTTTAGATTTTACTTTTAAATATTTAATCCATCTTAAGTTGATTTTTGTATATGGTGAAAGGTAGGGGTCCAGTTTCAATTCCACATATAGCTAGCCAGTTATCCCAGCATCATTTATTGAATAGGGAGTAATTTGCCTATTGCTTGTTTTTGGTGGCTTTGTTGAAGATCAGATGGCTGTAGGTGTGCACCTTTATTTCTGTGTTCTCTATTCTGTTCCATTGGTCTCTGTGTCTGTTTATGTACCAGTACCATGCTGTTTTAGGAGCCTTGTAGTACATTTTGAAGTTGGGTAGTGGCATCCTCCAGCTTTGCTCTTTTTGCTTAGGATTGCTTTGGCTCTTGAGGGTTTTTGTTGTTGATGATGTTCCAAATGAATTCTAGAATGGTGGTTTTTACTAAGTCTGTGAAAAATGTCATTGGTAGTTCATTAGGATAGTATTAAATCTGTAAATAGCTTTGGGCAGAATGGCCATTTTAACTATATTGATTCTTCCTATTCATGAGTATGGAATATTTTTCCATTTGTTTGTGTTGTCTTTGATTTCTTTCAGCAGTGTTTTATAGTTCTCCTTGTACGGATCTTTGAACATCCTAGTTAGTTGTATTCCTATATTTTAGTCTTTTTGTGGCTATCGTGAATGGGATTGCATTCTTGATTTGGCTCTCAGCTTGGACATTATTGGTGTAGAGAAATGCTACTGATTTCTGTACATTGATTTTGTACCCTGAAACTTTGCTGAAGTTGTTTATGAAATCTGGGAGCCACTGGGAAGATACTATGGGGCTTTCTAGGTATAGTATTACATTGTCTGTAAAGAAAATAAGTTTGACTTCCTCTCTTCCTATTTGGATGTGCTTTCTTTCTCTTGCTCTGGCCAGGACTTCCAATACTATGTTGAACAGGAGTGGTGAGAGAGGGCATCCTTGTCTTGTTCCAGTTTTCAAAGGGGAATATTTCCAGCTTTTCCCCATTCAGTATGATGTTGGTTATGGGTTTGTAATAGATGACTCTTATTTTGAGGTATGTACCTTCGATGCCTAGTTTGTTGAAACGTTTTTTGTTTTTTGTTTTTGAGATGGAGACTCACTCTGTCGCCCAGGCTGGAGTGCAGTGGAGCGATCTCGGCTCACCGCAACCTCTGCCTCCTGGGTTCAAGTGATTCTTCTGCCTCAGCCTCCCAAGTGGCTGGGATTACAGGCACCCACCACTATGCCCTGCTAATTTTTTGTATTTTGGTAGAGACAGAGTTTCACCATGTTGGCCAGACCAGTCTCAAGCTCCTGACCTCGTGATTTGCCACCTCAGCCTCCCAGAGTGCTGGGATTACAGGTGTGAACCACCACGCCCGGCCCTGTTCAAAGTTTTTAACCAAAAAGGATATTGAATTTTATCAAAAGGATTTTCTGCATCTATCGAGATGATCATGTGCTTTTGTTTTTAGTTCTGTTTATGTGGTGAATCACATTTAGTGATTTGTGTATGTTGAACCAACCTTGCATCCCAGAAATAAAAGCCTACTCAATTGTGGTGGTTTAGTTTTTTGACATGCACCTGGATTCAGTTTGCTAGTATTTTTTTGAGAATGTTTGCATTTATGTTCATCAGGGATATTGGCCTGAAGCGTTCTTATTTCACTTGTGTCTCTGCCAGGTTTTGGTATCAGAATGACGTTGGCCTCATAGAACATGTTAAGGAGGAGTACCTCCCCCTTGATTTTTTTAGAATAGTTTCAGTAGGATTGGTTATCAGCTCTTCTTTATGTGTCTAGTAGAATTTGGCTGTGAATCTGTCTCATGCAGAGTCTTTTCTGGTTCGTTGGTCGTTTTTCTTATAATTGATTCAATTTTGGAACTCAATACTTGTCTGTTCAGGGTTTCAATTTCTTCCTGGTTCAATCTTAGAAGGTTGCATGCTTCCAGAAATTTATCCGTTTCTTCCAGATTTTCTAGTTTGCGTGCATAGTGGTGCTTGTAATAGTCTCTGAGGGTTTTTTGTATAACTGTGAGGTTAGTGGTAATTTCCCCTTTGTCATTTCTGATTATGTTTATTTGTATCTTGTCCCTTTTCTTCTTTATTTGTCTACCTAGTGGTCTATCAATCTTATTTATTCTTTCTAAGAACAAACGTTTCATTTCATTGATCTTTTTATGGTTTTTCTCATCTGCGTTTTGTTCAGTTCAGCTCCGATTTTGTTTCCTTCTTTTCTTCTGCTACCTTTGGAGTTGGTTTGCTCTTGTTTTTAGTTTCCCTAGGTGTGACGTTAGATTGTTAATTTGAGACATTTGTAACTTTTTTATGTGAGTGTTTAGCACTATAAACTTCCTTCTTAACAATGCTTTAGCTGTGTTCCAGAGATTCTGGTATGTTGTATCTTTGTTTTCATTACTTTCAAAGAATTTCTTGATTTCTGCCTTAATTTTATTGTTTACCCAAAAGTCACTCAGGAGCAGACTATTTAATTTCCATGTAATTGTATGGTTTTGAGAGATCTTCTTGATATCGATTTCTATTTTTATTGCACTGTTGTTTGAGAGTGCAGTTGGTATGATTTCATTTTATTTGAATTTGTTAAGAATTGCTTTATGGCTGATTGCGTGGTCAATTTTAGAGGATGTGCCATGTGCAGATGAGAAGAATGTATATTTTGTTTTGGTTAGATGGAGTGTTCCATAGATGACTGTTAGGTACATTTGGTCAAGTGTCAAGTTTAGGTCCCAAATATCTGTTAGTATTCTGCCTCAGTGATCTGTCCAATACTGTCAGTGGGGTGTTGAAGTCTCCCACTGTTATTGTGTAGTTATCTAAGTCTCTTCATAAGTCTCTAAGAACTTGTTTTATGAGTCTGGGCATTCCAGTGTTGGTTGCGTATATATTTAGGGGAGTTAGCTCTGCTTGTTGAGTTGAACCTTTGTCATTATATAATGCCCCCCTTTGTCCTTTTTGATTATTGTTGGTTTAAAGTTGGTTTCGTCTGAAATAAGAATAGCAATCCCTGCTCTTTATTGCTTTCCACTTGCTTGATAGATATTTCTCCATCCTTTTACTTTAAGCCTATGGGTGTCCTTGCATGCGAGATGGGTCTCTTGAAGATAGCATACAGTTAGGTCTTGCTTTATTATCCGACTCGACGGTCTGTGCCTTTTAAGTGGGAGCTATAACCCATTTCTGTTCAAGGTTAATATTCATATGTGTGGATTTGATCCTATCATTGTGTGGTTAGCTGGTTGTTATGTAGACTTGATTGTGTATTTGCTTTATAGTGTCAATAGTACTTGAGTGTGTTTTTGTGGTGGTCAGTAATGGTGTTTCATTTCCATGTTTAGCATCCCCTTAGGAACTTCTTATAAGGCAGGCTCGGTGGTAACAAATTCCCTTAGCATTTGCTTGTCTAAAAAGTATTTTATTTCTCTTTGGATTATGAAGCTTAGTTTGGTTGGATATGAAATTCTTGGTTCTAATTTCTTTTCTTTAAAATTCCAGAATATAGACCCCCAATCTCTTCTGGTTGTAGAGTTTCTGCTGACAGGTCTACCGTTAGCTTGATGGGGTTGACTTTGTAGGTGACCTTTCCCTTCACTCTAGCTGCCTTTAGTGTTTTTTACTTTGCATTGACCTTGGAAGATCTGATAACTATGTCTCTTGGGGATAGTCATCTTGTATAATATCTCACAAGGGTACTTTGAATTTCCTGATTTTTTTTTTTTGAGACAGAGTCTCGCTCTGTTGCCCAGGCTGGAGTGCAGTGGCACAATCTCGGCTCACTGCAAGCTCTGCCTCCCAGGTTCATGCCATTCTCCTGCCTAAGCCTCCCAAGTAGCTGAGACTACAGGCACCCGCCACCACACCCAGCTAATTTTTTGTATTTTTAGTAGAAATGGGGTTTCACCGTGTTACCCAGGATGGTCTTGATCTCCTGACCTCGTGATCCGCCCGCCTCGGCCCCCCAAAGTGCTGGGATTACAGGCGTGAGCCACCGTCCTGATTTTTGTATTGACCTCTCTAGTGAGATTGGGGAAATTTTTGTGGACAATATCCTCCAATATGTTTTCCAAGTTGCTTGCTCTTTCTCCCTGTCTTTCAGGGATGCCAGTGAGTCATAGACTTGGTCTATTAACATAATCTCATATTTCTTTGAGGTTTTGTCCATTTTGTAAAATTCTTTTTTATTTTTGTCTGAGTTAATTCAAACCACTGGTCTTCAAGCTCTGAGATTCTTTCCTCAACCGATAATACTCCCAATTATGTCATGAAATTCTTGTAGTGCGTTTTTCAGCTGTATCATCTAGATTTGGTTCTTTCTTAAAATGGCTACTTAAGCTTTCATCACTTTCATCATTTTACTGGATTCCTTATATTCCTTGGGATGGGTTTCAGCATTATTCTGAATATCTAAAATCTTCATTTCCATGCAGATTCTGAATTCTGTCATTTCAACCATTTCATCCTGGTGAATAAGCATTGCTGGGGAGCTAGTGAGGTTGTTTGGAAGTAAAAAGACATTCTGGCTTTTAGAGTTGCCAGGCTTTTTGTGCTGGTTCTTACTCATGTGTGTGGGCTATGTTCCTTTAACCATGGTGTAATTTGACTAGAGTCAGTTGACTTCATTTCTGGATGTTTTCAGAGGGCCAAGGCTTTGTGCAGCATCTTTATTTGTGACAGAATTCCTGTGCTTGGTTTCACAGCGGGATATATTAGCCAAGTATTTTCAGTGTTGAAGTTTGGGCTGCAATCCAGTAGATGGCACTTAAGCATCATGGCCAGTAGGTGGGCTCTTGCTCAGCCATGCAGCACCTCTGTATTTCCTTGTATTTGCAGCCATGCTCTCTCAGTGCTCTGAGAGTGTGGGCTCCTTTCCCACTAGCACTGGCTGCAGATCTCAGCTTGGCATTTCCGGGCTGCGCATCATAGCCCTGGGGCAAGCTGATGCCTTTTCTTCCCTCCCTGGCTTGGAGGCACCAGGGGCAAGGATCTTGGCAGTGGCAATGGCAGAGGGCCTTTCACTAATCTCTTGGGGCTCCACTCCAGAGAAGCACACCAATTGGTATGATTAGCCCAGGGTGAAGCACCTGTGTTGCAGGCCCAAGCCGAGGTGCCCTGCCTAGTAGTGAGCAGGGGGCTCACAGGCAAGAAAGACTGGTCTTTTCTTCACAGGGCAGCCATGGCATGCTGGAGGTGTGAGTACAGCACTCAGACCCTTTATCTCTTTGCCAGCCTAAGGATAGTAACCGTGGTACCACTACAGCAGCAAGGGCAGAGGGGCTGTGAGTTGTCTCTGGAATTTCCTTCCCAGAGAAATGCAGAGCCATCATCAACTGAAGGGTTCAGGTTGGGGCAGGGTGACTGTGCTGGGTGCCCAAGTGGAGAGGCCCTGCCCAGTGAGGAGTCACAGGGGCAGGATTCCATGTGGAAAACAATCTGGTCGCTTTTGTATAAGGAAGCTACACTGTGCAGGAGGCCTGCAATAGTCCTTAAGCTCATTGCTCCCTATCGAGCCTGAGGGCAGTAGAGTGGCATAAATAGCAGGCCTGTCCGTTACCTCTGGGAGCCCCATCCCAGGGATATACAGAGCTGCTACCAGCCTGAGAGCTCAGGCAGGGGTGGGTTGGCTGTGCTAGCATCCCATGCCAGTGAACTTTGTCTGGCAAGGTGTAGTGGAGGCTAGGCCCTCAGTCCATCTTGCTTATCAGCACTGTGGATATGGCCCCTATCCTGGGGGCATGTGAGAGAACCTGGCCTCCTTTATTGGCAGAAACACAGCTGCTAGCATAGGGGTGTTCAGGAGTCCATTGCCCTGGGATTTGGCATGTACCTGAACAGCAGCTCTGCACAGGCTCCATGCAGCTCTTCATGTCATTCTGGAGGCCCTGGATGGAGTGGGTTGGGGGAATCTCCTGTGCCCAGGGTTGCAAAGATCTGTGGCAGAAGTGTGGGACCTTGGGAGCTCTCACTCACTTGCTGTTTCCCCTCCGTGGGGAGCCTACCATGGTTCTATACCAATCCCAGGTGGGCAACTGTCCTGTCTCAGTCTTCCCTCTTCTCCATGGGTCATGTTGCTTCCTTGATGAATCCCAATGTGTCCTCCTGGACAGGCCAGTTGATAAGCTAGTGTTTACTTGCCACTCTGTCTCCTCTCCATGACAGCAGCACACACTAGCTGCTTCTAGTCAGACATCTTGGCACTCTCTAATATAGTTTTGAAAATTATGTTATTTAAATAGGATTTATATTGATTCTTCTTTCTATGATAGCCATTTACTTGCTTTCAAAGGAAATTCATTGTTTTAACTACCAATAGGAAGATGACTAAATAATTTGGACAGCAGCTTCCTTTGATTTATTTTGTCAGCAATTAACAGTCATATAGCAATAATAGCTCACATTCATTTTGTCTTTTACAGTTCACAATATGTTTAATATCATAATATTCATTGACACTTCCTTATTCATCTGAGTCCTATTATGCAAATATATAGTCCCTGTAATAAGGCAGGAAACTTACACGTGAGATGAAGAAAAAGGATAAGAGGGTTGAGCTCTCTGTTCCACACATTTAGAGGGAGCTTTTCCTCTATAAAATATTATTCCTTACCAAATTCCATCCAGGATTTATTTTTTTGCTTTTTGCTTTTCTGTGATCTTTCCTAACCTCCAAACTTTATGTTTTTATTCTTTTTTTAAATATTTCTAATCCATTTTATTCTTACAGCTATAGAGAGGTAGCTTTTTTCTTATCCTCTGTTCTACCTTCTGTTCTAAAAGTCTAATTCCAACTACTTTTACATTTATAACTTTTAACCTCGTGGATATTATAACTGCATAAAAATGTTAAATATTTTGTATTTGTTTCAGCTTTTATACTTTATTTTACTTGCATCTATCTTGTCTACTTTAAAACTATTAAAATTACTGACATTTTCATAAACTCTTTCCTTTCCTTTTTGGAAAAATGTTTTAAAAAACATAATGACCTGCAAGAAACATGGTAAGAGTAGATAATCCATTCGAAAAATAGCTAGTTTTTTGTCTCACTTTATAAAAATTCATTACAAGAAAAGACTATTTTTTAAAATCTATGCCTAGACACTCAGGAGAAGTATATTTAAACCAGCTCCCAATCAATAAGTCTTATAATGATGGTGACATATGATTTCTTTGTTGGAATGATTTTCTAGTTGTCCTTGTGTCAAGAGTTTCTAAACAGCCATTGGATTTCAAGAAAATGATCCAAACCAAATGGCATGAACCATGAGGGATAGAACTATAGAATTAATAGAGAAAGACAATTGGCCTTTAGCAAGTTAAGTTCCTCCAAATACTCTTTTTTAGTTTTATTATTTTCCAGTCAGTTTTCCACTCTTTTATCAAGATAAAAGGAAACTTTGGTTATGTAGTCCCCCTAATTTTTTGTGCAATTCTTCCCCTAATCTAAAATCAGAGATATCTCACATAAGCCCAGTTCAAGACCAGCCTGGGCAACATAGTGAGATTTCTCTACATAAAATTTAAAAATTAGCTGGGTATGGTGATGTGCACCTACGGTCCCAGCTACTCAGGGGGGCTGAGGGAGACTGAGGCTGCAGTGAGCCATGATCATGCTGCTGTGTTTCAGCCTGGGTGACAGAGTGAGACCCTGCCTCAAAAAAAAAAAAAAAAGAAAGAAAGAAAGGAAAAAAGCAAACATTTTAAAAATTCTTTTGAACATTCTTATAATAGTTTACATGAAGTCTTTGTTTACTACATCCAACACCTGAGCCACCTCAGAGACAGTTTGTACTGACTTTTTCTTTATATGGGCCACATTTTCTTCTTTCTTTGCATTTTTCATGAGGTTTTGTTGAAAATTGGACACTTTAAATAATACGTTGTAGCTTTTCTGGATTCTGACTTCCCCACCCTCAGGAGTTGCGTTATTGCTGTTTTCTGTCTCTTGTTTATTACTTTTCAGGACTAATTAAATAAATTCTATCTTCCTAGGAGTATGCAGCCACTGAAGCCTATGTTCTATTTTTAATTATTTTCCTCATTTTTAAGCCTGGCTTCCCAGGAGTCACCCTGGGTCAGCATACCTTGATGGCCACCCAATAATTGGGCAGGGGTTTTACTTAAATATCTTGAGTCAGTAGGGCTTCCACTTTTTGCTGAGGGGATCTGTACATGGATTGGATCACATATTCAAGTTTCAGGCAGTTTACAAGCTACTTTGACTTTCACTTTCTGTTTATGTAAGGACTTGTGCTCAGCCAGGAACCAGTAGATAACTGGGGCCATCTCTGACCTCTCCTGAGTGTGTGAACCCTTTCAGATCCCCATGAATATATTAAAGCTTTCAAAGCCTAATATCATTGGCCAGATATATCTTTTACATTTTTGGCTGGTTTACTGTTTCCCCTAACAACTATTGCTGCCTCTGGTAGCTACGATGCTGGCCTTTTCCAAAGACTGGCCACCAATATTGTAATTGCTGACTACAATGTCCCAGGACTTTTCCATGGAGCTCAAAACTAGATCAACCACCTCAAGTGGCAGGAAGACTGTTAGCCTTCACTGTTACCAAGACATGGAGGGTAGGGAGGAAAGAAAAGACAATGGATGCAGTCCCAAATTTAAATGCCACAGACCCTACTCTTCTAACCAATGCTCAATAATTCTTGAATAAATGCTTTCAATTTATTGTATGCCTTTGCTTAATTTCCAGAGTTTCAAAATAGTTGTTGACAATTCTGCCAGTTTTACCACCACATTTTGGAGGTCAGGATTTTCCACGTTTCTCTCTTTGCAATTCTAAAAGTGCCACCTTCTGATAAACTTCAAAAAGAAATCAGATATCATCTAGTTATCTACTCAGATAGATGTTAGTCAGAAGTCTAAGATTGTTACCAGGCATTATATGGTTTTATATCCTGTCTAACAATAATAATAAAATCCTCCATTTCCAAGTAAGAAGAATTGGAATTGGCTTGCTTTTTTTTTTCTTTTCTGGCAGTAAACTTAAAACAAACAAAAAAAACCTTAAAACACTCATGTTTAAATTTTCTGAAGTGTTTTTAATAATTGTGTCTTAATTTTTAGCAATATGAAAGAGATTATAACTAATTGGCTTCTGTATAGTTAAAATATATGTACATGTAATATTTTGATAAAAATTAAAACTAAATACAAATCTGAATTAAATGTAACCAATTAGGAGGGATGGTTTATGATTTGATTAAAAGATAAACACAGAATAGAAACAAGTAAACATATTTCTGATTTTATACAACATACACATTTGTTTTAGGATTAAACCAGTATAACAAAATATATATAAATATATATATATATATATATAAATTATGTTATAACAAAGATCTATGAAAACATTAAGGAGGGAGAAACTCATTTTGCCTGGGAATATAAGGTGAGATTTGACAAAGAGTTTTTTTATAATAGAGAAGAGAGACAATGACATTTTAAATAGATAGATTAGCATCTACCAAAATACAGGACTATAAAATTACCTAATGTGTCCAGGAAAGACCAAGTGGCTGGAATGTGGAGGACAGAGGGATAAAATTCTAAGAAAATGGGATAGGAAAATTCAGTTGATGCTACTGTGAAAGATCTTCAAAGTCCTATTAAAGGGTATGAAATTCATCTATCAAGTAATCTGAGAAATGGCGTGATAAAATCTGTATATGAGAAATACAATTTTGCAAACAACAGAAAGGATGAAGTTATGAATAGCAGAAGAGAAAACAAATGGAAAGTCAAATCATTATTTAAGTTGGTGTTTTTTAACTCTACAATGTCTATATTGTAGACCTTGTTTCACTTAGAAAAACAAAGATTTTCTTCATTTAATATTGAGATATTTTCCACAAAACATGATGCTTGTGGGACTATTTTTCAACTTCTAGAGTTCTCTTCTGAGTTACTTAAACATAATAAAAAAGATAATATTGATACATGCATGTCATCCCATTAAATGCCTTATTTACTTCTGCAGAGAAAAAATTAACACGAAATAATATAAAACTAAAAGAAACAGAAGGAAAATACCTGGTGCCAATCTCTGACACTAGTCAAGTTATTGGCAAAGCCAGCCCTATTTTTTATTATCTGTAAAGTGAACAAGTTAGTTAAAAGACTTCAAAAGTCTTGATACAAAAATCCTCAATAAAATACTGGTGAACCGAATCCATTAGCACATCAAAAAGCTTATCCACCATGATCAAGTGGGCTTCATCCCTGGGATGCAAGGCTGGTACAACATATGCAAATCAATAAACATAATCCAGCATATAAAGAGAACCAACGACAAAAACCATATGATTATCTCAATATATGCAGAAAAGGCCTTTGACAAAATTCAATAACCCTTCATGCTAAAAACTGTCAATAAATTAGGTATTGATGGGATATACCTCAAAATAATAAGACCTATCTATAACAAAACCACAGCCAATATCATACTGAATGGGCAAAAACTGGAAGCAGTCCCTTTGAAAACTGGCACAAGACAGGGATGCCCTCTCTCACCACTCCTATTCAACATAGTGTTGGAAGTTCTGGCCAGGGCAATCAGGTAGGAGAATGAAATAAAGGGTATTCAATCAGGAAAAGAGGAAGTCAAATTGTCCCTGTTTGCAGATGACATGATTGTATATCTAGAAAACCCCATTGTCTCAGCCCAAAATCTCCTTAAGCTGATAAGCAACTTCAGCAAAGTCTCAGGATACAAAATCAATGTGCAAAAATCACAAGCATTCTTATACACCAGTAACAGACAAACAGCCAAACCATGAATGAACTCCCATTCACAATTGCTTCAGAGAGAATAAAATACCTAGGAATCCAACTTACGAGGGTTGTGAAGAACCTCTTCAAGGAGAACTACAAACCACTGCTCAACGAAATAAAAGAGGATACAAACAAATGGAAGAACATTCCATGCTCATGGGTAGGAAGAATCAATATCGTGAAAATGGCCATACTGCCCAAGGTAATTTATAGATTCAATGCCATTCCCATCAAGCTACCAATGACTTTCTTCACAGAATTGGAAAAAACTACTTTAAAGTTCATATGGAACCAAAAAAGAGCCCTCATTGCCAAGACAATCCTAAGCCAAAAGAACAAAGCTGGAGGCATCACGCTACCTGTCTTCAAAATATACTACAAGGCTACAGTACCAAAACAGCATGGTACTGGTACCAAAACAGAGATATAGACCAATGGAACAGAACAGAGCCCTCAGAAATAATGCCACATATCTACAACCATCTGATCTTTGACAAACCTGAGAAAAACAAGCAATGGGGAAAGGATTCCCTATTTAATAAATGGTGCTGGGAAAACTGGCTAGCCATGTGTAGAAAGCTGAAACTGGATCCCTTCCTTACACCTTATACAAAAATTAATTCAAGATGGATTAAAGACTTAAATGTTAGACCTGAAACCATAAAAACCCTAGAAGAAAACCTAGGCAATACCATTCAGAACATAGGCATGGGCAAGGACTTCATGTCTAAAGCACGAAAAGCAATGGCAACAAAAGCCAAAATTGACAAATGGGATCTAATTAAACTAAAGAGCTTCTCCACAGCAAAAGAAACTACCACTGGAGTGAACAGGCAACCTACAGAATGGGAGAATATTTTTGCAATCTACTCATCTGACAAAGGGCTAGTATCCAGAATCTACAATGAACTCAAACAAATTTACAAGAAAAAAAAAACAACCCCATCAAAAAGTGGGCAAAGGATATGAACAGACACTTCTCAAAAAAAGATATTTATGCTGCCAAAAGACACATGAAAAAATGCTCATCATCACTGGCCATCAGAGAAATGCAAATCAAAACCACAGTTAGATACCATCACACACCAGTTAGAATGGCGATCATTAAAAAGTCAGGAAACAACAGGTACTGGAGAGGATGTGGAGAAATAGGAACACTTTTACACTGCTGGTGGGACTGTAAACTAGTTCAACCATTGCGGAAGTCAATGTGGCGATTCCTCAGAGATCTAGAACTAGAAATACCATTTGACCCAGCAATCCCATTACTGGGTATGTACCCAAAGGATTATAAATCATGCTGCTATAAAGACACATGCACATGTATGTTTACTGTGGCACTATTCACAATAGCAAAGACTTGGAACCAACCAAAATGTCCAACAATGATAGACTGTATTAAGAAAATGTGGCATATATACACCATGGAATACTATGCAGCCATAAAAATGATGAGTCCATGTCCTTTGTAGGGACATGGATGAAGCTGGAAACCATCATTCTCAGCAAACTATTGCAAGAACAAAAAACCAAACACTGCACGTTCTCACTCATAGGTGGGAATTGAACAATAAGAACACATGGACACAGGAAGGGGAACATCACACACAGGGGCCTGTTGTGGGGTGGGTGGAGGGGGGAGGGATAGCATTTGGAGATATACCTAATGTTAAATAATGAGTTACTGGGTTCAGCACACCAACATGGCACATGTATACATATGTAACTAACCGGCACGTTGTGCACATGTACCCTAAAACTTAAAGTATAATAATAAAAAAGAAAAAAAAAGTCTCACCCAGATTTAGGTTGAACCCTTTATGGGTATTTTCATAAGTTCATTATTAGAAAATTAAACAGGTCAACTTAGTTGGATTGTTCAAGTAAAATATTTTACTTTACCCAAAGAGCAGCACATAAATCCTTGATATTAGTTCCAAGTTTCAGATCTTTAAGTCTGCTGTCAAAAAAATGAAGCTGTTTACGTTTCCTAGCTTTTATCCGTGTTGAACCTATATATAAACAAGTAAAAAAACTTATGACATATTCAAATAACTAAAACCCATACATAAAACCTACATACACACCCTAATAAATTCAATTAATCCTGAAATGGCAAATGAGTTATTTTTGAACAAGCTAAACTCAATCTCATTAATTAAAAGACACAATCTTCTAAAACAGTGTTGTCCTGAAGAACATTCTGTGATAATGAAAACTTTCCATATCTGCCCAGTCCAATACTGTAGCCACTAGCTACACATGGCTGTTAAATACTTGAAATGTAGCTCCTATGACTGAATAAATAAAATTTTAATTTATTTTAAAATTTAGCCACACTTGATTTGCCCTAAAATATGAGGGAATAATCTTTGATATAACTAAAACTATTTTGTGCCAATGAAATGTACTATAATCAGGAGAGTTATTTGATTTCTTTGACTTTACATGTATTTTTCAGTGTTTCTAAGAAAATTTTAACAGTTATTATTTTATCTTACAATTCTAAGGTAGTCAATACATTAAATGCTAGGTAAGTAGATTTAAATATGCTTGTTTTCAAGACACTGTATGAACTCTAGATATAAAGCATCTTTAAAAGGAAATAATGAGAAACAAAAATATGCACTAATTCTAATGAAATTCTGGTCCAGGTGTGGTGGCCTACACCTGTAATCTCAACGCGTTGTGAAGCTAAGGTGGAAGGATAGTTTGAGGCCAGGAGTTTAAGACTAGCCTGCACAACATAGCAAGACTCCATCTCTAGAACAAAAAGGAAAAATTTTAAAAACTTGCTGAACATGGTGGCATGCACCTGTAGTCCAATTCTACTCTGGAGGTGAGGCAGGAGGATGACTTGAGCCCAGAAGTTTGAGTCTGCAGTGATCTGTGATCATACCACTGCACTCAGCCTGAGTGACAGAGCAAGGCCCTGTCTCAAAACTAAATACAAAGAAGAAGAAATTCTGGTACATAAATCAAATAATATTTGGCTGTAATGCTGCTTTATTTGCTTAAATAACACTAGCACTTGACACTGTATCTCTATGACAAACCACTACAGCGAGAGGCATACTCATTTTATTAAAAATGTAATACAGTCATTCTATGAGAATAAGAACCATGGTGGAAGAAACTACTATCCTCCAATTTAATAAATTACATTTTATAGTCACCTGGCATATTGTTTGGAAAGCATGACAATGGTATTAATGTACACCATGCAACGACAGCGGCAAAAAGAAAATTAATCCACCAAGTCCATAGCCATTCTGGACTACCATTATTGACTGTAGTGCTTTAATAAAGAAAAGTGAAAAAAAAAAGCAACTTTAGGTATTTGATTACAACAAAACCATAATCAAACAGAGTGGAGAAAGTGAGAGTGAGAGAGGGAGGGTTGGAGAGTGAGACAGAAATGGAACTTTTTTTGTTAATTTGTTACTATTGTTTGTTTTGTTGAGTGGGAATAATTGTGAGTCCCCAATTATGTGCTTGTTTTGTCTTACAGGATTCTAATATTTTCCCTTTTCCTTCTTTTTCTTGGCACCACTCAGGTAGCAAAAAGTACTTGTTTCTTCCTATTTAACTTTTTTTTATCCACCAGAAGCTATGTATTTGGAACACTACCTTTTTAAATCTTACCTTTCCTTTAAAATCATTCTTAAAAATCAAGCACTGAGACCTTTATGACAAGCTTGGCCCCTTATGTTGCAGAACTGAAGCTTTTTATGGCATTTAATCCTTTCAATTACAAATATTTTGAAATCCCTTTCTTCTAGTCCCTTCTCCGAACTTTCAGATTTAGTGTGAATGTATCCTTCTAGTTATTATTCCAAATCACCCTTAGGACCCTTTGCTGTCTTCTGTCTTCTCTGCAATTTTTCTTCATCTGCCTTTGTTCACCATAAAGCCTTGCAGTGGGGAAGGTGATATTGGAAAGTCGAGGATTCTATGCTGGGATTTGTTATTATTCTCATTTTACTCATAATTATTTTGCAGTTTAAGCATACTTTGTCTTCAGTTAATGCTGAAGCCAGGGATTTGTGGAGAATTTTCATAGTTGTGAAGCTATTCTATCATTTAAGGAGGAGATTAGGGGAGGTTGATTAATACATAGACGCCATTGTCTTCTACTTCACACACATTTAAGACCCCCTCCAAACAGTCATTGTGGGAAAATGCTCACATCCACAGAAACCATAGTTTTGGAAGTGCTGGTTTTTCATGGGTGTTTCTGTTGCCAACCAAGATCTGGTGAACAACTTCTTACAGACCTTGTTTCTCATAGGAATGTAGAGAATGTACACTGTCTTATTCACTGATGGGACAGCTCTTTGTCTACTGCTAGCATTATTAAGGAATAGAAATTCCAATTTTCCTAGGGTTGCAGTCTTGATTGTCATTACCCACTTATCTCATATATATATATATATATATATATATATATATATATATATATATATATATATATATCTGCATATGCTACACTCAGGGAGTTTCAATTCCAGATTGTCACTAGGGCTGCATGTTTCCTCATTGATTATAATAGTCAGGAGTTTTTTTCACTTTTGAACCCAGCTATGTATTCTAACTATATACATTATATTACATGTGATTATTACATATGTGTGTATAATTGTGTACCCGGAAGAGGTAGGGAAATCAACTAAAAAAACTATCAATTGGGAAAAACAATATAATGGTTATATATAAAATATAGAGCTTCCATTCACAATACTAACAAATGTATGAAATGCCTAGGAATAGGCTTAATGGAATATGTTCAATAAAGGAAATTATAAATCTTTATTGAAGGGTATAAAAGAAAAACAGAGAAAATAGTGTAACATACCATATGTATAAAAAGATAACAGTCCTAATGTGGCCCACAAATTCAAGTAATTCAAATCAAAATGCTTTGATTAAAACCTGAGAGTATAAAATTTAGATTGAAGAGTCATTTTGCAAACATAGCCCCAATGTTGGATGAAAAACAATAATAAATGGGTACTTCTCTTACCAAATAGAAAACTATACAATAAAGCTTTAGTAACTAAAATATTGTAATATTGGCATGGGAATAGAAATGTTTGTCAGGGAATAGATTAAATGAGACAAGAAGGAAATCTATGGATACAGGTAACTTTAGTTTATGATGAATATGTGTTTTTTATTGATATTAAATACCATCATGATACATAAATGTCATCAGTGCAATTAGATATCCTGTTGAAGGAAAAAGAGAAGCTTGGCCCATGCCTCTTATATGCAAAAATAAACTGAAATTGAATGTTAAATATAAACATACAAACACATTTACAAAAGTACTGGAGAAAATATAGTCAAATATTTTAACAAGTTTATAGAGCATAAGAACTTCTTGTCCTAGCCAGAGCAATTAAACAAGAGAAAGAAATAAAGGGCATCCAAATCAGTAAAGAGGAAGTCAAACTGTTACTGTTCACCAATGATATGATTATATAGCTAGAAAACCATAAAGACCCATCCAAAAATCTCCAAGAACTGATGAATGAATTCAGTAAAGTTTCAGGATAATGTATCAATGTACACAAATCAGTAGCACTGCTATACACCGACAATATCCAACCTGATAAACAAATCAAGAACTCAATCTCTTTTACAACAGCTGCAATAAAATAAAATAAAGTAAAAATACTTAGGAACATACCTAACCAAGGAGGTGAAAGACCTCTACCAGGAAAACTACAAAGCACTGCTGAAATAAATCATAGGTGACACAAATGAATGGAAGCACATTCCATGCTCATGGATGGATAGAATCAATATTGTGAAAATGACCATACTGCCAAAAGCAATCTATTGATTCAATGCAATTTCCATCAAAGTACCAAGATCATTCTTCACAGAACTAGAAAAAACAATCCTAAAATTCACATGGAACTGAAAAAGAGTCTGCATAGCCAAAGCAAGACTAAGTAAAAATAACAAATCTAGAGGCATCACACTACCTGACTTCAAAATGTACTACAAGGCTATAGTCAGCAAAGCAGCATGCTACTGGTATAAAAATAGGCACACAGACCAATGGGACAGAATAGATAACCCATAAATAAAGCCAAATACTTGCAACCAACTGAACTTTGACAAAGCAAACAAAAATTTTAATCGGGGAAAGGACGTCCTATTCAACAAATGGTGCTTGGATAACTGGCAAGCAACATGTAGAAGAAAGAAACTGGATCCTCATTGTCCATTTATACAAAAATCAACTCAAGTCTTACCTTATTGTCTTACCTTATACAAAAATCAACTCAAGATGGATCAAAGACTTAAATTTAAGACCTGACATCATAAAACTTCTAGAAAATAACATCATAGAAACTCTTCTAGATGTTGGCTTAGGCAAAGAGTTAATGAACAAGAATCCCAAAGCAAATCCTAAAGCAAAAATAAAGATGAGACCTAATTAAACAGAAAAGCTTCTGCACAGCAAAAGAAATAATCAGCAGAGAAAACAGACAACCCACAGTGTGGGAGAAAATATTTGCAAACTATGCATATGACACAGGACTAATATCCAGAATCAACTAGGAATTCAAACAAATCAGTAAGAAAAAAACAATCCCATCAAAAAGTGGGCAAAGAACATCAATAGACAACTCTCAAAAGAAGATATACAATGCCCAATAAACATATGAAAAAATGCTCAATATCACTGATTATCAAGGGAATGCAAGTTAAAACCACAATGAGATACTACCTTACTCCTGCAAGAATGGCCATAATTAAAAAATAAAAATTAGATGTTGGTGTGGATGTGGATGTGGTGAGAAGGGAATACTTTTACACTGCTGGTGGAAATGTAAACTAGTACGATCACTATGGAAAACAGTATGGAGATTTCTTAAAGAACTAAAAGTAGAACTACCATTTGATCAAACAATCTCACTACTGGGTATCTACCCAGAACAAAATACGTCATATGAAAAAGACACTTGCACATACATGTTTATAGCAGCACAACTTGCAATTGCAAAAATATGGAACCAGACTAAATGCCCATCAACAAATGAGTGGATAAAGAAAATGTGGTATATATACACCATGGAATACTACTCCACCATAAAAAGGAACAAAATAGGCCGGGCACGGTGGCTCATGCCTGTAATCCCAGCACTTTGGGAGGCCGAGGCGGGGGGATCACCTGAGCTCGGGAGTTCAAGACCAGCCTGACCAAAGTGGAGAAACCCCATCTCTACTGAAAACACAAAATTAGCCGGGCGTGATGGCGCATGCCTGTAATCCCAGCTACTGGGGAGGCTGAGGCAGGAGAATTGCTTAAACCCAGGAGGTGGAGGTTGCAGTGAGTCGAGATTGCGCCATTGCACTCCAGCCTGGGCGACAAGAGTGAAACTCCGTCTCAAAAAAGAAGAAAAAAAAAAAAAAACAGGAACAAAATAATGGCATTTGCAGCAACCTGGATGGAACTGCGCATGTTCTCACTCATTAGTGGGAGCTAAGCTATGAGCATGTAAAGGCATAAGAAGAAATGTAATGGACTTTGGGGACTTGCAGGGAAGGGTAGGATGGGGGGTGAGGGATAAAAGACTACACATTGCGTACAGTGTACACTTCTCAGGTGGTGGGTGCACCAAAATCTCAGAAATAACCACTAAAGAACTTATTCAGGTAACAAAAAAAAACACCTGTTCCCCAAAAACTATCGAAATAAAAAAACAGAACTTCTTACGCAAGAAAGAACATTCAAAGTTTACGGAAAGAAAAATATTGACATATTTGATGATAAAAAACTTTTAAAGTTTCTATAATATACCATATACAAAGTTTAAGGACAGATTGGGAGAAATTATTTGTCATAGGTCTAGCAAACAATTAATATCCATAATAAGTGAAGAATTTTTATAAATCTATAAGAAATAATGAACCAATATAAAAATAAGACAGGAAATAAGAAGCAAATTCAAAAAAATACAGAAGGTTAATATACATACTGAGTCCTAATAATACATTCTCTTTGAGTAATTTAATAAAAGGGACTGTTTAAGTGACATAAGGAAAGTTTAAAGAAATCTGTATGGGAAGAGATGGTATCCTGGGTCTTGCAACAGAAGAGAGCCATTACCACCTGAAAAGGTGCCTGAAGAGGCAAGAGGAGACAGAAGTTAAGTGAACTCTACAGGTGGTTGTATCAGAGGGTCATAAGACAAATGTAGCCTTTATTAAAGAGACACCACCAAGCCATTGAGATTCATCAGGAAAGGAAAGGAAAGAATAAATATCCAGATTTAAGTTTCCTGATGCTCTCAGATCTCTTGCCAGTGCTCTTCACAAGCCAAGCCTAAAACTAAGCTAGATGGTAAAGGAGACCATTGATGTTGTCTATAATAGGTCAACCGCTTTAGGTACAGAGCAGAGTGGAGAAAAGTAGGGAGTGGAACTATAGTAGCAAACTGATGATATCCAACACAATCCATCACTTTTGTACCTCAGAATCTGCTAGTGCCCTTTGCTGGAAAAAAAAAATCTTGGGTGAGAAAATTCTTGAGATAACTACACCAAATCCTGTTAGCTATTATACAATTATTGGGTTATAATAATTCAAATATATTTGCAACTGAAAACTAAAACACTGTTGTAGAAGATGTTGTTAGTGTCCCATTTGTATTATGTCAGCTAGACATTCATCACTCCCATATATAACAAATGATTAACTTTGAATAGCAGGAACTTTATGCTTGGCCCAGTTCTCAGAGAGCAGGTCAGAAATACCTAGGGCTTAATAATAACCCCAGGAGCATCGCTTGACCAACAATTTCTAGGAGTTAGTGGATATATATATATATATATCTGGGATAACTCATATCTTACACTGTCCGCCAGAGTTCTCCAGTGGGATTGAGTCCTAGTTGCCCCAAGCAGTAAATTGCTCAATATAATGAACACTTTATTGTCTTCTTTAACTTCCCATGCTTATTTCCCCACTACCCTATCATGCTTCCTAGTATCATTTCTCAAATTAATAGTGTGCATTCATGTATTTATCTCAAATTCTTTGTCTCAAGTACCTTGAGAGAAACGCATTATGTCTAAAACAGTTACCATTACCAGGGATCATCATATAACCTAGAAGAATAAAAATTAGAAGAAAACTAACACAAAACCTAGTTGCTACTGTCCCTGCATCATTAGTAGTGACAAGGTCTGAGTTTACCATCACATCTTCCTTCATTCACCATCTATCATATGAATACCTTACCCTCAGTTAGCACCTTGGTTGGAAAGAATACTTCACCTGGTGAGGTGACCCAAACTATCATTCCTATAAGATCTGAGCCTTAGTGGTATTTTCTTTAATGAGTTGAGGCAGTTATTCATTAAAGAGAACTACTGGACAATGTGAATACTAAGAATCAAGTAAATCCCCTGGATTTCAAACAAAGTTGTGCCTGTCTCTACTATACAGCAGAAACCCATTCCTCCCCCACCAGAAACTCAGAATATTCACATTATTTAGTATTGGGCTTCTCTTTTTCCTTTTTAACTTTTATTTTAAGTTCATGGGTATAAGCGCAGGATGTGGAGGTTTGTTAAATAAGTAAATGTGTGTCAGGGGTTTGTTTTACAGATTATTTCATCAACCAGGTATTAAGCCTAGTATTAATTAGATGCTTTTTCTGATCCTTTTCCTCCCCCCACCCTCTGCCCTCCAGTAGGCCACAGCTATTTTTCCTATCTATGTATCTATGTGTTCTCATCATTTAGCTCCCATTTATAAGAGAAAATATACGGTATTTGGTTTTCTATTCCTGCATTAGTTTACTAAGGATAATGGCCTCCGGCTCCATTCATATCCCTCCAAAGGACATGATCTTGTTCCTTTTTATGGCTGCATAGTATTCCCTGGTGTATATTTACCACATTTTCTTTGTCCAGTCTATCATTGATGGGCATTTAGATCAATTCCATGTCTTTGCTATTGTGAATAATGCTGCAATGATCATATGTGTGCATGTGTCTTTATAACTGGATGATGTTTATCTTTGGTATATACCCAGTAATAGGATTGCTAGGCTGAATGGTATTTCAGTCTCTAGGTCTTTGAGGAATTACCGCACTGTCTTCCACAATGGTTGAACTAATTTATACTCCCACCAAGAGTGTAAAAGAGTTCCTTTTCTCCACAGCCTCACCAGCTTCTGTAATTTTTTGACTTCTTAATAGCCATTGTGACTTATGTGAAATAGTACCTCATTGCGGTTTTGATTTGCATTTCTCTAATGATTAGTGATGTTGAGACTTTTTTCATATGATTGTGGACCACATGTATGTCTTCTTTTGAGAAGTGTCTGTTCATGTCCTTTGCCTACTTTTTAATGGAGTTGTTTGTTTTTATTCTTGTAAATTTATATTCCTTATAGATGCTGGATATTAGACCTTAGTCAGATGCATGTTTGTTAAAATTTTCTCCCATTCTGTAGGTTGTCTGTTTACTCTGTTGATAGTTTCTTTGGCTGTGCAGAAGCTCTTTAGTTTAATCAGATCTCAATCGTCAATTTTTGTTTTTGTTGCAATTGTTTTGGTGTCTTCATCATGAAATCTTTGCCCATGCCTATTCCTGAATGGTACAGCCTAGGTTTTCTTCTAGAGTTTTTGTAGCTTTGGGTTTTACATTTAAGTCTTTAATCCATCTTGAGTTGATTTTTGTATATTGTGATTTTTACATATGATGTATATGAAGTTCTGATTTCTTTGTAAACCTCGTCTTTACCAAAAATACAAAAACATTATCCTGGTATAAGGATGCATGCCTGTAGTCCTAGCTACTCCAGAGGTGGGAGGATCACCTGAGTCCAGGAATTGAGGCTTTAGTAAGCTGTGATTATACCACTGCACTAGAGCCTGGGTGACAGAGTGAGAATCTCTTTAAAAAAAAAAATAACAAAACTGGTGGCAGGCAAGAGATCTTGTGCAGGGGACCTCCCATTTATAAAACCATCAAATATCATGAGACTTATTCACTACATACGAGTACAGTATGAGGGAAACTGCCCCCACGATTCATTTATTTCCACTTGGCCCTGCCCTTATCATGTGGGGGTTATTACAATTGAAGGTGAGATTTGTGTAGGGACACAGCCAAACCGTATCAGTGGCATTGAATGTTCTTTTGCATTTGTGTGGTATCAGTTGTAATATCTCCCATTTCATTTCTAATTGAGCTTGTTTGAATCACCTTTCTTTCTTTCCTGGTTAATCTCACTAATGGTCTATATATTTTGTTTATCTTTTCAAAGAACCAGTGTTGTGTTTCATTTATCTTTTGTATTTTTGGTTTCAATTTCATTTAGTTCTGCTCTGATCTTTGTTATTTCTTTCCTTCTGCTGGTTTTGTGTTTGGTTCATTCTTGTTTCTCCAGTTCCTTGAGGTGTGACCTTAGATGGTCTAATCATGCTCTTTCAGACTTCTTGATGTAGGCATTTAATGCTATAAACTGTCCTTTTAGCATTGCTTTTGCTGTATCCTAGGGGTTTTGATAGGTTTGTGTCACTATCATCGTTCAGTTCAAAGAAATGCTTAATTTCCATACTGATTTCATTATTGATCCAATAATAATTCAGGAGCAGGTTGTTTAATTTCCATGTATTTGCATGGTTTTGAGGTTTCCTTTTGGAGTAGATTTCCAATTTTATTCCACTGTGGTCTGAGAGGATACTTGATATGCTTTCCATTGTCTTAAATTTATCGAGACATATTTTGTGGCCTATCATACAGTCTATCTTGGAGAATGTTCCATGTGCTGAGGAAAAGAATATATCCTGCAGTTTTGGGGTAGAATGTTCTGTAAATATCTGTTAAGTCCATTTGTTCTAGGGTATATTTTAAGTCCATTGTTTCTTTGTTGACTTTCTGTCTTGATGACCTATCTAGTGCTGTCAGTGGAGTACTGAAGTCCCCACTATTATTGTGTTGTCATCTATCTCATTTCTTACATAGAGTAGTAATTATTTTAAAAATTTAGGAGCTCCAGCATTAAGTACATATATATTTAGGATTGTGACATTTTCCTGTTGAACTAGACTTTTTATCATTTTATAATATCCCTCTTTGTCTTTTTTAACTGTTGTTACTTTAAAGTCTGTTTTGTCTGATATAAGAATAGCTACTCCTGCTCACTTTTAGTTACCATTTGCATGGAATATCTTCTTCTACCCTTTTACTTTAAGTTTGTGTGAGTCCTTATGTATTACGTGAGTCTCTTGAAGACAGCAGATACTTCGTTTTCTTCTAGGGTTTTTATGGTTTTAGGTCTTACATTTAAGTCTTTAATCCATCTTGAGTTAATTTTTGTATACGGTGTAAGGAAAGGATCCAGTTTCAGCTTTCTACATATTGCTAACCAGTTTTCCCAGCACCATTTATTAAATAGGGAATCCTTTCCCCGTTGCTTGTTTTTGTCAGGTTTGTCAAAGATCAGATGGTTGTAGATGTGTAGTGTTATTTCTGAGGCCTCTGTTCTGTTCCATTGGTCTATATGTCTGCTTTGGTACCAGTACCATGCTGTTTTGCTTACTGTAGCCTTGTAGTATAGTTTGAAGTCAGGTAGCGTGATGCCTCCAGCTTTGTTCTTTTTGCTTAGGATTGTCTTGGCTATGCAGGCTTTTTTTTTTGGTTTCACATGAAGTTTAAAGTAGTTTTTTCCAATTCTGTGAAGCAAGTCATTGGCAGCTTGATGGGGATGGCATTGAACCTATAAATTACCTTGGGCAGTATGGCTATTTTCACGATACTGATTCTTCCTATCCATGAGCATGGAATATTCTTCCATTTGTTTGTGTCCTTTTTTATTTCGTTGAGCAGTGGTTTGCAGTTCTCCTTGAAGAGGTCCTTCACATCCCTTGTAAGTTGGATTCCTAGTTATTTTATTCTCTTTGTAGTAATTGTGAATTGGAGTTCACTCATGATTTTGCTCTCTGTGTGTTATTGGTGTATAGGAATGCTTGTGATTTTTGCACATTGATTTTGTATCCTGAGACTTTGCTGAAGTTGCTTATCAGCTTAAGGAGATTTTGGGCTGAGACGACGGGGTTTTCTGAACATACAATCATGTCATCTGCAAACAGGGACAATTTGAATTCCTCTTTTTGTAATTAAATACCCTTTATTTCTTTCTCTTGCCTGATTGCCCTGGCCAGAACTTCCAATACTATGTTGAATAGGAGTGGTGAGAGAGGGCATCCTTGTCTTGTGCCGGTTTTCAAAGGGAATGCTTCCAGTTTTTGCCCATTCAGTATGATATTGGCTGTGGGTTTGTCATAAATAGTTCTTATTATTTTGAGATACATTCCATCAATACCTAGTTTATTGAGAGTTTTTAGCATGAAAGGCTGCTGAATTTTGTTGAAGGCCTTTTCCACATCTACTGCGATAATCATGTGGCTTTTGTCGTTGGTTCTGTTTATGTGAGTGGATTATGTTTATTGATTTGCGTATGTTGAACCAGCCTTGCATCCCAGGGATGAAGCCCACTTGATCATGGTGGAACTTTTTGATGTGCTGCTGGATTCAGTTTGCCAGTATTTTATTGAGGATTTTCGCATCGATGTTCATCAGGGATATTGGCCTAAAATTCTCTTTTTTGTGTGTGTGTCTCTGCCAGGCTTTGGTTTCAGGATGATGCTGGCCTCATAAAATGAGTTAGAGAGGATTCCCTCTTTTTCTAGTGATTGGAATAGTTTCAGAAGGAATGGTACCAGCTCTTCTTTGTACCTCTGGTAGAATTCAGTTGTGAATCTGTCTGGTCCTGGACTTTTTTTGGTTGGTAGGCTATTAATTATTGCCTCGATTTCAGAACCTGTTATTGGTCTATTCAGAGATTCAACTTCTTCCTGGTTTAGTCTTGGGAGGGTGTATGTCTCCAGGAATTTATCCATTTCTTCTAGATTTTCTAGTTTATTTGCATAGAGATGTTTATAGTATTCTCTGATGGTAGTTTGTATTTCTGTGGGATCAGTGGTGATATCCCTTTTATCATTTTTTATTGTGTCTACTTGATTCTTCTCTCTTTTCTTCTTTATTAGTCTTGCTAGCGGTCTATTTTGTTGATCTTTTCAAAAAACCAGCTCCTGGATTCATTGATTTTTTGAAGGGTTTTTTGTCTCATGGGGTGTTCCCTTGATGTGGTGCTCTCCTGCTTCCCCTAGGGATGGGGCTTCCTGAAAGCTGGACTGTAGAGATTATTATTTCTCTTCTGGGCCTAGCTACCCAGTGGAACTACCAGGCTTCAGGCTGGTACTGGGGAGCATCTCTAAAGAGTCCTATAATATGACTTGTCTTAAGGCCTCTCAGCCATGGAATCCAGCACCTGTTCTGGTGGAGGTAGCAGGGGAATGCAGTGGATTCTGTGAAGGTCCTTGGTTGTAGTTTTGTTTAGTGCACTGGTTTTCTCGATTGTTTTTTGTGCTTGCAATAAAGGTGTCATGTGGACAGACTCAGGACCTCTGATTAGCCAAGATGTTATAGGCGGTGGAGTTAGCTTTGTTTTCTCCTTTCTTGGGGCATGGTTTTTCTTTCGTGAGTTGTTGTAATGATTTCTCCACGGTCATTTTTCACATGGGCCCATTAATGAAGACCTAGGTTGGTTTTTAAAAAAAGAGACAGAGGCTCACTGACATTAACAGGATTGGTCATACTGTTCGACTGACTTGAGAACCTTCCAAAGTAAATACCTTCTTCATGCACCCCTTCAGAGAGGTTCAATCACATGTTCTCCTTACCACCTATTTTCCAGTCTTGCTCTAAGTCTCTAACTACCCAAACAAGCTGAACATAAATCAATAGAGATTTATACCTCAGGCCATCTCTCCTATATTAAGTGAACAACCTTAATACAGGACAGCCTGAAATTCTAACTGCTAGACGGGTTTCCTGTATCTTAGGGCCACTGTTTAGTGAAGCCATAATGTAGTGACCATTCCTTTCTGAACATTCACACGCTTAAATGTTTCCTTTTCTCTGGAAATATTCTCTAGCGTTGTTAAAAGAACCCATACAGCCCAGAATTCTTTAAAATTACTTTTGTCATTTGAATTAAATGCTACACCCGCTTAATTTCCTAAAGCCTTAATCCCAATCCACAACCTGTGATAATTTTAATAACTGTGTCCAATTTATCCCTAGCAAGAATATCTGTGTACACAAACATTCAACATAGTTCTGGAACCCTATTGCTACTTCTGATACTACTTCTAATATCACTCAGAATCCTGGTAGAAAATGTACAGTTAACTCACACTAGATCATTTGAAGAGTGATAAGGGAACTATTTTTAGTAATGTGGGCAGACTTCAGGAAAAATAACAAGGCACAGTATAACATTCTGGGGCTAGCTATAGTAGCAAGCTCTTATCACAGCCCTGAATGTCATTGGAATAGTGCTTAATAAATGTTGAGGGTATCCTGCTGATAGCCATGGCCTTCAGAAGAGAAATACAACCAATCTGGGTACAAGCCTTCAGGAAGAACCGAAAGAATAAATGCCGTAATCTTAAGCTTCCCCTGCCTTCTCATCTGCCAATGACTCTCAGTGGCAAAACCCAAGTGAAATCTAGATAGAGTACAGGGGAATACATTGAGGCTGTCAATACAGGTCAGCCTCCCTGAGCAGAGGAGGGTGGAGAAGATTTTAGAAAGATGAAGAGTAAATTTAGAGAGGCAAACAAAATATATTCAGCACACAGCTTATTCCCTGAAAACTTATCTGTTTCCTTTTATGATATTTGTCTGGTAGTTACCAAAACGTTATACTAGCTGGGTAAGAACCCAAGTGAGTTGCCAGGGGAACTAGCAGGATAGTTTCCAGGTAGTACCTGTAGCAATAAACAACCATGGAACTATTCTTCGTTATCTCAGTTTCTACTAGTTCTTCCTTCATATGAACTCAGAATTTCAGAAATGGAAGGTACACTTCTCTATTTTCTTAAAGTGGTAGGTATAGCTCCTTAATTAACTCCATCATCTCAACAAGAGAACAAGAAAAGTTGAGGAGGAGGTAATTGATGGTACTAGTTCCCAATATATAATTAAAATACAGCTTTAAAATATATATTTATGTAACTGTAGAAAGGAAATAATAGAGATTACAGCAGAAATACTGTAAATGAAATAGAGCCTGGAAAAACCATAGAGAAAATAAACAAAACAAAGAGATGGTTTTTTAAAAGAGATTAACAAAATTGACAAACCTTGGCCAGAGAAATTAAGAAAAAAGAGATAAGACTCAAATAACAAAAATCAGAAATGAGCGGAAGACTTTACAACTAAATGCCACAGAAGTAAGAAGAATCACAAGAAACTACTATGAATAATTATATCCCAACAAATTAGATAACTTAGAAGACATGGATACATTTCTAGAAACATTCAACCTACCAACACTAAATGATGAAGAAACAAAGTATCTGAACAGACCTGTAACTAGTAAGGTGATTGAATCAGCCATCAAAAACCTCCCAACAGAGGAAAGCCTAGGGCCAGATAGCTTCACTGGAGAACCGTACCAAATATTTCAATAAGAATTAACAATAATCCTTCTCAAAATCCTCCAAGTAACTGAAGAGGAGGGAATACTTCAAATTCTTTCTATGTGGCCAACATACTCTAATACTGAACCTAGAAAAAGATACTACAAGAAAACTACAGACTAATATCTCTGATGAATACTGATGAAAAAAATCCTAATCAAAACACAAGCAAATTGAATGTAACAACATATTAAAGGGAATATACATCATAATCAAGTGGGATTTGTTTCTGGAATATAAAGATGGTTCAGCATATGAAAATAAATCAGTGTAATACACCACATTAACATAATAGAGAAAAACCACATGATCATGTCAATTGATTCAGAAAAAGCATCTGACAAAATTCAATGCCCTTTTAGGACAAAAACACTGAGAAAACTAGGAATACAAGGAAATTACACCTCAATATAGTAAAGGCCTTGTATTAAAAGCCTACAGTTAACATCATACTCAATGGTGAAAACCAGCAAGTTTTCTAAGATCAGGAACAAGTCCATAGTTTGTTCTCACCATGTTCGACATAGTACTGGAAGGTCCTAGCCAGAAAAATTGGGGAAGAAAAAGAAATAAAAGGCATCCAAATAGGAGAGGAAGAAGTAAAATTATCCCTGTTCTCAGATGACATGATCTTATATATAGAAAACCCTAAGGATCATACATACTTGCATACACATAACATATGTGTAACTATTAGAACTACTAAATGAATTTAGTAAAGTTGCAGGATGCAATATCAACACACAAATATCAGTTGTGTTTCCATACACTGACAATGAACAGTGTACAAGGAGGAGAAAGACTTGCGCATTGCAAACTATAAAACATTATTGAAAAAAATTAAAGACACAAATAGATGTAAAGCGATCCCATGTTTATGGATTGAACATGATAATTAATATTAATATTCTTAGAATTAGAATATTGTTAAAATGTTTATACAACCCAAAGTGAAATACAGATTTAATGCAATCCCTATCAAAATTCCAATGGCGTTTTTTACAAAAATAGAAAAAAAATCATGTGGAATCAGAAAAGACCCTGAACAGCCAAATCAATCTGCAAAAAGAAAAATAAAGTTGGAGGCATAACACTTCCTGATTTCAAATATATTGCAAAGCTACAGTCCTCAAAACAGTATGGTACTGGTATAAAGACCGACACACAGACCAATGAAATAGAATAGAGAACCCAGAAATAAACCCTCATATATACGGTGAAATGATCTTTGACAAGGGTGCCAAGGCTACACAATGTGCAAAGAATTGTCTTCAAAAAACAGTGTTGGGAAAACTGGATATCCACATGCAAAAGAATGAAGTTGGAACCTTACCTTACACCATATACAAAAATTAACCCAAAATGGATTAGACATCTAAACACAAGGCTTGAAACCATAAAGTTCCTAGAGGAAAGCATAGGGAGAATGCTTCATGCCATTGGATTTGACAATTATTTTTTGGATATTACACCAAAAGCCCAGGCAGCAAACCAAAAACAGACAAATGCACTACATAGAACTTAAAAACTTTTTTGCAGTAAAGGAAACAATTGGCGAAGTGAAAAGGCAACCTGCAGAATGGGAGAAAACATTTGCAAACCATTATTGAAAAGAGGCTAATATGCAGAATATATGAAGAACTTCAACCCAATAGCAACAAAAAACAATCTGATTTAAAAATGGCCAAAGGACTTGGATTGATAAAAGAAGGTATACAAATGGTGAAGAAGCATTGAAAAGATACTCAACACTACTAATAATCAGGGAAATGCAAATAAAAACCACAATAAGGTATCACCTTGGATCCATTAGGATGGTCACTATCAGAAAAACAAACAAACAAACAAACAGAAAAAACAAACAAAACAGTATTGGTGAGGATGTGGAGAAATTGGAACCCTGTGCACTGCAGGAATGTAAAATGGTGCAGTCGTTATAAAAAACAGTATAAAAGTTTTTCGAAAAAATAAAACTGGAAAAATAGACTTACCATATGATCTAGCAATCCAATTTCTGAGTATATATACAAAAGAATTGACAACAGGATCTCTGTGGGATATTTGTACACCTGTATTAATTGCAGCATTATTCACAATAGTAAAGAGCTGGAAGCAACTTTAATGTCCATTGAAAAATGAATGAATAAAGCCAGTGTGGTATGTACAATAATACAGTGGAGTATTATTCAGCCTTAAATGAAGAAGGATATCCTGTTATATGCTACAACATGCATGAAACTTCAAAATATTATTTAAAGTGAAATAAGCCAATCACAAAAAGAAAAATACTGCATGATTCCAGTTTTATAAGGTGTCTAAAATAGTCAGACTCTCAGAAAACAAAAGTAGAACAATGATTGCATTTTTGCAAGATGCAAAAATTCTAGATATATATTGAAAAACAATGTACACATAGTTAACAGTGCTGTACTATGCACTTAAAAATGTTTAAGATGTATATTTCAGATGTATTTATATGTACAAATATGTGCATATGTCACATTTGCATATATTTTTTCTAAAACTATGGTTATTACAAATTAAATATATATATTTACTTGTAAGCTATGGTAGCTATTTAGTAAGTATTTTATACAATGTAAACAAAAAAAGAAAAAATAATGCCTTACTTTGTTGCAGAAGTAGTATTCTCAGGGACTTTAACTAGTGGTGCTCCTAGCACATAACCCAGAGCATATCCAATCATTGATGTACATTCTGCAATACCTGTAAAATAAGCACTGAAACTGAACATCAAACAATTTCATAAGCCAGCTTCGTTATGATAAAAATTGACTGAAATTGATTACTTCTGAAAGCTTTTCATAGCATTCTGTATTAGTCAGAGCTCTCCAGAGAAACAAAATCAATAAAAGACAGAGAAAAACAGTAATGGAAAACCAAGTATCATTATGTTCTCAGAAGTGGGAACCAAGCTATGAGGATGCAAAAGCATAAGAATGATATAATGGACTTTGGGGACCAGGGGGTAATGGTGAGAGGTGGGTGAGGGATAAAAGACTGCACATTGGGTATAGCGTACACTGCTTGGGTGATGGGTGCACCAAAATCTCATAAATCACCACTAAAGAGCTTATCTATGTAACCAAATACCACCTGTTCCCCCCAACACTACTGAAATTAAAAAAAATTTTAAACACAAAAATAAAAATGACCTTCAAAAAACAAAGACATAGAGAACAGACAGATTCATTTTAAGGAATTGGCTCATACAAAATACAATTATGAGGCCTAGCAAGTCCCAAATTTGTAGGGCAGGCCAGCAGGCTGGAAATTCAAGTAAGAGTTGATGTTACAATCTTTAGGTAGAATTGCTTCTTCAGAAAACCTCAGTTTTTGCTCATAGAACCTTCAACTGATTGAATGAGGCTCATCCACATTATGAAATCAGTTTTGCTCAAAATCTGCTGATTGTAAATGTTCATCGCATCTAAAAATGACAGTCACCAAAACATCTGGAGTAGTGTTTGTCTTTACAACTAGGTGTCATAACCCAGCCAAGCAAACACATAAAACTAACCATCATACATACTATCCAATTCATGTATTAGAGAAACTCAGTATATAATTCATTATACTTTATTTAATCTATATATTTAATGTAAAATACATGAAATATATTTAATATAACTAGAAATTAAAAATATCTTATTTTATTTAATTTGGGGTGCTCTAGCAAGATGATACTTTAAAGTTATCATTACTTCTGCACCCTTCACCTTAGCTACCAGGATGTGTCAATACACCTTCGCAATAAGTATATAAAAACAACTTTAAATTTATTTTCAAAAGTGATAGTTAGATAACCCTGTACAAATAGATGATCTACCAGTACCAGAATCTATTGCAATATAAGACAGTACAGGTTATTCTGAGATATAGCCAGGATTACTTATTGTAGGATACAGTGGCATAGACATTGTAAATAGGGATAGTATGCTATTATTAATTAAGTATATATACACATATATGAATATACATATTTATAAATGTACATACATATACATAAAGAGTATAATTTTTATTACTTAAGAAAGTATTTTTTGTTTGTTTGTTTGAGACGGAGTCTTGCTCTGTCACCCAGGCAGCAATGGTACGATCTTGGCTCGCTGCAATCTCTGCCTCCTGGGTTTAAGCAAGTCTCCTGCCTCAGCCTCCAGAGTAGCTGAGATTACAGGTGCTCGCCACCATGCCCAGCTAATTTTTTTGTATTTTTAGTAAAGACAGGGTTTCACTATGTTGGCCAGGCTGGTTTTGAACTCCTGACCTCAAGTGATCTGCCCACCTCAGCCTCTCAAAGTTCTAGGATTACAGGCATGAGCCACCATGCCTGGCCGAAAGTACGTATTTTTTCAATTGCTCTATATATTTTCAGTGACATTCAGGTGACTTGTCTAGAATCTCAAATCTCAAACAGCTACTTAGAATTAGGTGAATCAATGTGATTTGGAGGTTTAGCATACCAATTATCATTTATTACAATGTTATCATAAGGGCCAATAGTACTTCTATATCAGCTTAGATATGCATACCAAAATTCAAAGAAAACTCAAAATGGGTCAATCGTAATAGAGGGGGTAAAACTTGCCTAAATAGATACCAGCTGAGTGTGTAGCAACATTCTCATCAATAAAGGTTATTCCAAGGATATAAAGAGGCATTCCTGCTATTCCCTGCACAGTCTGCCCAAGGATGAAGAAAGACAGGTATTTTGATTGGAATGATATACCACTGCTCTGGCAACCACTGACAACCTTTATTTCTTCGCAAATATCTTTTGAAAATACAATGATTATATTTTTGTTAATTGAACTCAAACATAAAACAAATGTGCAGTATTCTTTATCAAATATTTTACAAGCTATTTCCAAAATTATGCTTTTTTCTTTTAGTTAACATTTCATTTACATTGAATGTAGTAGTACTGCAATCAATCATCATGTTCTCAGAAAAATGCCATCATACAATTTGGGCCAGACACAGCACACACCTGTAGTACCAGCTACTAGGAAAGGTGAAGTGAGAGGATTGTGACAAGCCTGGGCAACATATTGTGACCCCGTCTCCAAAATAAAAAATAAAAAAAAGGAAGAAATTGTGTGGGAATCCTGCAAAAGATGCATATATTATAAACCAAAACATAAATGTGCATGCATGATTGTATATATGTGTGCATAAATATGTTTGTATATATATGCATTTGCACATAGACATAGCACATATTCCTCTTAAATTTGGCATCTAGTTCCCCTGACTTTTGACCCTAGGCTAAAAGTATTTCTAATGTTCTAGATTATCTGCGTTATCAAAGAGTACTTTCTGAGTTTAGTTTTATGTTCACCTCTTTAACAATCTTTATATTCACTTTGTCTCACTCTGATTAAATAATTTCCCATTTTAGACTCACTAACTTTTAGAACATATGTTCATAAGGACAAGGCATTATACAGTAAACATTTCTTTCCGTTAGAGTTAGTCATTATGTGGTCATCCACTAGATTTTAATATCTTCCAGGTCACAGTATATTTCTTATACTTTTTTTATTCACATGGTTATATAACAATATTAAGTAAATGCTTGTGTAATTAAATTTGTTTGTAGATTGTTAGATCCAGGCAATACTATTAGATTATATTGGCCATGGTTATTTAACCATGGGTTGACATTTAACAAAATGCTCTTAAAATAATATTGTGGAAACACTATTAAAGTGCAGATTGCAATACAGTATACAAATGAAAATTTTCATCTGGTTTAGTATCCATGTGAAATGATTTTGACTTCATATCAAGTGGGAGGTAGTCTCTACAACTGTCATTCAAATGCCAAAGGTTCAATTTTATACAGACATATTAACTTGTGATATCAGTGTCAATGTGATATTTCCAACACCCTGACCTCTTAGTTCCTTGAACTTTTTTCCTGTTATGCACTGTACTCCACCTACCTTGGCTAGTTATATGTTTTGGCTCTGTGTCCCCACCCTAATCTCATGTGGAATTGTAATTCCCAATGTTGCGGGAGGGACCTGGTGGGAGGTGACTGGATCACGGGAGCAGATTTCCCCCTTGCTGTTCTCGTGATAGTGAGTGAGTTCTCACATGATCAGGTTGTTTGAAAGTGTGTAACACTCCCCACGTTGCTCACTCTCTCCTGCTACAATGTGAAGATAGGCTTGCTTCCCCTTCAACTTCCACTATGATTTTAAGTTTCCTGAGGCCTCCCCAGCCCTCCTGTACAGGCTGCAGAACTGTGAGTCAATTAAATCTTCTTTCTTTATAAATTACCCAGTCTCAGGTAGTTCTTTATAGCAGTCTGAGAATAGACAAATACAGCTAGTCATTTTAAATGTCAAAAATAATAACTACAAACCTTTCCTAATGATAATTTCAAGCATCTACATTCTAACCACCCCTATCTTTCCGCTCACTCTTTCCAGCAACCCAATTCCAACAATCCTTAAAATTCATCAGGGTATATAATCCATTGATTCTGCTCCTTTTCACTATCCCAATGTCCCCTTCATGTCCTTACTTCTTTCACTATCATTTAAATACTTTTAATTCCCTTGCTCTCTTTCAAATCATGCAAAACCATGGTAAAACTGCAACCCTACTCAAAATAACTCTTCTTCCCACTCCCTACATGTACTGTTAAAGCTTGATGTGGCTGCACAACCATGCAAATCCCACTTTGAGTTCATGATTAATAAACTCAAGGAGGTCCTTCAAGCTCCTGATAATAATAAAAAATGCCCCTAATCGATTCACTCTTCCCTTCTCAAAGAAAATTCAAGTTGTTTGTTTCCCTTCTCCTAGGGATCACAGTACTGAGCTTCCTACTGAACAACATCTGAAAATAAATGTTTTCTATCAATAGACTAAAATTAATCATTAACTTCCTCTGTGATGACATATATGTCCACTGGAATGCTACAATTAGTTAATTAGCAAACTTGGTCATATAAATCAAATGGATGGATGGATAGATATACAGACAAATAATTATCACAGTCTATTTTAAGTTCCTTGAGCCAAGGTTTGAATGAATATTGATTTGATGTATGACAGTATATTTTAAAACCTTACCTTCAATTCCTACCTTACTTTGTTTATTTTCTTCATTAATGGATGGAAAAGCACATAAAAGTGATCCAAGTCCTATTAAAAAGGAGGAAGCTACAAACCATATTACTTTTTTTCTGTCTCCATAGAATGCTATAAATATTGCTACCAGGCCAGATGAAATATCGTAACTCTTTTCCAATGCCAACTTCTCAATGGTTTTCAGTTGATATTCCTTCTGAAAATCGCCAATGCTGACATCTATAAGACCAAACACCACACCTAAAATGTAAAAAGAAAAAGAGAAAACAACGATATGCATTTTAAGAGGTCATTATGATTATTACAAAGCAAAATTTAAATTACATGATGTAAGTTTATTTTAAATTATTCTGAATGTTTAAAAGCTATAAGCAAGTAACAATTCCTTTTCTAAAACATAAATAGGCCTTAACCTCTACAAAATATTCACTAATTGAATTTTTGAAGCTATTTTTAACTACCTCTCTGAGTAATTTCCTAAAGAATAGTGATTGCTGTGTCATCTCACTTAGTACTGATCTTTGTTTTTATGTATTGCATTTCACATTATAAAAAATTTAAAACCATTACTAATATAATATTTATTTATCTACCATATAGAATAGAAAATAAAACATTATCAAAATAGTTAAAGCCCAATGCATATTTCCCAAACTCGTTTGTCTCCCTCCCCTCCATAATCAGCATCCTGTATTTAAAGTTTACCAGTTTTTAGCCTTTTTAACATTTTTGACAATACATATGTCCTTAGACAATATCAAGTATTGTTTTTCATGTTCCTGAATGTGAAATGAATGGTACCATATTATGTGTATTTCTATCACTCAACATCCAACTAGGAAAAAAGTAATCATAATCACACTAAGAATTTGAAACAAAATTAATTGATGTAGGGATTGATTACAAAAGTAGTACATTAGTTGGAGTCCAAATGGTTACTAATCAAAATTCATGATATCTATGCAACCAAAGTTACTGGTGCATAGGCTGCTGCTACTATTGCTGCTGCTGCTGCTGTTAGAACTGCAATCACTACATTTTTTTTTTGGCAGGAAGCCAGGAGCCCACAGTCTTCCTATGACAGGGAGCTCACCTGCTGATTTTGATGCCCTTGCAGGTGCCAGAGCCCATGGGCTCTATAGTGCTGATAGCATCACATTTATTCCTGAGCATAAATCCAGGAGGCTTTAATCACCCAGCATTGCTCCTGATGCCAAAACCACCAGAAACAGAAAGGAAAAGAGAGTCTTCCCTTTGCCCTTTTTCAAATCTGCTGCCACAGATTCACTTGCAGCATGTAAGTCGAAGTCAGCTGGGCCCCAGCAACTCTGGGAATTGTGGTTTCAGACTTCCCATTCCCCTTGCAAATAGGAGTGAGTAATGGAGTTCATGGCCAACAGACAAATAACTTGCAGAGTTTATCTTTTAGACTACTTGGTATACATTTTCACCCTTCCTCTCATATTTAAACTTTCATATCAAATAAGTAGCAATATCATCATGCTTCTGCCTAATGTATCACAATTATCATTTTACAGAAATGCTGTTACACTTTCTCCCAAAAAAGAGAGGTACACAGTCTAATCAATCACAATATCTATCTCAGTGTAATGTTAATCCTTCAGTTTAATCACAAACCTGAATGGATTTTTTTAACTTAAAAACCAAATTGCAAAGGTAACCATCAATAGTTAAGCAAATATGTCACAGCCCTAACTAAATTTTTGAGGGGAAATATATTGCCAAAGAAGCCACGAGCCAGATTTGGAGCCACAACTAGTTTCAGCAGACCAATACCAGCAGGAAACAACATATAAAAACTTTGCTGCACCCAGGATAAGAATTTTCTTTAACTTTTACATTAGATGTGGCCAAGGAGGATAATGGCCAATGTAGGAAATAAGTCCTGTTAGTAACTGAGTTTATCTCTAAGGTGGGGTTATTAATTCCCCTTCCGATTGAGGCATATTCTATAACCTAGAGATTAATTTATATGGTTCTCTACCTTCCATAAAGTATTAATAGAAAAATAAAATAGGAAAGGAGAGAAAGAGAGAAAATAAAAAACCAGAACATATACATATATAAACATATATACACGCAAATGTACATATGACATATTTGTGTGTGAATCCACAAGACAAGCAAGTAAGAGGAAATGCAGAGCTGCTACAAGTTTTATTTCTCTCAGTGGTTATGAGACTATAGTTGATATTCATAGCTTCCTTCTTCTACTATTCACTCGCTCTTCTACCCCTTGATCGCAGATAACATACATAGATTGTTCTCTCAAAGCACATACCCCATCCTATAGGACAGCACTACAAACTTGTTTACTACTGGGAGTGGTTGAATGTTGTCTACTACCACGAGTCTTATCCAAGTCTTCAATAAGACATCATAATTATCTATAAGACCAAAAGTTCTGGTTATTGAGATATGTAGTAAAATCAGTGAATTACATGAACATGAACCTTCTGCTATACTTCTTTACTGTAAAATTAGTTCCTTAATTAGAAGCAATGTGTTGGTAAATATGGTAATACTGCTTTATATGGCATTCATTAAGTCCAGTTATGGTAGTGTTAGCAGGACCATGATGACAAAAGAAGAACCCATATCCAAATAAATGGCTAATTTAGTGAGGAGAAATTACTGCCCACTTCATAACAGAACCAGAACTATATAATACCTGCCTCCAGGTAACTGGTTGGTTTCACTAAGGAATGGAGCCAGTACCTAGATTATATTGACTCTTCCTGGTAGCAAGGCAGGCATTCAGCAGTGCAACAACCAGACGAGCTCTGGTGAAGTTAAGGCCATGTATTCACCTCTTATATAACCTCCATCCTTGATGTAATTGTCACTATAAATAAGACCCCATTGAACAAGAGATAGAATGGCTAGGGAAAGAGGCTGGCTAATATTCGTATCTATCTATCTACTTCATTATTGAGAGCCTCTTGTGCAATGGCTTTCTTTTGGTGAACATTCATTCAGATAGGATAACTCTGCTCATATGGAGAGACTCACCACTTACACAGCCTTTCTAATTACCAAATGGTCAAACCACTGGGCAATGTTTGGCAATATGGACAATCAGATGTACTGCTCAATGTTCTTTCCACGGGGAGAATTTCCTTTTTCCTCTACTTTTCAAGGCCTCCCCTAAGTCTATAATGCTACCATAGCATACTTCTACCATTGAAAAATCACAGAGGCTCACCAAAAAGTGTGCCTCTTAATAGTGAGTGGTACAATAGCACACACTTTTCCTTCATTTTGGAAGAGAGAGTGTTCCATATACTCCAAACCAATTGGTGTCTAGAACTACTACTGAAGTGGCAAGCAATTTTTGGTATATAGAATATTTTCTCATAGGATAGATTTTATGTTAATCATTCTGGGAAGGCTGGATCTGATTTGAGTTATGAGTCTGGCAGCAATGGGGTATGGGATCGTTTATAAGGGGAATTAGCATTCCTTTAACTCAGGTGAGGCCAATTCAATGTCTTCAAGCAAGGAACTGTTTCTCTTCAGATATAAGAGGACTAATTGTTCCTACTGGCAAAGAAGGTACAGGATTTGGGGTTTCATGTTTCTCAGGTTCACCAAATTTCACCCAGATGCCTTTATCCTAATTCTCAAGGTTTCTTTTTTCTCAAATCAATGCCCCAGCTCCCACAGAAGTGATCTGGTGAGTTTGAGTTCAACTTATGTTGCAATTCTGCCGCCTGTGAGTAAGAGTTAGTATTGACCAAAAATATGTGGCTAAAAATAATAAGAGTTTCTTATGAAACTAGGAGAGAAGCTCACACGTTTTCTAACCATACCCTAAACTTTTCATTTTCCTTCTGTAAACTTTTCAATGCAGTTAAAGGTTCCACCACAAGAGTCAATTGCAGCAGCTATTTTGTCTTTCAATGTCTTGCCTTCAATAAGAACTTTATCCTAGGCAATAATTTAAATGACTCTTTTTGTCGCTACATGCCATGGATTTCTAGTGAACCATAATTCACAGGCACAAATATCACTGTTTTCATTGACTCCAAGCCCAATCATGTCAGACAGCTAATTCCAGATTTCCATCTTTGAGGGTTCGTTAGTTTGTTTTGTTTTGTTTCTCCTGGTTCAATGACCGGTACAGAATATTATATCAAAAGTCATATTACTGGCTGGGTGCAGTGGCTCACACCTGTAATCCCAGCAGTTTGGGAGGCCGAGATGGGTGGATACCTGAGATCAGGAGTTCTAAACCAGCCTGACCAACATGGTGAAACCCTGTATCTACTAAAAATACAAAAATTAGCCAGGCGTGGTGGCGGGTGCCTGTAATCTCAGCTACTCAGGGAGGCTGAGGCATAAGAATTGCTTGAACCCAGGAGGCAGAGGTTTACAGTGAGCCAAGATTGCGCCACTGCACTCCAGCCTGGGCGACAGAGGGAGACTCTGTCAAAAAAAAAAGGTCATATTATTTTTGTAATTATAGATAAATTACTTTTATTACATTGGTGAAGCTGAAAAAGTTTACTTAAAACATTTCCAAGCATTTTTATGTTATACATCAGAAATTTTTTTAAAAATAAGATTATTAATAAACACATACTTTAACCAGTTTCTTAGCCATACTATCCTTAATAAAATGTGATTCATATCTTTTCTGAAAAATATATTTTAGTAGTTTTTACAAAGTTAGGTGCAATATATTAAAGTTGCTTTTTACAGTTTTGCAGTGAAGGGTTAACTGAACAGGACTGGGTTGTTTTAAAAAGGCCTGGCCAGGAGCATGGCTCATGCCTGTAATCCCAGCACTTTGGGAGGCTGAGGCGGGTGAATCACCTGAGGTCAGGAGTTCGAGACCAGCCTAACCAGCATGGAGAAACCCCATCTCTACTGAAAATACAAAATTAGCCAGGCTTGGTGGCATCTGCCTGTAATCCCAGCTATTTGGGAGACTGAGGCAGGAGAATCGTTTGAACCTGGGAGGCGGAGGTTGTGGTGAGCTGAGATTGCACCATTGCATTCCAGTCTGGGCAACAAGAGCGAAACTCCATCTCAAAAATAAATAAATAAATAAATAAATAAATAAATAAATAAATAAAATAAAATAAAAGGCCTGACTTCAGGACTGGCTCTTCGGTGGCTCCCAGGAGAAAAGCTCTAAGCCCTTGGAATATTCTATCCAATAACAATGTTTTTATATGGCAGAGGCCTTGGGCCATATTGTACCAGTTTGATCACACAGTTTATGCTAACAATGTGATTTATGGTGAAGATCTTTCTTGTCATGGGGTGTGGGTGTGGAGTCTGAGTACCTGAGGTTAGTCACAGAGGTTTTGCATGCCTACATGACTGACAGAAAAACCCTGACCATGAAGGCTCACGTAAGCTTCCCTGGTTAGTAACACTTTGGATGTGTTATTACACGTGTTGGGAGAAATAAGCATGTCCATGTGATTCCACTGGGAGAGGACACATGAAAACTTGCGCCTGTTTTTTTCCAGACTTCATCCCATGTGCCTTTTCCCTCAGCTGATTTTAATCTGTATCCTTTCACTGTAATAAACCATAACCAAGAGCTTATTTTAAGTCCTGTGAAGTCCCAGGGAATCATTTAGACTGACTGTGGTCTTAGGGGCTTCTAATACATAGTTAATAAATTTGAAGTTATTACAACCTCTATTGACATGTCACTGTAGAAAATGATATTTTAATTGATAAAAACTCTCTACAAGTGTGTAAGTGTCTAGTAAGCTCAAAAACAAGCACTGTTAAATGAAGGATGTTCTCAATTATATTTTCATATTAAACTATTTCAACCAAAATATTTCATTCAGAGAATATTTCTTTGAAAAATATTTTACAAGACAAAACTCTTCAAATAAGTTGTCTCTATTTATGATTACTTTGTTTCACCAAATTTAGCTATGTAAAGCTATAGGTCTACTTAAGTTCATTCAATTCAATTTACAAAGTATAAATTTGCCTAGTTAGAGCAAAGGAACTATCCAAAGATTCTTTCCCAAAATAAAAATGTGTACAAAGCACAATTAAAGGATTTCTAAAATAAATCTTGTATGCTACTCAAGCTCTCATAGTTTGTTTAGTTCCTCTCTTAGTTTTGGAGGGATGCATTTTAGTATCTTCCCATTTTTAAGCTTTGTTTTCAATAATTAAAATTCAACAAAAGCTTCTAATATTTTAGAAGTATGGTGATTCATTCATTGAATACTTTAATGGAAGATTTTCAGCTGCTTTTAAATAAAAGTACAACTGCAAATTAGAGAATTTATTTATAAAACAGTTCAAAATCATAAATCAACTGAGGTTAATTTATAAAATAATGAAAAAAAGTCCAACATTTGTGAAGTCTATTGTTTCCAGGAGGCAAAGAAAGGCAATGTATACCAATAAGATGAAGTATTAATACATAAAAACTTGAACATGAATAAATGTTTGTAAATGTTGATGTTAAATATTATATTTTCTTAGGATACAATTAGGAATTGTTTGTGTACCAATTCCAAGCACATTTCTGCTTCACTGCTTTCCTAGTACCATAAGTACATTGTCTTTACTATGATTCTCTACCCAAAAATTCGTGTAAATATCGTTACAGAAATAAATAATTGTATCTTCAAAAATGAAAGTTTAAACATATAGTATTCACATTAATATCAGGTGTTTATCTTCAACAGAATGAACTTCCAAAACTTTTCTTTAATTTCACAAAAAATAAATTATTATTTGAGTTAATTTATTTTCTATTTGAAGTTCCCGATGGTACTGATATAAAGCTGGCATTATCTAACAATTTGAAAAACTGTCCTTCTGCTAATGGGGTGAATTCATTTACAGCTATTATTTTAATTTTCATATGTGAATATAAAAATTTGGAATTGAAAATGAGCAAAATTAAACTAGAACAGTTAAATCTAGATGAAAAAATCATACTTCACAAAATGTTTTGTAAATAAGCCTTTTGCAGCTGCATGTGTTATCTTTTTCAGCTGTAGTCTTCTAAAATCACCATTAACTTCAGCAGATTTATGTCTTCGGGTTTTTATGTGGTCAGTAATATCACTATGGCCTTTGATAAATAGTAAATGTAAACAATGTACAAGTCTTCATCAATTTGCTTAAGAATAGCACATGCCATTTTTGATGTCATGGTGCCAAAAAAGGTATACTAGAAAGTAAAAAAGCATTACCAAATAACAAAATCATAAAATGATGGTTATATGCACTATATGATAAATGAAAATACCGTAGTACAAAGTGTGCTTAGACTACTATGCACTCTGTGACTTTACTCTTCGGCCACTGTTTCCTACAGATACTTTAAGTAAAGCTAATCTATTATGTCTAATGCTTCCCACTGACCCTACCAACAGGTAGCCTGGTGACTTCATGTATCTTGCAAGTCGCAGCATGGACCATCACAATTCTGGCTAATATACCAAGTGGGTGGCAGAACCAGCCGCATCAAATACTTGCCCAACCACTCAAAATTGGGTGGAGTTAATTTTAGAGACTAGATCCAAGATTACTTCATTTTTCAAGAAATGCACATCACACTGTCCCTGAAAGGAATTTTCATTAACACTACATGTGGACAAGGTCTAGAAAGAAAGACAGGTTATTGCTGGTTGTCTTTTAGATCTTACTCTATGTCAAAGTAAGAATTGTGTTCAGCACACAAATTTTTTAACCACTGTAAAACAAGACCAAGGCAGAATCTAAAAGCACAAAGTTAGGACCAACTAAATCCATCCCAGCTTGTTTAAATAAACTATTAATAATAATACTTAGCAAAAAGGGAGAAAACTGCAATGAAAAATGGGACAGCTGGCATAAACGGGAGCTGTTTCGCATAAATTAAAGCATATAGTCAACCAGTTAAGTAGTAAATATGTTCCCCTACAATAAGGCAATTAATTAAACAAAGTAAGGGAAAATTTTATAATGATAAAGAGTATAATTCCAATACAATAACTATCATTATATTAAGTATTAACTGACATAGGGTTAAATAAATAAAATGAGAAAATAAAGAAAACATAAAGAGAAACAAACCAAAACAAATCTCAATGTTTTCAAACTGTTATATATCAGGTGAGCAAAAATCAGTAAAATCATAGAAAATAGCAATATACAATTCTCCTCGATTTATCAAATGTTAATGTTTTGTTATATTTTTCACGAGTTTCCAAATATTCTATTTTAAAAAGTAACATGTTAAGATACACTTGAACAACTCCCTTTGATATAGTTCCCTGACCTGTTGATTACACTTCCATTAATAGTAGACTAAATAATTCAATTCTCTCATTCTGCTGAGAATATGAAAGTTAAAAAATACTTTTAGATCTGTTTGAAAGCATAAAGAGCTAACTAAGCAATGAGAAATTATGGGGACAAGATTCAGGAGAAGAAGAAAACCCAAACAGATAATCCTTGCCTAACAGACACTTGACACTTCAGTCAATTTAATTTAAGCAATAATGTTGTTACTACAACCTAGAGATATCAGCGTTCCATATTTGCACTGGCAACAAGGTCAGTACTGTCTTCAAATTTAGTCACATCAGAGAAAAAATTCTAGATTTCCCATTTTAAGGAATAATTTCATCTATCAAAAAATTGATCATTTTTCATTCAAATACAAAGGAAGACCCACTCTAAAAATGCTAGAAAATGAGGATTTAAGAATTAGGGCTTACATTCAAATATTGGGAGAATTGAGAGACAGAAGATTGAGGAAGTCACATAAAAAGTCAGGAAGTTACAGCCAGCAGGCCAGGGGAGACAGAAGCATAGAAAGCATAGAAGCATAAAAGTTAGAGTCCCTTTGGTTAGGGGTATGCCCCACTGCTATTTCTCCCCTTTATTTTCTTTAAAAAGTCATCAAGAAATTGAGCAATGCTCAAGAGCTTCTGCAATAGTTCCCAAGAGCTGCATCAGCCTGCAGGAGCAAAGTGGGTGGTTTTTAAATGCTCAGCAGGATACACGCAACCTCAGACCTGCAAGGATTTGCTTGCAAACATCTCTGGAGAAGGATGACTCTCCTCTCCTTCTCTTCAAACTTCCAAACATCGCATACGTTACCCTCAGTGGAAAACTCTAAAACAGAATCATATGGAAAAGGGGGATTTCCAGAAATTTAAATTATTACCCAGAATATTTAAGGAACTCAAACAATTCAATAGCAAAACAAACAAACAAACAAATAATCCAATTTAAAAATGGGCAAAAGCCCTGAATAGGCATTTCTCAAAAGAAGACATAAAAATGATCATCAGATCTATTTTTTTTAATGCTCAACATCACTAATCATCAGGGGAATGCAAATCAAAATCATAAGATATCCAGTTACAATGGCTGTTATCAAAAAGACAGAAGATATGTATTAGCAAGGATGTATAGAAAAGGAAGCCTTTATACACTGTTGGTGGGAATTTATGTAAGAGTAACCATTATAAAAACAGTATGGAGGTTCCTCAAAACTAAAAATAGAACTACCAAATGATCCGGCAATTCTGCTACTGGATATATATTCAAATGAAATAAAATCAGTATGTCAAAGAAATATTTGCATCCCCATGTTTATTGAAGCAATATTCATAATAGTTAAAATATGGACCAACCTAAGTGTCCATTGACAGATGAATGGATGAAGAAAATGTGGTATATATACATAATGGAATATTGTTCATCCATAAAAAAGAATAAAATCCTGTTTTTTACTACAGCATGGATAAAGAACATCATGTTAAGTGAAATAAGCCAGACATGGAAAGACAAGTACTGCATGTTCTCACTCATATGTATAATCTAAAAAGGTTGATCTTACAGAAGTAAAGAGTAGAATAATGGTTACTAGAGGCTGGAGAGGGTGGAAGGAGGGATGCACAGAGGTTGGTCAATGAGTACTAAGTTACAGTTAGATAGGAGATATCAATTCTGGTGCTCTGTTGCACAGTAGGGTGACTAGAGTCACCCTATTAACAATAATGTACTGTATACTTCAAAATAGCTATAAGAGAGCATTTTGAATGTTCTCACCACAAAGGAATGATAAATATATGAGGCAAAGGATTGCTAATTATACTGATTTGATCATTACACAATATAAACATAAATTGAAATACTACATTTTATCCCATATGTATGTACAATTATTATATGTCAATTAAAAAATAAAATAACTATGATCAATATGCTAAAGACATGTATTAGTCCATTTTCACATTGCTATAAAGAACTACTTGAGACTGGATAATTCATAAGGAAAGGAGGTTTAATTGACTCACAGTGTGTCTGGAATTGGTGGGTTCTTGGTCTCACTGACTACAAGAATGAAACCGCGGACCCTCACGGTGAGTGTTACAGTTCTTAAAGGCGGCATGTCTGGAGTTTGTTTGTTCTGATGTTCGGGTGTGTTCCGAGTTTCTTCCTTCTGGTGGGTTCGTGGTCTCCCTGGCTCAGGAGCAAAGCTGCAGACCTTCATGGTGAGTGTTACAGCTCTTCAGGTGGCACATCTGGAGTTGTTCGTTCCTCCTGGTGGGTTCGTGGTCTCGCTGGCTTCAGGAGTGAAGCTGCAGACCTTCGCGGTGAGTGTTACCGCTCATAAAGGCAGTGTGGACCCAAAGAGTGAGCAGCAGTAGGATTTACTGCAGAGAGCGAAAGAACAAAGCTTCCACAGTGTGGAAGCGGACTCAGGGGGTTGCCACAGCTGGCTCCGGTAGCCTGCTTTTATTATCTTATCTGGCCTCACCCACATCCTGCTGACTGCTCCATTTTACAGAGAGCCGAGTGGTCTGTTTTGGCAGGGCGCTGATTGGTGCGTTTACAATCCCTGAGCTAGACACAAAGGTTCTCCATGTCCCCACTAGATTAGCTAGATACACAGTGTCCACACAAAGGTTCTCCAAGTCCCCACAAGAGTAGAGTAGCTAAATACAGAGTGTCCATTGGTGCATTCACAAACCCTGAGCTAGACCCAGGGTGCTGATTGGTATGTTTACAAATCTTGAGCTAGATACAGAGTGCTGATTGGTGTATTTACAATCCCTCAGCTAGACATAAAGGTTCTCCAAGTTCCCACCAGACTCAGGAGCCCAGATGGCTTCACCCAGTGGATCCCCTACCGGGGCCGCAGGTGGAGCTGCCTGCCAGTTCCGCACGGTGCACCCGCACTCCTCAGCCCTTGGGTGGTCGATGGGACTGGGCACCGTGGAGCAGGGGGCGGCACTCGTTGGGGAGGCTTGGGCCACACATGAGCCCACGGAGGTGGGGGAGGCTCAGGCATGGCAGGCTGCAGGTCCCGAGCGCTGCCCCACAGGGAGGCAGCTAAGGCCCCGCGAGAAATTGAACACAACAGCTGCTGGCCCAGGTGCTAAGCCCCTCACTGCCTGGGGCCTGCGGGTGGCCCGGTGGCTCCGAGTTCAGGGCCCACTGAGCTCACGCCCACCCAGAACTCGTGCTGGCCCGCAAGCGCGGTGCGCAGCCCCGGTTCCCGCCCGTGCCTCTCCCTCCACACCTTCTTGCAAGCTGAGGGAGCCGGCTCCGGCCTTGGCCAGCCCAGAAAGGGGCTCCCACGGAGCTGCGGCAGGCTGGAGGGCTCCTCAAGCATGGCCAGAGTGGGCGCCAAGGCGGAGGAGGTGCAGAGAGCGAGCGAGGGCTGTGAGGACTGCCAGCACGCTGTCACCTCTCAACAGTTCTGCAGGCTGTACAGAAAGCATGGCTGGGGAGGCCTCAGGGAGGCCTCAGGAAGCTTACAATCATTGTGGAAAGTGAAGCGAAAGCAGTCACATCTTACATGGCCAGAGAAGGAGGAAGAGAGTGAAGGGGAAGTGCTGTACACTTTTAAACAACCAGATCTCTTGAGAACTCACTATCACAAAACAGCAAGGGGGAAGTCTGCCCCCGTGATCCAATCACTTCCCACCAGGACCCTCCTCCAACATTGGGGATGACAAGTCAACATAAGATTTGGGCAGGGACACAAATCCAAACCATATCAGGACTCTATTGGAAAGAATGGACAATATGCAACAACAGATAAGTAATGTAAGGAGAGAGATGGAAACTCTAAGAAAGAATCAAAATAAAATGTGAGAAATCAGAAACACTGCAGCAGAAATGAAAAAAAATGTCTTTGATGACCTCCTCAGTAGACTGGATAGGGTCAAGAAAATACTCAATGGGTGCACTTCCAAGATGGCCGAATAGGAACAGCTCCAGTCTACAGTTCCCAGCGTGAGCAACATAGAAGACAGGTGATTTCTGCATTTCCAACTGAGGTACCGGGTTCATCTCACTGGGGCTCGTTGGACAGTTGGGACAGGACAGTGGGTGCAGCCCACCGAGTGTGAGCTGAAGCAGGGGAGGCATTGCCTCACCTGGGAAGTGCAAGGGGTCAGAGAATTCCCTTTCCTAGCAAAGGGAAGCGGTGACAGACGGCACCTGGAAAATCAGGTCACTCCCACCCTAATACTGCGCTTTTCCAATGGTCTTAGCAAAGAGCACACCAGAAGATTATATCCCGCTCCTGGCTCAGAGGGTCCCATGCCCACGAAGCCTCACTCATTGCTAGCACAGCAGTCTGAGATCAAACTGCAAGGCGGCAACGAGGCTGGGGAAGGGGTGCTCGCCATTGCTGAGGCTTGAGTAGGTAAACAAAGCAGCTGGGAAGCTCTAACTGGGTGGAGCCCACCACTGCTCAAGGAGGCCTGCCTGCCTCTGTAGACTCCACCTCTAGGGGCAGGGCATAGCCAAACAAAAGGCAGCAGAAACCTCTGCAGACTTAAATGTCTCTGTCTGACAGGTTTGTGCATTGTGCACATGTACCCTAGAACTTAAAGTGTATTAAAAAAAATACTACACAAAGGGTACATAATGCTGCACAAACTCTTTCAGAAAAAATGAGGAGGAAAGATAAGAAGGGGAAAAACATCCCAATTAATTTAGCGAAACTATTACCTGTTACTAAAGACAGATAAAAACACTCTAAGAAAACTGTAGAACAATACTCGCACAGAAACAAAAATTTTTAACAAAATTTTGGCAAATTAAGTCCAGCAATACGCAGAAAAAGACAATCATCTAATAAAAAGGGCTTATCCTAGGAATGCAAGGTTTGTCAAATATCCAAATATTAAAAAACGCAATATATCATATTAATACAACAAATTTTTCCTTATGAACATCTCAATAGAGGCAGGAAAAAGCACATGATAAAATTCAACACCAATTAATGACAAAAAATTCTCAGCAAACTAATAAGAGATATCCTTAAACTGATAAAAGGCATCTTAAAAAATAAAACCTACAGTTAACATATTTAACTGTGAAAGGCTGAATTTTTTCTATCTAAAAATCAGAAAAATATCAATGAACATTGCTTTTCCTAATTTCTATTGACCATTGTACCAGGGAGCCTAGCCAGTGGAATAAAGTGACAAACCGTAACAAAAAGCATCCAGATTGGGAAGAAGTAAAACTGTCCTTATTCACAGATGATATAATAATGTATACTAAAAAATCCTAAGGAGTCTGCAAAAAAATGACTTCTGTAACTTAATAGGTTAATTGAACAAAGATGCAGGATAGAAGATGTAAATGAAGATGATATATCCAGCATGTTCAGTCATGAGGACACTTAATATCGTTAAGAGGTCAATTTTCTCCAAATTTATAGACTCAACAAAATCTTAGTAACTTTTTTAAAGAAATTGACAAGTTTATTCTAAAATTTACATGGAAAAGCAAAGATCTAGAATAGCCAAAACAACTTTTAAAAGGAACGAAGTCGAAAGGATACCTGATTTTAATGCATATAATAAAGCTACAGTAACCAATGCAATATAATATTTGCATAAGTATAGATGTATTAGGAAAATAGAACTGAATAGAAAGTCTTGAAATAGACTCAGAAAGAGATCAGAACTTCCACAAAAGTATCAAGATAATTCAATGGATTAAAGGGCACTGTTTTCAATAAACTATACTGGAATAAAGCATTTTTTCTATATGAAAAAAATTTAAAACTTGATCCTTTCCATACACCAAAACAGTTCATTCACAATGGATCAGAGACCTAAACATGAGAGCTAAACTATAACACCTCTAGAAGAAAAGCAAAGTAGAAAACCTTCATGACACTGAGTTAGGCAATAGTTTCTATGATAGAAGCCAAAAAGAATGAATCATTTAAAACATTAATAAATTATACTTCATCAAAGTTGAAAGTTGAATCCTTTCTTTGTCAAAAAGACACAGAAAAATATTAAAAAGCCACGGATTGGGAGAAAATATTAGTAAATATTTATTCAACAAAAGGCTTGCATCCAGATTATATAAAGAACACTCAGTAATAAGAGAAACAACCCAATTTATTAAAGGGCACTTCACAAACAAAGACATACAAATGGATAAAAAGCATATAAACAGATGTTTGAGACAATTGGTCATTGGGGAAATGCAAATTAAAATCACAGTGAGATCCCATTATACAATCACTGGAATAGCTAAAATTTTAAGAACTGACAATACCAACTATTAATAAGAATGTGGAACTGGAACCCATATATTGCTGACGGGCAGGATCGCAAATGGTACAGCCACTTTGTAATTTGGCAGTTTCTAGCAGGTACACTTAAATACTTATACAGCCCAGCAATTATATTCCTAGTTATCTATCCAACAGAAACAAAAATGTATGTCCACACAAATATGTATATGCAATTCCTCTTAACAGCATTATTTATAGTAGTCAAAAAAATATAGAAACAACGCAAATGTCCATCAACTACTGAGTGGATATAGTGGATAAAATTCCATTCAATGATACTATTCACAATAAAAAAGAGCAAACTGTTAATACACACAAAAACATGAATGAATCTCAAAACCATCAAGCTATTAAAAGAAGCCAGAAACAAAAAAACCAGAAACTGTATGATTCCATGTTTATTAAATTCTAGGAAATGTAAGACTCTAATGACAGAAAGTAGGTCAAGGTCACCTAAGGTAGGAGGTAGGAGCAGGAAGTGACTGCAAAGGGGCATGAAGAAAATTTTAGTGTGATGGAAAGTTTCTAAAATTTATTGCATTGGCTGGGCATGGTGGCTTATGCCTGTAATTCCAGCACTTTGGGAGGCCGCGGTGGGCGGATCACCAGAAGTCAGGAGTTTGAGACCAGCCTGGCCAATACGGTGAAACCCCATCTCTATTAAAAATACAAAAATTTAGCCTGGCACTGTGGCGGGCACCTGTAATCCCTACTACTTGGGAGGCTGAGGCAGGAGAATCACTTGTACCAAGGAGGCGGAGGTTGCAGTGAGCCGAGATCACATCATTGCACTACAGCGTGGGTGACAAGAGCAAGACTCACTCAGCAGAGGCAGTCTCAAAATTAATTAAATAAATAAATAATAAAAAATAAAATTGATTGCACTGTGGTTTCATGTCTGTACATATTTACTAAAACTCATTGAATAACATACTTTGAAAAGTGAATTTTATTGTACATAAATTATATCTAAATAAATCAGAAGGAAGGATGGAGGGAAAGGGAGAAGAAGAGAGGAAGGGAGGGAAAAAAGGCCTGAGTCTGGTCATCAGAAAACATCAAACAGACCCAGATTGAAGCTCATCCTGCACTACAAAAAAACCATACTCTGTAAGACTTTCAAGGACATAAGAAACAAGAAGAAAGTATGAGGAAGTGTTCCAGATTAAAGAAGACTTGTAAAATATGACAACTTAATGCAACATATGTTCCTGTATAGAATTTTGGCCCCAAAATGAAAAGGAGACAATATTGAGACAGCTGGCAACATCTGGATGGGACCACCAGTTCATAATTGGATGATAGTATTGTACTGATATTCCTGCCTGTGAGGAACGATGGTTATGTAAGAGAGTGTCTCACTTTGGGAAGTTGCACACTGGAGTAGTTAGCAGTAGTGGTGCACCATGTCTGAAAAACTGGGCATGTATAGGGAAAGAGAAGGCGAAGGAACAAATGTGGTAAAATGTTAACAGATGAAGAATCTGGTTGACTCACAGGAAGCAGGTATTGTTTGTACTGCCTTTGTATCCCTTCTTTATGTTTGAAATGATTTTAAAATTGTTTACAATGTAAAAATAATAAATAGATCAATTGACAAATAGAAAAATGAAGAGAGATACCATTTTTATGAATGGAAGACTCAATATTATACCCAAACTGAGCTAACTACCTGTATGAAGTCAGTTAAGATACAGAGCTAAAAACCATATACTGTCCATCACTTGTTCAGAAACCTTCAATGGCTCCTCATTACCCACCTAATAAGGGGATTACACTAAACTAGATAATACTTGCAAAGCACCTTACTCATGACCCAACATAGTGGGAAGTAAGTACCTTTTATATCCTTTCAGAATTATGTCTGGTATTTAAAGGCCTTCATAATCTAGGCATAATCTGTCTTTTCCTTTCTTTTAAAATTCATTCATGCATCGAATACATATTTACTGAGTGTCTTCTATACCTCAGTCACTAAGGAGACATGATGGATAATATAAATATAATTACCCCCTTATGGTGCCTAGATGAAACCATTATCCAGCCAAACTTGTCATTCACTATTGTGAAACAAGCCTTTCTAAAACAAAACACGATTCATTAACTCGCTTCCCTATTCAACAAATACTCTTTAATTTCATTCTGGCTTTCAAAACTGTACCTACTATAAAGGCATAGTTCAAATGCTTGTTCTTCTAAGAAACTTCTTTGATAATCTCAAGACAAACTCGATGACAATTTATTAGTTTTTCTAGTATGGGTCTTACAACATACAGCCTTTTGATTGCACTTATTTAGACCTAGCATCTTAGAGCAAAAAAGAGAACAGGTTTGTCAAATTCCAATGCCATCATTGAAAAGAGGCTAGTAAAGAATCTTGATGTAATAGGGGAGGTGAGAGCTGTGGTCAAGTAGAGAGGCATGCCAGGTCTAAAGTGTTCAAATTCACCTTCTTCAAAATATGTGGGCAAAAATAACAACCTCAAGTTTAGATTCTCTTGTATAAATTCATAGATGAGGAAAAAAGATCCAATAGAGAGTGGCTGAGCCAGAATGTCGCAAATTTGTGAGCAGGATCAGAAACCATTTAATGATCATAGACACCGTTTTCAACTTTATTTTAAACTCCAGGTGATTCAACCCAGAACTTCTCAGAGTTGGTGACCAAACAACGATAAATGACTCAACAATATCCTCTCTGCAGCTGGCTATCTGGAAGCCAGGCCCTCATCACCCACAATGTGTAGGATGGACTGTGCCAGTCAGGTTCTGGAGGAGGTGAGGCACCCAAGTTCGTGCCAGCCGGTTAACCTGTTTTTGAAACTACCTTTGCAAAAATTATAAATGAGGAAATTATGACAGTGAAACAGATTGGACCTAATCCACTCCTTCTTGCTTCTAACCTTTAAACTCCTTGTTCATTCCTGGGCTTAGGCCGAACTAACTTTGGGAAGGAATTCATTTCACAGTTTGACTCTGAAACAAAATTGATAATAGCTCTTTTCTGAAAAGATCCCCTTGTTGCCTGGGGACTAATCTGCCTTTGCAGGACTAACAAATTATCTACAAGATTAGAAATTAAGGTTAGGGGTCATGCAGCCTCTGGCGCCAAGAGTCTGAACCTCCGCAAATTGCTCCTGGGGAAAACATCATTATTGTAAAACCGAAGCTCGGTGCTTGAGATATTTTGCAGACCCTTCACTGGATGGTTGAGCTGACACCACCCAGACAAGTAATCTGGGTCAACTAGTTCTGCCATCCCACCCAGGAACAGAAGATGGCAAGAAAACCTGACTTCAACCACACTATGATTCCCTGACCAACCTGACCAATCAGCACTCCCCAGTTCCCGAGCCCCTGCCAGCCAAATTATCTTTAAAAACTCTGATCCCATCCCAGAATGCTGGAGAGACTGATTTGAGCAATAAAAAAACTCTGGTCTCCCGCACAGCCGGCTCTGCGTGCCTTACTCTTTCTCCATGGCAATTCCCCTTCCTTGATAAATCTTCTCTGTCTAGGCAGCGGGCAAGGTAAACCCACTGGGTGGCTAAACTTTGATCCGACAACGCCTTGAGAAGTCAGAAAGCAGCCTCAGGCTGGGCCACCCCAGGGCATGCTGGGCCACCCCAGGGCGTCCTCCGCCATACTCCCTCTCCCGCCTCCGCCAGTGCGGCCCCAGCTGCCCTCGCCACAACAAACCGCCTCCTTCAGGCTCACCTTGACATATGAGCAGGATGCAGTAGAAAATCATGAAGCAGCGAATGTTATTGCAACACTCACAGCAGGTGCTGACTAAGCAGCCCAAACCACAGGGCTGCTCCAAACTGTCATCCACTTCTCCCGGCTTCTTGGAAACTGAGGACTTGGCTTTTTTCCTTTTTCGGAAACCGCCGAACCTTATCAAGGCCTCTGGAAGTAGTCTCAGATACCGGTGTTTTTTCCCGGGCTTCGAGGACTTCGGGGTTCCCTTGGCCCTCCTGTCCTTAGCAGGCTGGGCCCGCGCGGCCTCCAGCGGCTCTACTCCCCTTGAGACTTCATCCTGGCTCCCAGAGTGCCGGGCGACGCCTACGAACATGGCTCACCCTGGGCGGCTCCTGGCGACGCGGCCCGAGTGCTCTCGGCTGCCCGTCCTGCCTGGGCCAACCCAAAGGCCAGCCTGGCGAGGGCGTCGGAGGACTCGGTGGCCACAAGGGGCTCTTGCCGCCCAAGCCTCCAGAGCGAACGTTTCTCCTAGGGCAGGAGGCAAACGTCCTCCCGGGGGTTGACGGTTGAGAACTTCCAAAGCTGTTTTCCTTCTTTTCTTCCACGTGCGGAAGGAAAAAAAAAAGCTAAAACTAGATTTTGATAACTGCTAACACAGACAAAGAGCACCAGAAGCATGGAAAAAAAAAAAAAGTGGAACTGTCCGTCCCCAGTTTCCCCAGACTTACTTTATTATGGTGGCTTTCCAACTGAAAAATCTCACTAGAAACAACCTGAAAATTGTTGAAGGACCAGGAGAGAGCAGAAGACATTAAAACAACAACAACAACAACAACAACAAAAACAGTTTCACCACAGTAAAAGATTTGGACGCACAAAAATCAGAAATCAATGTCCGACTGAATGTCCTTAAGTGAAGTGTTTTACACATAGAAATTATTGCCCTACAAACTCTATCCCAACTCAAGAACAGAAAAGATTATCATTTTCCACCTTAAATGAGGGCACGAGAACCAGAGGATTATTTTTTCAGGTATAAAAACTTTATTGAAGAGAAAGAATGTAAGCGAAGAGTAGTAGGATATGAAACGTGGCTTTCTTTTTTTAATGAAAATGCAACTTCTTATTGGTTTTCTTTTCTTAGGCTGATATATAAGCTCTTTAGGCCATGTATATGTGGAGGGTGACTTTCCAGGAGAGATGGCACTATCTTCTCTCCTATGGATTAGACATTGTGTTGCCAAAAACAATTTAGCTCTTCAACAAGATTTTGTGCTGCTCCAATAGTGCTGGCCTGGTAGACCAGGGAAAGAAGAATTAAGAACCACTGACCTGAAGCCTGATTTCGACTCTACACTGCTTCATGATAATAAATGTAAAAAAAAAAAAAAATCCACAGGAATCCTAGGAGGTAGGAAAGACAGTGGGGAGTGGTGGGCTCTTATTCTTGTGCTTCAAAACCAGAATAGGTACTGCTTGGGTGCAGAGCGGAAAAGACAACTCCATTAAAAATGAATGGTACTGGGAATTTTACTTCTACCCAGAATGTAGAAAGCCAAATAAAATGTAACCCCCACTCCAATAATAACAACAACAACAAAGCTGGATAGTATGAAAAAATACTTTTTTTATCAGAGAGCTACATTTCTATAGCTATGGCTGCTGTAAAGAAACTAGGCAAATTGATTCTAAAGGACAATAAGCCCTTCAGAAAAAGGATGGGACACACAAACCATTTTACTTTTCAAAGAGCACAGAAAGAAGAAAAAGCAGTCATAAAGGAAGATAGAAACACTTGAAATTTTAATGAATTCTTAAAGGCCAAGGGAAGCTTAACAGTTTAGAAACCCTAGAAGCCTAAGAAATAAGGGGAGTCTATACCCGTTTACCAGATCTTTGTTTAAGGGAAAAGATTTGGTCGTGGTAGACTGTCCCTGAGAAAGAAGAAGGAATACTTTCCCTCCTACCTCCACTGACCCTTCTGCTATCCAAAGCAAAAGCAGTTTTGCCTCTGGGATTGAGGCAGGAAACTCTCATGCCCTCCAGTCTGTGACAAAGGTTATCTGTTACAGAAGAAAAAACCCACTGAAGGAGGAGCAGCAAACCATCCTGTCTATGGCCTACCTTAAGATTGACTGCCACCAGAGAGAGGGATAGAAATAAAACAGTTTGCCAAAAAGAGAGGAGCAGGAACTTCATTTCTTCCCAAGAACCCCACTGAAACAAGGCAAAGCCCGAACTTGAGGTTCAGGCATTCAGGGCATGTCCAAAATTGAGGCTGGACCAGGGACAACCTAGCTTCTGCCTCGATGAGGAGTTTTGCATGAGTGAAAAAACAGCACTCCACCAATATAGGTGAGTCAAGAGAGCAGAGGGAAACCCTACCTGTGGTGCAAGCATACAGGACCTGCTGAAAGCTAAGGGTGGAATGGAAACACTGACAAACATACCTTCAACATTCTTTGATCAGCATATTTTTATTACATAATGTAGGACACTGTCATCCAGCTACAAAAATTGTACTCTAAGTATTTAAGTAGAAATTGTGGATATTTGTTTACCTTGCTCATTTAACCTTAGAAAACATCACACTTAATTCATTTTGGCTACCTTTATGATAGTACCATGCATGATAGAATTTCATGGTATGGATTTACTATAATTTATTTAACCACTTTCTTTTATATTGATGGGTATTGGATTGTTTTTCAATTTTTGCTCTGACCATACTGAAATTAACATGGTTGTATGTATTTTCCTGAGACAGATCACTGATTTTAAAAATCTTTTTATAGATGATGTCGATCAGAGTTATAAAACTATCTCAATTCCAGAAATATTAAATGTGAAAAAAATTATCTTTGAATCTTAAAATGTATGCATATTAATTACATGTTTCCTAAAAGTTAGCAAGTAATTATAGTATAAAATTTCGATACAGGCAATGAAATATAGCTACCAACTAAAGCATTCCCTGATGAGTTCAGCAATCCAAGTGCTTAAGATATTCAAGAAACCAGCTTAAATTAAACAATGAATGTTTATGAGGTGCTCTTTTATATTCTCTATGTAATATCTATTTCCGCTAAATGCTCTAAACATGTAGGAAGAACTACTCACTAAAGTAACATATTGATGATAATTCATATAATCCTTTTAGCAAATGAGCCTATGAAGTAGATAAACCGCATGATGGTGCAAATTATAATAATGTAGCTTAATATAAGATGACCTCAACTATTAAGAGATATAGAACTGTTTTCTCTTTTAGTAAATGGTTTCTCATTTGCTTTGCTTTCCTGGTAAATGATTTTTACTTCCTCCCTGATAGACAGTAGTGACATTTTGCTACAATTTCTAATATGCTACCACCTATAATATTGCAGTGACGCTTGTTACATCTTTCCTTCACAATATAAGATTTACAGGTCCTATGTTGAAACTAATGTTAGATATCTGGGTGCTATAAGTACTATTTTTCTTGATAACTACAGACTTTTTATTTTACTTTTTGCTTTCTGTGAATCTTTTCAGTTTACTGAGATTAGAAGTCTAACTGCTAGATAAGTAAAATGCTACATAATTTTTTAAGTCCAGAAGAAAACAAAGGCAACTGGAGGAAACGGGTGGGGACATGAAAGAAAGAAGCATTATATGTAATGAATAAAGTATAGACTTTGCTTAGTTGATATGTGATTTGGGGTAAGTCTTTTAAACATTCTGACCCTTAATTCTTCATTTGTAAAATGAGGATAATAATTATCCCATTTGAAAAATTACTGTGAAGATTAGAAGCAATATATTAAAAGTATCTAGCTCATTTTTGGCATATGCTTAAACAAAGATAATTATGTTTCAAATTATTAGAATAATGAGCCACCATATTAAAAAGTAACTACTGTTATATATACCTCCCTACAAGTCAGACCCTCATTGGTGAGTAGAGATTTACCAATTGAGGGGGAAAACCTATCAGCAAATGTTTTCACAAAAGGCTGTAAAGAGATGGCAACATTTCAGATTATCTGTAATGAACTGGTAGAATTCAGATAAGTAATAATGTTTGCAGGAGGCATAGCAGACTAAGTTGATGTTTGTTGTGAGGTACATTAGAGGTATTTTTCTTTTCCTTTCTTTTTTTTTGAGATAGAGTCACACTCTGTCACCAAGGCTGGGGTGCAATGGCCCAATCTCGGCTCACTGGAACCTCTGTCTCCTGGGTTCAAGTGATTCTCTTGCCTCAGCCTCCTGAGTAGCTGGGACTACAGGTGCGTGCCACCACACCTGACTTGTTTTTTGTTTTTGTTTTTGTTTTTGTTTTGTATTTTTAGTAGAGACAGGGTTTCATAATGTTAGCCAGGATGGTCTCAATCTCCTGAACTTGTGATCCGCCTGCCTTGGTCTCCCAAAGTGCTGGGATTAGAGGTGTGAGCCACCAAACCTGGCCCATTAGAGGTAATGTTTAAGACACTTAGGAAGAAAATCAAGTGCTGTGACAATAAGTTGTAAAGCTTCATGAAGTAGCTTCAGGGACAACAAATTACCCTGATGGGGAGAGAGCTAGAATCAAAAGTGGAATAATATTTAGATCCCCAGAAATGGTTCCCTACCTGAGACCTTATGGAAACAGAGACAGTCAGAAGAAACTGGGAGGCCTGGAATCTTACAATTAAGAAATGTGTAAACATTGAAATAAACATGATATGGTTTGGCTGTGTCCCCACCCAAATCTCATCTTGAATTCTCATGTGTCATGGGAGGGACCTGGTGAGGCAGTTTCCCCCTTACTGTTCTCATAGTAGTGAATAAGTCTCACAAGATCTAATGGTTTTATAAGGGTTCTGCTTTTGCTTCTCTCATTCTCTCTTGCCACCACCCCGTAAGAAGTGCCTTTCACATTCTGCCATGATTATGAGGCCTCCCCAGCCATGTGGAACTGTAAGTCCATTAAACCTCTTTCTTTTGTAAATTACCCAGTCTCAGTATGTCTTTATCACCAGTGTGAAAACAAACTAATACAGTAAATTGGTACCAGTAGAGTGGGGCGCTGGTGAAAAGGTATCCGAAAATGTGGAAGCAACTTTGGAACTGGGTAACAGGCAGAGGTTGGAACAGTTTGGAGGGCTCAGAAGAAGACAGGAAAACATGGGAAAGTTTGGAACTCCCTAGAGACTTGTTGAATGGCTTTGACAAAAATTCTGATAATGATATGGACAATGAAATCCAGGCTGAGGTGCTCTCAGATGGAGATGAAGAACTTGTTGGGGACTAGAGCAAAGGTGACTCTTGTTATGTTTTAGCAAAGAGAGTAGTGACATTTTGCCCCTGCCCTAGAGGTTTGTGGAACTTTGAACTTAAGAGAGATGATTTAGAGTATCTGGCAGAAGAAATTTCTAAGCAGCAAAGCATTCAAGAGGTGACTTGGGTGCTGTTAAAGGCATTCAGTTTTAAAAGGGAAACAGAGCATAAAAGTTTGGAAAATTTGCAGCCTGACAATGTGATAGAAAAGAAAATCCCATTTTCTAAGGAGAAATTCAAGCCAGCTGCAGAAATTTGCAAAAGTAACGAGGAGCCAAATATTAATCACCAAGACAATGGGGAGAATATCTCTAGGGAAAGTCAGAGACTTTTGTGGCAGCCCTTCCCATTACAAGCCCAGAGGTTTAGGAGGAAGAAATGGCTTTGTGGGCCGGGCCCAGGGTCCCCATGCTGTGTGCAGTCTAGAGACTTGGTGCTGTGTGTCCTAGCTGCTCCAGCCATGATTAAAAGCGGTCAAGGTACAGCTCAAGCTGTTGCTTCAGAGGGTGGGAGCCCCAAGCCTTGGAAACTTCCATGTAGTGTTAAGCCTACAGGTGCACAGAAGTCAAGAATTGAGGTTTGGGAACCTCTGCCTAGATTTCAGAGGATGTATGGAAACGCCTGGATGCCCAGGCAAAGTTTGCTGCATTGGGCAGTGCCTCATGGAGAACCTCTGCTAGGGCAGTGAGGAAGGAAAATGTGGGGTAGGAGTTCCAACACAGAGTCCCTACTGGGGCACTGCCGAGTGGACCTGTAAGAAGAGGGCCATGGTCCTCCAGCCCCCAGAATGGTAGGTCTATCAAGAGCATGCACCATGTGCCTGGAAAAGCCACGGACACTCAATGCCAGCCCATGGAAGCAGCCGAGAGGGGGGCTATACCCTGCAAAGCCACAGGAGCAGAGTTGCCCAAAGTTGTGGGAGCCCACCTCTTGCATCAGCATGACCTGGATGTGAGACACGGAGTCAAAGAAGATCATTTTGGAGCTTTAAGATTTGACTGCCCCACTGGATTTCAGACTTTCATGGGGCCTGTGGCCCCTTTGTTTTGGCTAATTTCTTCCATTTGGAATGACTTTATTTACCTAATGCCTGTACCCCCATTGTATCTAGGAAGTAACTAACTAGCTTTTGATTTTACAGACTTATAGGTGAAAGGGACTTCCCTTCTCTCAGATGAGACTTTGGACTGTGGACTTTTGAGTTAATGCTGAAATGAATTAAGACTTTGAGGTATTTTTGGGAAGGCATGATTGGTTTTGAAATGTACGGACATGCGATTTGGTCGGGGCGAGGGGTGGAATGATATGGTTTGGTTCTGTCCCCACCCAAATCTCATCTTGAATTCCCACGTGTTGCGGGAGGGACCCGTTGGGAGATACTTGAATCATGGGGGCAGTTTTACCCATACTGTTCTTGTGGTAGTGAATAAGTCTCATGAGATCTGATGGTTTTATAAGGGGTTTCCGCTTTCACTTCTCTCTCATTCTCTCTTGCTGCCACTATGTAAAAAGTGCCTTTTGCCTTCCACCATGATTGTGAGGCCTCTCCAGATACGTCGAACCGTAAGTCCATTAAACCTATTTTTCTTCCCAGTCTCGAGTATGTCTTTATCAGCAGCATGAAAATTGACTAATACAAAACTATTTTTACTCATTAGGTAGAAATTCAGAAATTCAGTGTGTAAAATGGTAAAGTGGATTGAAGTTGAAGATATTAGATCATTTAAGAAGTCAATAAATGAAGTAATAAACATGCGAATGAGAAGACTGATGATGAAGAGGACCTTTAAAAGTGTATTTCTGTTACGGTTATTTTTTTTTTAAAGTGATTTGAAGCCATTTATAATGATTGCTAAGTGGCATGCTAAAGTTTTAAAAACAAATAAAGCATTAAAAAATAAGTATTTTTGAAAAGAAATTCTTCTGACACTTGTTACAATAGTAAGGAAGACTTTACTGAGGACTATTGTAACGTAGGAGAGAAACTGTGCTCAGCTCGTGAATACAACAAAAACAAGCAAGTATTTGTAAGCTAAAGAGCAGATTGAGGGTGTCAGTGGATGGAAAATTATTAACAGGAGATATCAAAGGTAGGGAGATTCTTGCTAAACTGACTTAACAGGATTCTTGCTAAAGGCAGGCCAAGGACTTAGATATCAAGGGTGTGGGATGAGGAACTTGATCAGATATGAAGGTTGATCAGACATTGAGGGTCTAATGACTTAGCAGGATTCTTTGCTAAGTCTTATTTAGACAGGCTGAAGACAGAGCCCAAGGATGAGGCCTACACAAAAAGAGGGCTCAATAGAGTCTGTTTAAAGTTTGATCAAAGAGTCTTTGTCGGTATGTATATTTAATGGTTTGCTTTTTGCACTGTTAACATTTGGTTTATGGTACCTGAAATAAATCTATTTTGATATATAGGTAATTTTGAAGATAATACCTTAACAAGTTTTGAAAATAACGTGTCTCATTGATGTGTTGAAAAGCTTATCAGCCAAATAATAAATTTATTAAATAAAGCTCATCAGTCAATACCACTGCTAACACCTTCATAGCAGTAAGGGAGAATGGATAGCAAAGGGAATCAGGGAAGTATACTTAAAGGGTTTTGGGTGCTAGAGTTAGTCACAGGGTGGTCATGTCAGGGAATGGTGAGAACTTGTGAACTACGCAGGTTGTGGCACAGTCAGTGATTGAATTTTCAAAACACGTTAAGAATGTGGGGAGTTATTGTTGGATCAGTTTGCATGTATCAGGGTACAAGATCTACAGACATATGGGTCCTAAGGAATAGATGTTAAAAGAGATTGACTTTAAGAGATCAGTGTGGTCTGTAGTCACGATTTGTTTGCATAAGTTTATCTGATTTGCTAGTGCATTTTGCCAGCTGTGGTTTCTGTTGATATCCTTAGCCCTCTCTTACAAATTAGCTGCCAGTAGGGATTCCCCTTTTCCTCTACTTCATCAGAGGTACTACTGTTTTAAAAGATTTAATTTGCAGCCGGGCACAGTAGCTCACGCCTGTAATCCCAGCACTTTGGGAGGCCAAGGCGGGCAGATCATGAGGTCAGGAGATCGAGACCATCCTGGCTAACATGGTGAAACCCCATCTCTACTAAAAATACAAAAAAAATTAGCCTGGCGTGGTGGTGGGCGCCTGTAGTCCCAGCTACTCGGGAGGCTGAGGCAGAAGAATAGCGTGAACCTGGGAGGCAGAGCTTGCAGTGAGCCGAGATCGCGCCACTGCACTCCAGCCTGGGCGACAGAGGGAGACTCTGCCTCAAAAAAAAAAAAAAAAAAAAAAGATTTAATTTGCTGCCATCTAGAGGGCATATACTTTTATTCTTAGACTAAGTCTAAAAGAAATGGATTTTGACATTTAAAATAGATTTCCTCTTCTGTTACTTTTGTTACTTATGTTTTCTTTCTGGAAAATATTTTCAATTGTTTTTAATCACAAAGTTATTTAACATTTCCAATCTTGTTTCCAGTACTCTATCTATGAGAGGTGAACTATTGTTATTGATTATGAACAGTATACAACAATGTATCTTTGTTTATATTGTGGTAACTTCTTTTTTTTTGAGACAGAGTCTCACTCTGTCACCCAGGCTGGAGTGAAGTGGCCCCATCTCAGCTCATTGAAGCCTCTGCCTCCCGGGTTCAAGCGTTTCTCCTGCCTCAGCCCCTGAGTAGCTGGGATTACAGGCACTACCATGCCCAGCTAATTTTTGTATTTTTAGTAGAGATGGGGTTTCACCATGTTGATCAGTCTGGTCTCAAACTCCTGACCTCGTGATCCGCACACCTCGGCCTCCCAAAATGCTGGGATTACAGGTGTGAGCCACTGTGCCCTGTCTGTAACTTTTTAACTGTGCACAGTATATTTGTAAAACAAGTTCTAAAGCAAAATGAAATGGAGTTCATGGGTAAAGATCTCCTTTTTGCAGAATTCAGGGATGAGTCATGAATAGAGAAAGATCTTTGGAAGGTCAAGGAAGAGAGAAATACTGAAAAGGTATTGACGCAAATGCAGGAACTGAGTGGAAATATATACATATATATAAAATAACATTTACAAAATCCAAAGATTATTTACTTGCAACTATAAATGTGCTAAAGAGAAATACAGAATGCAATGAGAATATACAAGAAGATCTGCCCTAAGTTAGAGGATTAAAAAGGATTCCCTCAGAAATCATTTAAGCTAAGATCCAAAGAATGATAAAGAATTTTCTAAGCCAAGGACTAGGTATAAGAAGAACAGAGGGAACAGCTTATATGGCAGAAAAGAACATTGCACCTTCAAGGAATTGAGAAGGGGCCAATGTAGTTAGAGTCAAATGCACATGACCAATGTTACCGTGGTCATGTAAACATTAGAGGCTTTAATCTGCAGAACAATGGAAATTCATCAGTGACTGATAACACCATCACACAGCATATGTATTTCTCTTGCATTATTCTAGCTATAGTGAGCAACCAGTAAGAGGATTGACATGGGCAAGAAAACATATAGGGTGATATAGTTATCTTACTGAGATTTCATACATACTCTATGAAGATAACTATTTTGTATAGTCAGATCTCCCTCTAGGAATATCCAAATCTCTTCATCACATTTATTTTCCCTTCTCCAACCCTAGGAGGGAGAGAACATGTATTGTTCTCTAAATGTTCTCCTCAGAGAAACTCTTAATATTTATGCAGTCACCTTGTATAATTGTGAGGCTTTTAGGCCTTTTGAAACTAAAGCTAGGAAAACTCAATTTATTGTGTCAGCGAATTAACCTCTTCATAACTTTCCTCTGTGGTAATGAGCAAACAGCAAGCTTTTTCCTTTTATGGGAAAAAGAAAGGAATAAGAAAAGGAGGAAAATATACCAATATTTATTAGCTATTGCAAAAATGTCATCCAAGTATAGATAATTCTATATATTCAACAAACTTCAAACATAAATAATATGGTTCTGATAATGAATTCCAATTCCTTCTTATTTAAATAATAGAAGTCTTAAGACAAATGTACACAAGTGAATGGTATAAAATTGCTGTTATACATTTTTTGTCATCTAAAAAAGTCATTTATATACAGTTTGACCAAGAGTTTAGAATTTCCATGTTCTTTACCTATAATTTTTTATAAACTCACATTTTAAGAACCAAGGCATTATCAAGTGTATTTCAATACCTCTAGCCCTATAAACATACCTGTCTCAAACCTTTAAAAAACTAGATATTATGAAAGTCATCTTCTTCTAGGTATCTGTAAAGTGTTCTCTCATTGCACTGGAAGAGTTTTCTAGCCATGTTTCTTAGGACTACAACTTTTTATCGGAAACGATCTAAAAAACATCCTCCACTGTGCGGAGATCATTGATTTAGATGCTTCTTTTACTACAAAGTTTAAATCTAATATGCCCTCCCCACTCCCTACCATGTAGTGGCCCATTATATAAAGGCTATGTACATCACTAGTCTGCAATACAAGTAATCCAAGTCTGCATCCTGCTTGGATGGAGGAAACCCAGAGCTTTACCAGTTTCACTTTCTCCATGAATTTCTTGGATGTTTCTGAAGGATATTAACGTATTTTATAAATCCCTAATGTGAACCTATGATTTTTTAAAATGATACAATCACCACCCATACAAAAAATCAGTAGGGTCAAATATTTATTTATCACATTAATGAGGGTATCAGCAAGATCATGAGGCTGGTTCCAAAGTAATTGGGGAAAGCAAAGTATTTATAGTGGCTTAAAGACAGAAGAGTTGAGTAAGAATTCTAATTTAAATTGGCTAATGCTAATATTAATTGGTTAATATCTTATCAGGCATTAAAACTGTAACTTTCAGGAGTCATCTCTTTTTACAGGAAATCACTTGCATCTCTTGAATAAAATTCATTTCTATTACTATCAGAAAAGAGTCATTTGTATCAGTTTTCATACGTTAGTGTCTACCTTTACAGAGACAAAAAAAATTCTGTTCATTTCTAAATAGAAAGTCAAAGAAAAGTACTAACCCCTAGAGAATCAGATAATGCCATGTAGCCTCTGCTGGACAGTACCCAGCACAAAACTGAAAGAATATCCGATAATCTTATTTGCCTGTTTCCAAGGTTTTGATAATTTTTCTTAACATTTGCTTAATATCTGAGCTGCAAATTCCAGTAAGAAAGACACAGTACACATCTTCTGAAGCTTGCCACTAACTGACCTGAAACTAGCCGTGTCCAGGTTGTTACCCTTCTCTCCCAACAAATTAATCCTAAGTGTACACTCCAGCCAAAGTAGCCTACCATTTTGATTTGTCCAGGTCTGAGCGATTTCCTGAAATATTATATTTTTCAGTTCAAAAGTGGGAAATCCCAGGCAAACCAGGAGAAGTTGGTCATCCTAATACAAGCCTCTTCCTTAATTCCACAAAGAACAAGGAACCCCAAAATGTAATGTAACATAAAGCTAAATTTTACTTAAACCTTTGTGATATTATAATATAGAATTACCATATCAAAAAGAAGAGAAAAACTCAAAACCAGACATTACATACTCCCAGCACCCTCTGGGTCAAAGCATTCCAATGGAACTCCTTGAGGATATCTCCGCCCCTAGTCTCCAAACTCTTGCCACATTAGATTTAACTTCTCCACACACAGGAGTATCCTTCAGCATAATTGTCTGGACTAGGATGCAGAACCAGGACTCCCCAAGGACTCTAGAAGGAGATAAAATGGGGAGTTTTTTTATTATTCTGAAAGAAAACAAATTTCAGAGAGGTGACTTCATTGCTAAGTAAGAAAAAAGTTTATTTATAATGTGGAATAATTCCACTTTTTATTATGATATATTTCTGTTCCAGAATGGGATATTAGCTTACCTTAGGAACAGCCCTATTAAAATGTTTATATTTCTCCCCTAAAACAAAGAATATAACTGATCTCAAAGGTAAATTCAAGTTTCTCCACTTATAGAAACAAAAAATTCCTTGCAGTTTTGAAGTTGCAGAATTTTCCCCCACTTAATATGTGGTAATTTGTATTTTTCAAAGATGGCTGCAATAATATAACCTGCCGGTCATGTCCTCTCATGATGTGACATTGATAGCTCCCCATCAAAAGGTGGCATCTGTGTGTCTTCCCCTTGAATCTGGGCTGGCTTGTGACTACAGCCAAAGTGATGCATTCTGCCTTCTGATGCTAGGTCATAAAGGAATTTGAGACCCACCATCCTAAGTTAAAAATATATATACATAAATTCAAAAATAATTTTTAAAAATTGTGACACGGACATGACAAGCTAAGAATTGTGTTCACATACAGAAGTAGATAGGAATAAAAGATTTCTTGGCTCTAACCATCCCTAATTATTCTTAATACTTTCACCTGAAAATTCAATTAGGTCCTCCTTCAATTTTGTTGAAAGCAAAATATTGGAAATCGCCAAACTTGCAGAAATATTTTTAATTATTACCATCATTCGTTATTTCAACACTAACAACACCATTTCATATAGTTGCTTTGTTTGGCACAGGAACATTTATGCATTTAGTGAAAACAGCACAGTAAGATTCTGGATGAGTAAGAGGTGTGCCTTATATTGGAGTGTGGAAAAGAAAGGCTGTGAAAAGAGAGAGGAAAACAGGCATGACACTCTGGCATGACCCCTCCTCCAGCCTCAAGTTCTCAGGCACAGTACACGCGGAGTTCAGGTTCAGAAAATGGATTTCCTTCAAACAGTCCACAACTTTAAAAATGTTCATGTCTCAGGTTTAGGCCGCTGTATTAACTTACTTTTTTCTTAAAACAATGCCATGAAGTAGCTGCTTTTGATCTATTTTACAGATGAGAACATTTAGACAAAGATAATATTACATTACTTGCCCACGGTCACAAACTTACCAACTGGCAAAACCAGGATATACATCCAAGTTATTTCTAAAGCCCATATTCTTCGGCATTATCCAGTGTGCCCCTCAAACACTAAATATACAAACCACATGTCTTAGTCTGCTCGGGACAGTACAACAAATTACCACAGACTGGGTGGCTTAAACAACAGGAATTTATTTCTCACTGTTTTGGAGACCGGCCAAGTCCAAGATTCTGGTGCCAGCATACTCTGTTTCTGGTGAGGCCTCTCTTCCCGGCTTGCAGATGTCCATCTTCTCACTGTGTCCTCACATGGCCTTTTGTGAACATGAAGAATAAAGAGATCAGTAGATGCACATGAAGAATAAAGAGATCTTTCTCTCTTCCTCTTCTTATAAATCCAAAAGTCCTGCTGGATTAGGATACACTTTTCCCCCTGCTTATGACCTTATTTAACCTTGATCACCTCCTAAAAGTTCTGTCCCCAAATATCATCACACTATGGGTGAGAGCTTCAACATATTAGTTGGGGGTTGGGGATACACAAGCATTCAGTCCACAAAACTACATATCAGAATAAAAGAAAAAGTAGGAAGAAAATGATGTTAAGTGAAAATAAAGGAAATTACAACTGTCAGGAAAGAAGGCCCAGCCACAAATCAGCATCTTTCTTTCCCAGTTCTTGCTCTGAGATCTCATCTGTCCTATTGTCCCAAGAGCAGAACTAAAGAAAAAGTACAATTAGTGTCCTTTGGGAGATGCAAACCCTGAATCAATGTAATTGCAAATCATGGAAGATGTTTTCCTTCACTCACAAGGAAAGAAGTGGATTAGCTCCCTGCCATTTTTTTTCCCTCAAATAAGAAATGGCAATTTTACTTACATTTTCCTAATTTACTAGTTTTTCTTAGCAATCTGTTCTTTCTTTAAAAAAAATTACTTCAAAAAGAGTTCATTTTAAAGTGCCAATAATCTTTAAAATTTAATATTTGAGTAGTAAATTGAACTAAGCTCTCACTTGGAGTAATATTTTTTTTCTGCACCACAGTAAAAGATAAGTTGGTTTTAGAAATGGAATCTTCAGGTTCATGCTTCCATTAATTTCTGAATCTGTGTTTTGATACATGAATTTATTAGATGGCATTGGTATAACAAGTCCAGAACCTTAGCTGAAAGTGTACTATGAATCTAGGGTATTCCACAGTAAAATAGCATCTCTAGGGAAATCATCTTACTGTAAATAATATTAACCTTACGAGCATAGGGAAACTCCATTATCCACAGTCTCAAAGACAGTAGATTTAGCCACAATCTAGTGCATCTCAATAGCAATTCAACAGACTATTGCAATTTTTTGTTGCAAAGCAGCTCTCACTAAGAGCTCAGGTAAAGACTCACTTGTCTGAAATAATGAAAAAAACAATTGGCCAATAATGATACGAGCCACAGCATGGTAAGTATTGCTTATATACTGTGCCTGATTTTGTCACAATTTCTGCACATGCCCATGCTTGTCTATGAAGAAAGAGAAAGAGAAGGAGAGAAAGAAAGAGAACAGGACATTTTGAGCCTAAAGTGAGCGGACAGTGTGTTTAAAAGGCTGATACATTGCATGTAGTGAGAATCAGGCTCGTTATTCCATTACTTTCAGATTTGGGATGCTATTGTTTACTTGTGTGTCCAACAGGGCAATAAATCTTTTTACCTATAAACAACGTAGAGATATGTATTGCTATTTAAATTTCTATTTTTTGTTTCTTTACGTTTGTAATTTTTCCTAGAATGTCAGAGCATTAATGTTGTCAGTTGAAATTCCTGTTCTGCTACTACTAATTTTTAACACTTCAGAACCTGTTTTCTTATCTCTACAATATGGACAGTAATGCCTTACTATGACTTTGTACTGGGTATGAATTAAAATTAAGTGTATGAAACATCTACTACAGTGCAAAGGACTCATAAATAAGGATGATAATGGTCATAACTAGGATCAACTATAAATCTATAGGCCAAGTCCCTCATGCAGTACACAGCACAGAGTTGGAGCTCAGTATAGGCATATGTACGCGTGTTGTTATTCAAGAGGCAGGGCACTTCCTGGTCAAGTTTTAATTTGGACACAAAAGATACACTAATGTGAACTCACGTATTGGAAATCTTCGTTCTGTTGTGAACAGAAAAAAGCGACTCTCCCACCTTGTCACTTCTGTAGTATGTGCAGTCCAGTGTCTTATTCATGTACAGATCATAGAACCAGGGCCACAGATCTCACTGTGAAGATGGGTATAATGATATGGACTAAGGCAAGGTTTAGGAACAGTCCAGTAGATCGAAGCCAGGAAAGAAATGTAGTGGGCAGAGTTGTGACAGACTGAAGCTTACAAGAGCTTGGTCTGGAGTTCAGTAGAGGCATAAGCAATAATATTAATAGTTCAGATCTAAAGAATTGTTTCAGAAGTAAATCCCAGCATTAAAAATCCCATTCAAGATTACTGATATTCTTTTTTGCTCTTGGGTTCTAGGTGCAAGGTTTGCTGGGTTGGGGTGAGCCACCAAATGGTAAGACCTCAGTCAGGGGGTATTGATATGAGCTCAAGTTGGAGAAGGGCTTTAGGAAAACCCATCAGGTGTCAATACACATTAGAAATCAAGTCTTCCAAAAGAGAATGGGAGTCCTTTGGATCATCACCTGTCGCTATGGTCTACGCAAACCCATGAAGTTATGGAGAAAGAAGTGTGAATGTACTAGAGTATGAATATGTGTGTGAGTATATTGTAGGCAACCAGTACTGGTATATCTTTTAAACAGGAGTGAATTAGCCTAAATGATCAGGGATTAATTGGAGACCTTAGTATATAAAGGGCCTTGAATGTTGAGAGACAAATCTCCATGGGTCTCTCTCATTTCTGCATATCTTATATGAAATGAACACATTGAATAGACTGTAAATGTTGAAGAGTTTAAACAAGTTAAGGGTATAGAAGCATGATTCTAAACACCTGATGTTAAGTATTTGATGAAGATAATGAAAAAAAGCATTTAATTTTAAGATAAAATAATTTTTTCTGTGACTACTTATTTGCAATTTATCTCAAAATATACAATATGAAGAATCCAAAATGGCAGTTTAATCTAAAGAATAAAGGAAGTTCCTGGTATTGAATAACATATTCTAAATGACAGTGAAAGATTTATCAGGTAATTGGCAGAGTTCAGATAAAAATAGGAACATTTAGCTCCAGCTAGGGAGAAGCCAACAAATTAAGATGAATAATGATTTTTTAAATGAGATTAAATTTGGATTTAATATAGTTGTTAAACAAGAATAGGGCAAGGTTTCCTTGGATATGGAACATGCTGTCTATTCTGTTATTTAAGGTCTAAAGCTTATTAACTTTTGGACAGAATTCTGCTTCTACAGAGGCTACATATCGCTTTTAAACGTTTCTTTTTGTTCGTTTGTTTTTGCATGAACCCATCATCTCTCATTTATTTGCATTCCCTGGCATCTTATTAAAATCTAACCTAATTGAAGTGTTTGCTTTGGAAGCCAGTGCTAATCAGGCAAAAGAAACTTCATACTGACAGTTTTCCAATACCTGCGTGTCATACGTCACTAAACCCAGGTGAATTTCAAACCAAAGTAGGCAGTGTTTCAGCAGCACTGTCAGAAGGTTTCACTCCTGAAATGTCAAAGGACAAACATTAGCGATATTTTGTGAAAGGAAAAATAAGTGCATGTAGTTTACCGCAAGTTTAACAAGTTTAACTCTTGACAAAAGGAAAAAAATAAATATTAAATGTATATATTGAATTAACAGGTCACACTGGAAAGGGGTGTGTGCATGTGTGCGTGCGTGTGTGCATGTGTGTGTGTGTTTATTAAATGCTATGGTTCTAATAGATGAAAAATTTCTCTCAGAAACACGTTATCTTGTTCTGCAAAAACATCCTCACATTTTTCTAAAGCCTCTGGCCAATCGACATCACACTCATGAAATGTGACAGTTGGCTTTTCTGTCTTGTTTTTAAGTAAACTGATATCAGTTTTAGTTTCTTTTTAATTTTAACTCTTGTTTTTACCCATTGGTTATGATTCTTAATAATCACTTATCTATTCATTCAGTAAGATCCTTTACATAAAAGACAATATATTACAATATATTACAGTGATTAAGAATATGGGTTTGAAAATCCATCTGCCTGGCTGTGTATCTTGACTCCATTATTTACCAGTTCTATGCAGTGTTTTAGTGCCTTGGTTTCCTCAAATGTAATTAAAGGATAACAATACTATTTATCTTACAGAGGGCTTGCTGTATTAATTGATGCATGCATCATTCCTAGCCTAAAATGCTATAGGAGGAAAGGATAGGAATGAGAGTTAGGTCAGTGCAAAGCTAAAAGGACTATGGACTGGGTAGATTTCCTTGGAACCAAGAGTATGTGGCAGACAAGTACTGGCATTCCAGGAGATGACAATGCATGTAAAAGCATACTACCATGTAAAAAGACCACACATTTTGGGAGTTTCCAATACTTTGCTATGGCTGGAATAAAAATGAGTCTAACGAAATAGTGGAAGATAAGACTGGAGAAGAAAGGATGAACTCACATGTTATCAGGCATGTTTTATTATACAGTATTACATTCACTACAGAGAGCTTAGAGTATAATAATTTCATTTTATTTATGTATTTATTTTTTTGAGGCAGGATCTCACCCTGTTCCTCAGCTGGAGTGCAGTGGCACAATCATAGTTCACTGCAGCCTCAAACTCTCTAGGCTCAGGTAATCCTCCCACCTCACCCTCTCTGGTAGTTGGGACTACAGATGTGCCCCACCACACCCAGCTAATTATTTTTGTATTTTAGAGACAGGATTTCATCATGTTGCCCAGGCTGCTTTCTAACTCCTGAGCTCAAGCTATCCTCCCACCTCAGCCTCCCAAAGTGCTAGGATTACAGGCATGAGGCACTGCACTCAGCCAATATTTTCATTTTAAATTGAATAACTTTTATTAATCACAAGAAGCAATTTATGGCTCATCATAAATAATTAAAAATGTATGTTTTCCTTTAAGTGAGATGATAAATAATAGGCAACGTTTTTATGATTAATCTTCATTGTCTTGCTCTCTGAGGAAATAGAAAACAGCCCAGCAATGTCTATTACCATTTTTCTCATCATGAAGAGTCTCAAAGAGACCTCAACAGTTTAGAACCCCAAGAAACAATAACTTACCAGTGACATAGATTTCTTTTTCTGTTCTGTGAATTGAATCCTCTTTTTCTCTTGGGAATTGCTTTTTACCTATTTGCTGTGGTTCTAATAATGTGTTGATCCCAAGTTGACCAATCAAGCACCAGATGCTTCTGGAATTAATGATTACTCCAGGAGCAGACACATGACCCAAGCAGAGCTAAGCAGTCCTTTTCTGGAAATTAATATACACTCTGCATGAAAGAAGCTCTCCTTCAGAGATTGAGAGCCCTAATAATTATAATTCTGCCATTTTTAGGGTCAACATTGATGTCACATGTAGGCAGCCTACTTGAATCCAACAAAGAGTAAAGCAAAGACAAGAGATGGAGAGGGATTTTCTTTTTTTTAAAAAAAGATGTCTTGAATAAGTAAGCTCCCAAACTGGCACTAACATTTAGAATGCTCAGTTATAACTACCAATAAATTTTATTTTTTGTTAAACTAACTTAATTAGATTTCTGACTTTAGCAACTAAAGATAGATCACAGATAATAGGGGATATGAAAACTTATATCAAGAAAACTGAGTAGACAGAATAAACACAGACATCTTTGCACATTTTGTCTATGGTAGTCCATTTCATATATCTTGTTAAATTCTTCAAGAGGTAGTTTTACTATATGTGTTTACTTTAAAAGGTCTTGGGAGAATTGAAAAAACAAAAACCCAGGCTCTAATAAAACTCATCTGTGTTTTCTAAAATCACTAGAATCTAATTTTTTTTAGGAACCACATGAACCACAGGAAATAGGTAAGGTGATTTAAGGGTATAGATATTGAGACCCCTCCACAAGGGTTTGCAACTAGGTTTTGCCACTTACTAGTGATGGGACCTTGAACAAGTGACCTATCCTCTGTGTGCTTCAGTTTTCTCCTCTATCAAATGGAGATAATAATTGTTCCTACTTCATTAGGCTACTGTGCAGATTAAATGGGTTAATATAAGTAAGAGGCTTAGAGAAATGCTAGGCACATAATAAATATTATACCAATATTGAAATAAGAACATACAATGATAGGTTTTTGTTTGTTTGTTTGTTTTTTGAGACGGAGTCTCTGTCGCCCAGGCTGGAGTGCAGTGGTGCAGTCTTGGCTCACTGCAAGCTCCACCTCCCAGGTTCACACCATTCTCCTGCCTCAGCCTCCCAAGTAGCTGGGACTACAGGCGCCCGCCACCATGCCCGGCTAATTTTTTTGTATTTTTAGTAGAGACAGGGTTTCACCGCGTTAGCCAAGATGGTCTCGATCTCCTGACCTCGTGATCCACCCGTCTTGGACTCCCAAAGTGCTGGGATTACAGTTGTGAGCCACCATGCCCGGCCATAGTGATAGGTTTTAAGATGTTGTGTAAAACTGCAATATAGTTTTTATTAAATAAATAAATAACAATAATAACCTTTGTTAAATTATTGTCACTAACAACATTTATGTTAAATGATGAATTTTGGATTAATATAGCTTATATAACTCTGGTACTGGCTCTTTGAATTATAAACTCCTTTGTGTGCTTTTTAAGAGTTACTTAGGTTCTTTTTTAAAAAATAGCATCCAATGTGCATGCTTAATCAGAATTATTGGACAAGTCAATCGCTTCCTAAGAAGTTTAAGGAAGACAACAGAAATCACTAATTTAATTAAGAGCTAGAAGTCAGTGGAGATAATTATACGGGCCTGTCTGTAGTGAACTCTGACATGGGAAAATGACTTGGAAAGTCCTTGACCAATTTTCAACAGTAAAATCAATGATAGGGAATGAGCTACTCACCAAGTTCAGTAAGTAAACAGTTATTAGTCCACTGCAATTAGGCCTGGGATCCATTACTTGTATTTGTAGGTAAGTATGTGCAAATTGCAGACCAACTTAATTTAATATTTGCTAAAAACGAAGGAAAGAGATTAAGCATTGAGAAAAGGAGACAGAAAACTGGCACTGTTCCTTACCAGGTAAGAGATTTTTATTAAAACATAATATTTCTGTGTCTCAAGGCCTTACTTATGAAATAAATATAATTCTTGCCCTAATTAACTCAAGGATTGCTATATAGTTCAACAGAAATAATTTTTATCGAAGTGTTTTTAAAGTTATGTGAGGAGATTGCAAGCCTCCTCTTCTTCTATATAACTTACTGTCTTCCAGGTAATATGGACCAAACACTTTGCCTATAATAGCGCTAACTATTAAATCCTTGCTATGAAGCACATATCACTTCCATTGTATAATGAATACATGGAGAAACAAAAAGAGAGACACAGGGAAATTAAAACATTGAGAAACTGGTAAAAAATGACCCACACAGCAAGTGAGCGAGTCCAGATTCAAACACAGGTAGATCAATTATAAATATATTTCCATTATGCCTAACCCAAAATGGCTTCTGTGTTTTATCAGCTACCCAATCTCCTTTTCCCTTGGCTTCACTTCTGATTCCAGCCATGGCTGTGGTGATCAGTTCAGTATTTGCTTTAGTTCTCTTGGTGCTGACAGTGTCTCAACCCAACCAACTGGTCAGGCTTTTTCAGTTCTGTGCCCTGAGAGTCCTGAAGGGTCCCATTCGGTATACACACAATGGTAGTTAGAGGTAGTAACCCTGGAAGACCCTCAATGAGTGGGGAATGAGAGCCCAAGGCCAAATGTCTCTTCCGGAGCATCCTCAGGTGGACAATTCTGGAAGGTATTCAGGGCCTTCCTCAGATGGATGGAGCCTTTATTACTGACAGAAATGACCAGCTCAGTAACTTACCTTGGTCTTGGCTTCTCCTGCCTTCCCGTTTGACTTTAGCCTCACTGCGGCTATCTGTAACTGCCTCCCAAATAACTACTGACACACAAATTCTTTTTCCAGGCTTTGCTTTCTGGAGGACCTCAATTAAGTGAACTAACCCAAAGAATTACAGGTGACCAAGTTTCAACTAAATTAAGAACTCTTAATATCAAGCACTAATAAAGGAAAGAGCTTCATTATTTCACATCTTGTGAACAAAACAAAAAGATAGAAATGGGAGAAAGTATTCACAGTTGTGGCCACAAGGAGAAAGACTTTCACCATCTGGATATTCCTCCTCAGCACACATGGGGTAGTAATGAATACTATGTTTATGAGCCCTTAAGACAAAAACTAGTCTCCAGTGGGCTTCCATATTTATAGTTAATCTTGTTTTTACAGAGAATAATCTACAGACAAACAAGTAGGGGGCCTCAAAGCATAATTAGACCAAGCAAAAAATTCTCCATACCAGCCCCAGGTACTGGGCTTATGTGGTACTTCCACTACCACATACTCACTGTCCTGGCTCCGTTTATTAAAATAAGCCTACTGCTGGGGTATGCTTACCTCTAAGGTGGACAGAATAGAAAGACAGAGGGAGGCTGGGTGTGGTGGCTCATGCCTGTAGTCCCAACACTTTGGTAGGCCAAGGTGGGCGGACCACAAGGTCAAGAGATCGAGACCATCCTGGCCAACATGGCAAAACGCTGTCTCTACTAAAAATTCAAAAATTAGTTGGGTGTGGTGGCGCGTGCCTGTAGTCCCAGCTACTCAGGAGACTGAGGCAAGAGAATCACTTGAACCTGGGAGGCAGAGGTTGCAGTGAGCTGAGATCGTGCCATTGCCCTCCAGTCTGGTGACAGAGAGAGACTCCATCTTTATAAAAGAAAGAAAGAAAGAAAGAAAACAAAAAAGAAAGAGAGAGGGAGATGAGGTACAAAGGGAGTGTTGTTTCTCTTTCCTCATTTAAAACCCAGTTAAAGGAGAAAGCAGGTCTCCTTTATATATATATGATATGTAATTATATCATCGGTCTATGTGGATTGCTGTACTAGGAAAAAAATATTTACTAAGATTAGAAATCAAACTATTTATCTGACTGGTTCATGCTGACCAATACAGGGTTACCTTGGGCCTATTATATATTTGAAGCCCCAAACATTTACTTTTCTGGATTCTGAACATCTCTGTGTCATTTTCTCTTCTATTTTCCAAAGGAAAAAAATTAATATTATACATCAAGATATTCCAACACTTGAATGATTTCTCTTATCCCAGCCTCCAAGGTTAAATAATAGAAAAGAGCCACAAGAAATATTCCCTACACTACAATACTGACCGTTTTCTACTGTTTAAAATTAATATGAGAGCAAGGTTTCTGGGCATTCCTTAAGATGATTTCTATTAAATATCAATAAAAGGGTCCACTGAAATAGTAGCATTGTTTTGTTTGTTTGTTTGTAGTTCGTTTGTATTTTGAAACGGAGTCTCTCTCTGTTGCCCAGGCTGGAGTACAGTGGCATGATCTTGGCTCACTGCAACCTCTGCCTCCCGGGTTCAAGTGGTTCTCATGCCTCAGCCTCCCTAGTACCTGGGATTACAGGCACCCACCACCACACCTAGCTAATTTTTCTGTTTTTGGTAGAGACAGGGTTTCACATGTTGGCCAGGCTGGTTTCTAACTCCTGATCTCAGGTGATCAGCCCAATTCGGCCTCCCAAAGTGCTAGGATTACAGGTGTAAGCCACCACGCCCAGCCTAATTGTAGCATTCTTAATCTGTCTTGCCACAGTACTCTCATTTGCAAAGCTTGGATGATATAATCTAATTGACACAAAGAGGATGAAATGAAAAATCTATACAAGCCTCCTGGCCCAATGTTCGGTATACTCTAGTTGCAAAAAAAAAAAAAAAAAAAAAAAAAAAAAAAACCAAACAAAAAAAACAAAAATTATTTCTTTCTTCCATATGTAGAAATGAGAGACTTTACTTACTCCAGATTATACCAATGTGCATATTACTAAAATGATTTAATAATAGCTATCACTTAGTACTTATTATTCATCAAGTACTGTAGAAAGTATTTTTTATGTGCTCTGTCATTAGTCCTATACTTTATTAAGTACACACATTATCACTATTTCACAGATTAAAAAAAAAAGTCCAGACAATCACCTAATTTACTAAGATTATACAGCTAGGTCTAACACAAAAGCCTAAGCTCTGAACCACATGGATATTTATAAGTATATAAATATCACTATACTATTAGTTGATTAAAGATTTAACAAAAGGTCTAATGAAAAATAGTCCACAGATAATCACTAACCACTATTAGAGAGTCAAGCTAGAACATTCTATCAAATTAACTAGAAATTCTGTTTTTTAATAAATATCGACTACTCAATAGTCTTAATCAATGTAGATGTTTTACCTATTAGAAATATCATAAAACTTGAAGCTCAAAATTAACCAAGTATTTCTGGCAGAAAAACAAGGACAAATGGAGAGCTGGCGGGACATTAACTATCATCTGAACTACTAAAATAGTTTTAAATGGGTTAATGTAACCTTTAGCACATCCACAAGGAAATGTCTCCTTAACAAGGAAGTCTAAGGGATAAGGTTTACTTTTTTGTTTGCTTGTTTGTTTTACCCTTCTTAGATCATTAAATTGTTTTTCCAAGTGACATACTACTGCCAGTAACTCAGTTTATTCTTAAAGTAGTGGTTCTCAATCATGGCCACACACAGTAATCATCCAGAGAGCTTTAAAAAACCCTGATGTCTGGGTCCCATCCTCAGGGATTCTGATTTAATTGGTTTGGGCTATGATCTGGGTATCAGGATTTTTTTAAAGCTCCCCATATGCTTCTAATATGCAACCAGAATGGAGGACAACTGTCCTAAGACCTATTACAGGGACTATACATTTCCCATACCTCTACCTTGATGCTCTATGGAAAATAAAATTCTAGATAACCCAGAATTATTCTCAAAGTGGACTTGAGGAGCTACTCACCTATGCAGAGCTGTTGCTCTCTTTGCTGGTTTGTGTGACAACCTGCTAGAAACTCTGCTTTGTCCCAAAGGGGCTTTAAAGAGATGTACGCTGCTTCACAACATGAGACAGAACTGCTTGCAACTTTTCTTTGCTCACAAAGCAAATATTCTACCAATTTAGAAGGCCACTTAAACCACCCAGATACTATCCTTCAGAATAAATTGAATACAAAGGGATAAGTCTCCTAAATACAAAATATCGTGATAAAAATAAGGTGCTTTGGTTGAAATACTTGGGTGTCTTACAGCAATAGAATATATTCTAAACAGTGAAAATCCTACATCTCCATAATTGTATAATGCATATTAACAGATTCTAAGAGTTTTTAATTTGGAGAATAATGCCCTGTGGTAGAAGACATTCATTTTATAATGATTTGTGATTAAGGCATATCTTCAGAGTCTTAGACATATCAAATACATGATGGTAATTTAATATTTCTGTAATCATATGTAGTTGCTTATTGTTTCAGAAAACTAAATTGAAAAAGTATATCCTTTCTAATTTCTTCAGGTGGCTAATTAACATAAGAAAGTTTATTCAGATATTCTCATCTCTTTCTCCCTATTTAATTTCCACTTTCAAAAAAGATGGTGTGATTTGAAATAGTTCAAATCATCTAAAAATAGTTCTTTATCAGTTCCCATCAACCAAAGACTACTTGGAACACACTTGTAGTCAACAAAGTTAGGCTCATCACTTGCAGCAAGGAAGACAGCATACCATGGAGTAATGAGTATATAAAAATTGGGGAGTAATGGAAGAAACACAGGGGGTTGGGGGCCTGGAGTGAGAAATAGAGTAGTCTAGGTTGAATGATCACAGTTTGTAAACTAGGGAATTGCTGGAACAGTTAGTGTTCTCTTTAGAGAACCCTTGAGAAGCTACTGTTATGTCAATCTATCTATGGTATTACCTTGAAATATACGGGTCTGAGCGAACTAGTGCTATAAGTCTACAATGGGTATCATTCAGTACAATTTATCTGTTTTGCAAGGCATGGCACAATACGCTTTGAAAAGTTGTGGTTTCTGTTTCAATTCTCAGTTCCCACTCTAACAGACTGGGTGTCAGCAAAGACATTTTTCACTATAAATATGTTAGTTGTATAAACATCTTGCCTGCTGGTTGTTCTATGGTAGATCTTTAATTACATTTCTAATCTCCTTTATGGATATTAGACATTGTACATTGCAAAAAAATTAATGAAAGATTTAAATTAAGTGCTTCCTCAGCATAATTCCTTGGCAAATTATCTTAGCTAGACTAACTCATTTCCTAAACCTATAACATGAAACTCAAACATGAGTGCACACTTTCCCATCACTCAATTATATTGTCTCTATAGAATTGATCACTATTTGAAATTATCTTATTTATTGATCTATTATCTTGAAATAGAGGATGTCACAGAAATACAAACAACCATCAGAGACTACTATGAACACCTCTATGCACACAAACCAGAAGATCTGGAAGAAATAGATAAATTATTGCATATATATCCTCCCAAGACTGAACCAGAAAGAAATTGAATCCCTGAAAAGACCAGTAATGAGCTCTGAAATTGAATCAGTAATAAATTGCCTACAAACCAAGAACAAACCCAGAAACAGACAGATTCACAGACGAATTCTACCAGATGTGCAAAGAAAAGCTGATACCATTCTTACTGAAACTATTCCAAAAAACTGAGCAGGAGGGACTCCTCCCCAACTCATTCTATGAGGCCAGCATCATCCTGATACCAAAACCTGGCAGAAACACAACAACACCAAAAATCTTCACGCCAATATACTTGATGAACATAGATGCAAAAATCCCCAACAAAATAATAGCAAACTGAATTCAGCAGCACATCAAAAAGCTTATCCACCATGATCAAATAGGCTTTATCCCTGTAATGCAAGGTTGGTTCAACATACACAAATCAATTAATGTGATTCATCATATAAACAGAACTAAACACAAACCACATGATTATCTCTATAGATGCAGAAAGGGCTTTTGATATAATTCAACATCCCTTCATGTTAAAAACCCTTAATAAACTATGCATAGAAGGAACATGCCTCAAAATAATAAGAGCCATCTATGACAAACCCACAACCAACATCATACTGAATGGGCAAAAGCCCATTTGACTGAATGAGCAAAAGCCCAACTGACGTTTTCAAGGGGAACGCATCCAGCTTTTGCCCATTCAGTATGATGATAAAACAGGGCACCTTGTCTTGTCTTTTACCACTCCTATTCAACATAGTATTAGAAGTCCTGGCCAGAGCAATAAGCCAAGAGAAAGAAATAAAGGACATCTAAATAGGAAAAGAGAAAGTCAAACTATCCCTGTTTGCAGACGACATGATTCTGTATCTAGAAAACCCCATAGTCTCAGCACAAAAGCTCCTTGAACTGATAAATCATTTCAGGAAAATTTCGGGACACAAAAATCAACATACAAAAATCAGTAGCATTCCTATACAACAACAACAGCCAAGGTGAGAGCCAAATCATGAATGAACTCCCATTCACAATTTCACAAAAAGGAATATAATACCTAGGAATACAGCTAACAAGGGAAGCGAAGGGCCTCTTCAAGGAGAACTACAAACCACTGCTCAAAGAAATCAGAGATGACACAAGCAAATGGAAAAACATTCTATGCTCATGGGTAGAAAGAATCAATATTGTTAAAATGGTCATACTGCCCAAAGCAGTTTACAGATTCAATGCTATTCCTATCAAACTACCAATAACATTTTTTTACAGAACTGGAAGAAACTATTTTAAAATTCATATGAATCCAAAAAAGAGCCCAAATAGCCAAGACAATCCTAAGCAAAAAGAACAAAGTTGGAGGCCTCACGTTACCCAACTTCAAACTGTTCTACTGGGCTACAGTAACCAAAACAGCATGATACTGGTACAGAAACAGGCACATAGACCAATGGAACAGAATACAGAGCCCAAAAATAATGCTGCACACCTACAACCATCTGATTTTCAACAAGAAGGGAGAGGGCCAGGAAAAATAACTAATGTGTACTACGCTTAATATCTGGGTGACAAAATAATATGTACAACAAACCCCCATGATACATGTTTGCCTCTATTGACAAACCTGCATATGTACCCCAAACCTAAAATGAAAGTTAAAAAAGGAAAGAAAAATAGGATTCAAGAGAACAGATATTCATGACCACAATCTCAGTGTGCCTCCTAGAATAGCATGTATCAGGCAGTAGGTGCACAATGACAACTTGTTGAATAAATTAGTAAAAATATTTATGTAATCTTATTATTTGATTTAACTTATTGATTAGAAAGACTTTTTGAAGTAATCTGATAGATAATATAATCATATATGTTTTAGATAATCTTAAATAGTCTTCAGAACTCAACTAAATATCAATTTCATTATTGCAAAGTATATAAATTGTAAAGAAGCACTTATTAGAATTTTGCTCTTTTTTGCAGCTACAAGGGAGCAAAAAAAATAATTTGATAAGATCTCAGGAGTCACTGGGAAAAAATAATTTCTGGTTCAATTCATTCATCATAGGTATTTTAGCAATCTATTTACAGTATTATTAGGTGGATATAGGAACAATACTAAGATAAAGTAATTTGTAAAGGTTCATGTGACTACAAAAGCACATTTATTATTCTGAGAGTTTTCTTTATTACGAAACATACATTTTAATACAACTAATGTTAATGATTAATGTGAGATTCTAGATGGTTTTTGTTTTATCTGCATCAAATGAGAAAACTTTTAGAAAAACATATTTTCTTACTATGAGTTTTATTTACATATATATGTTTTGTAGTCATAAGTTTTCAACTTTTCATGAGTTTGTTTTTTCATGAAAGTAAGAGAGTAAGCAGAAAGCAAGTTTGAGCTTTCCTTTCTGTCACTTTTTCTTAACTCATAAACTAATTTTCAAATTAGAATTATTCAGATGTGCAAGCCTCCTTCCAGACTTTCAGAATAAGTCAACACAAAACATTTGGATTACCATTTCAAAAATCACTGTTGAATCTTGGTATTTATATTTTAAGTTAATACCAGAAAACTTTGCACAAAGTTTGAATTTATTATTAACTTCTAGATATCATTGTTAGAAATAACTTATTCAACAGTTGAAGATTGGTGGTAGCTATTGAGAATGACAAAATCATGAACTGGTAATACTGTATGTTGTAGATGAACTTGCTAACAAATCTTCTCCGCAAAGGTTTAATAAATTTGTTGACTTATATTCCATATAATTAAAAGTTATATAACCTATAAATGGAAGATATGTCAAATCTATGTAATACAGATAGAACTGCAGACTTTAAAATTCTTTTTAAAACTTTTAATAATTATTAAGTTAGCCACATGTGAATGTTAAAGGGGAATTGCTTGCTCTGAGGAATTACCTTCATTTTGTGCACTCCAACAGTCACAGCTATTATAAGTTTCATATCACATATTGTTTTCTACACTGAACATAAGTGTACTATACCACAATCAGAATCATTGAACTTCTATTACAACAACTTTATTTATATAGTTCTATCACTCAAGTCAGAGTTAACTACAAGTATCATACACTTCTTTCAGTCTAGTCTGCCTATAAGGCTTGCAAATATAATAGTTACAATCAGGTTTTATTTTTCAACTGGCTAAAATTTGTAAAGAAAATTGAGCATGAAGAGCATTAACTCTGATAAGTAGACTATACCGTCTTATACTTTACCTATAAGTGTAAAACATATTTTTCTGGTATTTTGACAGTAAAATGGTTTCACTTGATTTTTTTAAATCAATGCTCATAAATAATCTTTTCCACCATTCCCAATTAAAAATATTACTACAGTAGGGAACTTTTGTTGGTTTGCCTGCCTAGTATTTCTTCTCCCATCTATGGTAACAACAGTAAGTTTTCTCCAATTCATTCTGATTTGGACTGCTCCCACATAATGTTCAGGACTACTTCTCAACTATAGGGTGGCCACATGACCCACTCTGGACCAATCATAGCACCTCATCTCCTAGCACAGTTAATTGACACAAGGCTGGTCTCATGACTTAAGCAAAAGCAATCGTTTTTACTGAGACTAATATAGATTTATTAAGAGTTTTTCCACTAAAATTCTAAGATGAATGTATATAAGCTTCAGCTAACAGAAATCTTCTTCCTTGTCATCTGAAAAGAGCCTATCTTCAGAATGAAGCCAACATACAGAAAGAAGGAATACAGACAGAATGACAGAATTCTGATGAGATTATTTAAATCTCTTACAACTGAAGCATATCTCTTCAATTCCAGTGTTGTGTGCCAATGAATCCCTTTGTTTTTGTTTTCTTTAGCTGGTTTAATTTGTGCTTTTATTTCTTACAACTTACCGATTCCTAACCAATGCAACTTTGTATCCTTAAATGTAATATAAATACCAAATTCATGAAGTCATTAATTCTATTTGAGTTTCACCAGCAGATTCCATTTTTTAACTCTTTTGAGTATGTTTAGAATTAATGTACTAATATTACAGTGTAATTATTTTGGAAAATTTTTAGGAAAACATTTTATCTTCTTACTATAAATTATATATATGTGTATGTATGTATGTATGTGTGTTTGTCTGTGTACATTATCATTAATGTTTAAGTACTGTGTTATGCTTACTAATTTTGTCCCTAGTGTGCCAGTTTTGTTTTGCTTAAAGTAACCAGTTGTTATCTTACAATTGTTCTTGTTGTACTAAATCCTCTGCTACAATTTCTTAGTCACTAGATTTTATCCAGGTTCCTCTACCTTCATGATATGGGATGATAAATACTGGATTCTTGAAAACTTTCGTCTTCTGTTTGCCTTCTTTCAGGTATAATCTCCAGACTTCTACCTGGGTTTTCTCTTTTCCATGGAATCTACACACCAGATTAGACTGAACTATAATATACTGAGGGAAGAAGGGGAGGAGCAAGCCAGTGGGTCTTGGTCATTGACAGTGGAGTATTTTAAACTCCCTTGTACTGGTGTGCCTTACTGCATTGGTAAGCACTGTGGAGAGATGGAATGTGAATTATCTCCCAGAGGAAAGGACAAAAGGCTGAGCAAGCTCCTGATTAACTGCACTGAGTTGTCCAGGGTGTATCTCCTGGGCAAGGAAAACAACAGACCAACAGAGACTGCCCAACTTTTATTTTCAAAACAAGATAATTAAGAATGTTTACTAAATGGCTGCTGTGTGTTATTTTAGATAGTCTATGTATTACGCCCTAAACCAAGTAATTTTTTGCTTTATAAAAATCAATCTGGCAAAAGGATTAGCATATTTCCTCTTTAAATTTCCACAGTGATACTGATGTTGGCCTCTTGTTTCCTGGAAAAAGGCAGCAAACTCAGTTTATGGAATGGTTACTATTACTTGCTAGGACTGAGAAGATAATTTGAAATTTTACCAAGTTCTCTTGTATTTCATAATTCCTACAATACAGTAAATTATGCCTCAGGGAACAAGTTTTGTTTATGTTTTTTGGTTTTGTTTTTTGCAAGGCAAAAGTCTGTAGCAACTGAAGCTAAGAAGACCTCTAGTAAATTACAGCAACATATACAGACTAAAACTTATGAATTGAAGGACATATTCAATTTGGCCTGACTTGTTGGAGTGAAAAGGAAAGATAAAGCTGAAATAGCTATCATGGAACATGAACTAAAAGAGAGAGAGGGGAAAAGAAAAAGACTTTCCCGAATATCGCGCAAGAAAACAAAAATGAAACCACAACAAATGTATATTTTTAATAGCCCTTAAATTCAAATGCACCTCAGGGAATTTCACTTGGATCTTTATAAAATCATAATATAACGCCCATGTCTTACATTTGTCACTATATTTTTGCTACAGCATTTACCAGCTGGAACCTGAGTTCTGCATAAGATGCACAGCCATCTGTAAACTCAGGCATAGTCACTAGGCTGCTGCAAAGCTAAAATCCACTATTCAAGCAGGAAAGAAGAGCAACAACTAATAGAAGAAGGTAACATAAAGGAAAAAAAAATTGTCTATGTTCCTACATAATCTGATTCAACTGAGTTAATCAGAATTAAGGTTCTGACAATTGAAGATGTGCTTACACACAACACCCAGTTTAACTACTTTACTAAAAATACCAGATCAATTCAGTCAACTAGTTAATTCATTTAAAAATGAGAGAGAGAGAGAGAGAGAGAGAGAGCCTGATTGTAAGGTTGAACTAACCTGTGTTTGACTGAACTTTGTCAATTTTGGTCAAAAATAATCAAACCAGAACTGCATGTATCTGGATAAAGTTATTCAAATATCTTAATAATCTTAGCACTTCACCCAGGCTGTTAGGACAATGGCTTAAATGTGTTGGTTTTCCATAAATGCGTGTTGAATATTGTTACAAAGATGTCATGTTTCATCAAACAGTACCTGGTCAGTATTGAGATCCCTTTTAAATGACAGAGGGAAAAACGTCAAAAGATATTTTAGGTTCTGGGATACAATAGGTCAAATTTAATCACACAGACACTTTCATAATGTTTAGAATGTTTCAAAATAGTAATCACTCAGTTATTCATTATTATAAAATATTTTAAAATGAAAGAGATATTATTAAAAGAATTTTAGTAACTGTATAAGAACCCCCTATAAAATGAGTACACATGTGTTAAAGCTAATCAGAATTGCTAATGAAATGACTTCTTTCATGATGGGTTTATTATGCCAAGCTAGTGCCTGTGAAAGTGCTGTGTAAACTTAATGCCTGATCTACCTGGTTTTGACTACTTATTAATAGATGTTTTGTAGTACTTTAATTAGGGCTTTTGGAGGCAACAACAAAAGGCTGATATTTATAACAAGACCTCTTCATATCTTAAATTTCACAACACATGTGCTTTAACAAACCTGAAGTAAATTATAACTGTATAATCTATAATTTGGTATTAATTTCCAATCTTTCCTTTCTTGAAGAAAGCCTCAGTCCTGAAAGGCTAGAGAATTGACTTGGTCCTGGTCTTGGCACAGACTTAGTTTCTTTTTTCTCTTCTATTTATATCTTTGAAACATGGTGCCCTTTTCTGGAGAACCAGAAATGGATCATGTCAACTGAGCCATTTTCTTCCTATCAGTACAGAGCAGCTCCAGTCTCTGTCAGATACCAGTCAGAGTTCAGATTTGCTTCAACCACAAACAGTTACCAATTGTCCGTGAACTACTTTATTTGTTCCTATTGCTATTGCACAAATCTGTGCAATTAAGAACTTTTCTTTAAGGCTGGGTACAGTGGCTAATGCCTGTAATCCCAGTGCTTTGGGGGGCCAAGGTGGAAGGATTGCTTGAGCCCAGGAGTTCCAAGCTACAATGAGCTATGGTCATGCCACCGTACTCAGCCTGGGTGACAAGAGTGAGACCTCATTTCTAAACAAAATTAAAAATAATAAGCTTTTCTTTAAATAATAATTATCCTATTCAACCCATCTAATATGATGTCCTTTCCCTGTCACTGGCAGAAAAAAATATCAAATGATCATTTTGATGATCAAGCAGACACAATTTTTTAAAAAGTCATGTTTAGCAAGAGTAATTTAAACAGAAAGCTTTAGGAAAATGCTGATTACCTCTGAGACATGGCACTATCAAACATGTGCAGAAAACTCAGTCTCTTCAGCAGCAGCATCTGTATTGCATATTGACTTTAAGAACTTAATATACTCTAGGACTATGACTATATATTGTGCGCAAAATATGGTCTGAGTTAGTTTTTTAAAAATGGAGGTAAGAGAGTCTATTCTGTACCTCCAAATGACTTCTGTTAAACCAGTTAACTTCAGTAAATACTGGTTTCCTCAATACTAAGTTGTAGAAATCAACTTTTGCCTCTTACATCACCAGATTGTTGTAAGGGTGTTGCAATAATATGGACATTGACTTCCTCTGAGGGAAGAAATTTGTAAAACATAAACTCACTAAACAAACCTCTTTCCATTAGAGGAATTGAAACAGGATACAGTCCTGAATAAGCCACAGTTTCAAAAAGCAGAGATCACTGGTGCAGGCACACAGGAAGCATGGCTCTATAGCCCATTAGAAGCCATTTATTGTTTTTATATAGAATTTTTACCACAAAACAGACAAATTATTACATACGATAGGTTAAAGGTTTATAGTTAAACTCTCTTATAATTTATAGCTAACCAAGTTTAATGTGCATGGAAAGTTTCTTCTATTAATAGGTTATAGAAATTATTCTCTCAAGAATTTAGAATTGCATCTTTTAACTTAGCTATCTTAAGAGTTGAATCAAACTGCAGTGAATAGTTTATCATATAAACTGCCATACTATAGAAAAGAAATATTCTATAAATTTCTAAACCAGGTGAATTTTCTTAATTTCCTGTACATACTAGTATAGCTCGTAACATTAAACATGGGCAATATATTCAATAGTATAAACAATAGATATTTATATAAGATGAGAAACAATTTAGCCCTGGAATACTCATGGCCACAGTGGGAATGACATCATGATCTTGGCCGGTTCCACTCTTCAGGGACCGATGCTGCTAGGAAACATGAGAAATATGAAGCTTTCCAGCCATTTGGGATGACCATTCTAAATTGAGAATAAAAACAGTTCCCAGTTGCAGTATGTCTTAGAAAAACAATAGAACATCTGACCACTGATAAGAGTCTGCACAGAATAAGAATGGCTTTCCAACATCTTACATTAATGGCTTTTTGACGTCCACTATTTACATGAGAGAATTTTGTGTCCTGGTCCTCTTGGAAAGTGATTAGTCCAATTTACAAAACCCATTGAATACTTATTTTAATGTTCTGGTGTAGAATATAAAATTTAAAACCTCTTGATTTTTTCAAAGATGGATATCCTCTGAAATGTATTTTTCATAGTAAAAATATGGGAGAAAATAATGACATGGTCCTGAATGAACCAATTTCCCAATATTTTCTACTACCCAAATTTTTCTGTTTTATCGATGTAATTCAATGTATCTAAACCATTTAAGAAAATATTCTCTACTTAGTGGGTGGAAGAGGTTTTCATCAAATGAATCAAAGAAGTACAATGAGATAAACTATATTTCTAATTCTTAACATTGCTAGTTTAGAATAATTTAAATTCATAAAGTCTTATTAAAGAGTTTCTTAAAAAATACAGTTTTATTACTGTCAAATTGCCTGTAGCATGGTATGGAAAGTACTAATAGCACTTAGGGCCTTGCATTCTATAGTAAATGCTTATCTTGAAACTGGTTCCACTAAATTACTTGAAAACAATGAATTCTCAAGGCAATTTAAAAATCCTTCTTATGAAGAAAGTCATTGGTAGCTTGAAGGGGATGGCATTGAATCACAGAATTGGAAAAAACTACTTTAAAGTTCATATGGAACCAAAAAAGAGCCCACACTGCCAAGTCAATCCTAAGCCAAAAGAACAAAGCTGGAGGCATCATGCTACCTGACTTCAAAGTATACTACAAGGCTACAGTAACCAAAACAGCATGGTACTGGTACCAAAACAGAGATATAGACCAATGGAACAGAACAGAGCCCTCAGAACTAATGTCACATATCTACAACCATCTGATCTTTGACAAACCTGACAAAAACAAGAAATGGGGAAAGGATTCCCTAAAACCATAAAAGCCCTAGAAGAAAACCTAGGCAATATCAATCAGGACATAGGCATGGGCAAGGACTTCATGTCTAAAACACCAAAAGCAATGGCAACAAAAGCCAAAATTGACAAATGGGATCTAATTAAACTCAAGAGCTTCTGCACAGCAAAAGAAACTACCATCAGAGTGAACAGGCAACCTACAGAATGGGAGAAAACTTCTGCAATCTACTCATCTGACAAAGGGCTAATACCTGGAATCTACAAAGAACCCAAGAAAATTTACAAGAAAAAAACAAACAACCCCATCAACAAGTGGGCGAAGGGCAAAGGATATGAACAGACACTTCTCAAAAGAAGACATTTATGCAGCCAAAAGACACATGAAAAAATGCTCAACATCACTGGCCATCAGAGAAGTGCAAATCAAAACCACGATGAAATACCATCTCACACCAGTTAGAATGGCAATCATTAAAAAGTCAGGAAACAACAGGTGCTGGAGAGGATGTGGAGAAATAGGAACACTTTTACAGTGTTGGTGGGACTGTAAACTAGTTCAACCATTGTGGAAGTCAATGTGGCGATTCCTCAGGGATCTAGAACTAGAAATACCATTTGACCCAGCCATCCCATTACTGGGTATATACCCAAAGGATTATAAATCATGCTGCTATAAAGACACATGCACACATATGTTTATTGTGGCACTATTCACAATAGCAAAGACTTGGAACCAACCAAAATGTCCAACAATGATAGACTGGATTAAGAAAATGTGGCACATATACACCATGGAATACTATGCCGCCATAAAAAACGATGAGTTCATGTCCTTTGTAGGGACATGGATGAAGCTGGAAACCATCATTCTCAGCAAACTATGGCAAGGACAAAAAACCAAACACCGCATGTTCTCACTCATAGGTGGGAATTGAACAATGAGGACATTTGGACACAGGAAGGGGAACATCACACACTGGGGCCTGTTGTGGGGTGGGGAGAGGGGGGAGGGATAGCATTAGGAGATATACCTAATGTAAATGACGAGTTAATGGGTGCAGCACCCCAACACGGCACATGTAACAAACCTGCAAGTTGTGCACATGTACCCTAAAACTTAAAGTGTAATAATAAAAAAAAGAGTTCCATAAAGAAAAAAAATAAAAATAAAATAAAACAAAAGATCAGGTTGCCAGAGGTTTGGGCAGGAGGAAGGAGGAATGAAGAGAAGGATTTGTAAGGCAGTGAAACTACTCTGTATGATCCTGTAATGGTGGCTACAAGTCATTATGCATGTGTCCAAACCCGCAGACTGTACACCTAGAGTGAAGCCTGTGGGAACTTTTGTTTAATGGATACAGAGTTTCAATCTGGGAAATGGATCCTGGTGATGATTGCACAACAGTGCAAATGTACTGAATGCCACTGAATGGTACAATTAAAAATGGTTAAAATGGCAAAAATTTATGTTATGTATATTTTACCATGATTAAAAGAAGAGCAAGAAATCGGTAAACTATGGGCTTTAAGTAATAATTATGTCACAATATTGGCTCATCCATTGTAGCAAATGTATAACACCAATGGGAGCTGTTAACAAGAGAAGTGGCGGGTGGTTAGTGGGTATCTGGGAACTCAGTACTTTCTGCTCAATTTTTATGTAAACCTAAAATTGCCCCAAATATAAAGTCTATTATGTTTGTTTGTTTGTTTGAGACGGAGTCTCACGCTCTGTCCCCCAGGCTGGAGTGCAGTGGCACAATCTCGGTTCAGGGCAAGCTCCGCCTCTCGGGTTCACGCCATTTTCTTGCCTCAGCTTCTCAAGTAGCTGGGACTACAGGCGCCCGCCACCACGCCCGGCTAATTTTTTGTATTTTTAGTAGAGACGGGGTTTCACGATGTTAACCAGGATACTCCCGATCTCCTGACCTCGTGATCCGCCCGCCTCGGCCTCCCAATATATATATTTTTAAAGTCTTTCATATAATTTTGCAAAGAAAAAGTTTATCCCTCTTCTAAATTGAAGTAGGCTTTCCTATAATTGCACATATCTGAAAAGAGACACAAATTTCATGTAAAATGAATGAAATTTTATCAGGAAATTAACTTTGAAAATTAATGTATGTACACCGCTGTATGTAGAATGAGGTTTTACCTTTTGTGCTTTTAAAAATTTGCTGCTTTTACTTTTATATAATGTTATTGTCAGTCCCAGAATATATATGAACTCCTAGAAGATAGAAACCATGCTTTATTTATCTTTCTTTGCATCTGCTGGACCTAGTATTGTGTCTGCCATATATTCAATACTGAATTAAAGTCGAAGGATAAATAAATAGATGTCATGAATGATCTCAAGTCAAAGAGCTGCATAATCATCTCTTTATATATTCATTTTACATATTAATTCTACTACTAACATACAAAATGAAAAAAAGAGATAATTTGAAATTATAAGGGTTTCTTGCTTTCTCAGTACTCTATTTCAACATATCATTTTACCTTTAAGAAAATACATTTTTCACTAGTTAGTGTCTTAGATTCACAAGAGGTTATATAGCACCTGATCCAACTTCAGACAGGAACTGGAGCAGTGGTTGCCATGGACTGGGAGTGAAGAGAAGGAATGAAATGCAAAGAGGCATACATAAACCTTTTGAGATTAAAGTATTCCATGTCTTGTTTGTTGCCATGATTACACATTATGCACATTTGTCAAAAGTCATTGACTGTACCACTAAAAAGGCTGTCTTTTACTGTTCAAACCTTTGTCTAATTGGTTTTGGATTTTTGTTTCCTCAATATTGAATATTTTAATGTTCAATTAACCTGACATGCCAAAAATCGCCTGAGAGAAAGGCAATTTTCTCCTACTACTTTTCTCCTACTCTAGCTTCATGTTATTTTCTGTTTTTGTTTTATACATTTAATTAGATTTTGTTTTATGCATTTGATTATTCTTTGGGATTTTCTTACCTTGAGAGCATAAACTACTATTGAGAAATATGATTCAAAATAAAATAAGAATGTTCAGACAAAAAGTAGGGTAAAAATTGACATGAAATTCCTCCAATTCAAATGTAAATGTAAATTTTATAAACATTTATCTTCATATATACACTAGGTGGAGCCATTTGCTTAAGCTAGTTGTAGGAAAATTGACAGTGTATGTTTAATTTTGTAAGAACCTCCAAACTTGTTTTCCAAAGTAGCTGTCCCATTTTGCATTCCCATCAGCAACATATAAAAGTTCAATTGCTTCATATCCTTATTGTCACTTGGCCACCCATTTATTTTAGTCACTCTAATAGCTGTATAGTAGTATCTCATTATAAATTTAATTTAGATTTCCTTAATGAGTAATAATGTCAAGTATCTTTTCACATGCTTATTTGCTTGCTTTATATCTTCTTTGCTGAAATGTTTATTCAAATCTTTCACCCAATGTTTATTGGTTTGTTTGTTTGTTTTAATGCCTTGCAATTCTTTGCTGAAAACTGGAAATTTCAGATAATATATTGTAGAAACTCCAAGTTCTGGTTTCCCACTTCCCAGGCTTGTCATTTTCATTTATTTGTTTATTTGTTAGAGACTGGCTAGATTATTTTAGTGAAGTCTATTCCCTATGCCCACTCCCCCGCCCTTCAACACACACACAAAGTGTTAAGTCTCTGTTGATGCTTCTCAGTGAAGCACAGATATGCCTACAGTTACCCTATGATGTGACATAATGACAGTGGTATTTGTAGGGTTTTTCTTCCTTTCTTTCCCTAACCATACTCATTAATGTTAAACTCCATTAATTGCCAGCTGGTTGTTCTATTACTTTCAACAATGTCCTAAGGCAGAAATTTCCCTGCAAATTAATTCAACCAAACTGTGGCTTTTAGGAAAAAAATAGATTTTGAGGTCAGTGTTTGATATTTGTCCTGACCTATGAGGACTCCTCCCAATGGTCTCATTCTCTGATTCTCTCCTACAAACCTGCTAGCCTACAGTCTAAGATGCATTGTCATTAAATCCAAGAATCTCCTCCCAAATGCCTTTCACCACAATCTCCACTATTATTGAGAGTATTCTTAAGCTTGAACTTCTCCACGCTGTGTTGCAGTGAAGTCAATTCCTTTGAGATGAGATTAGAAACTGTTTTATGGCCTGATTCTTCTCCCAGGTGAACTTGCTGAGCTGGACTCAGGAACTGGGTGTGGGAACAATGGAAAGCTTTTCTCTGCATGACCACCCTACTCTAGGGGCTGTGCATTCAGTGATGGGAGGGGAGGAAACAGCCAGAGATCCTCTCAGCTTGCCTGTCCTGTCACGGAACCACTGCCTCATGAACCTATGGGAAGTGCATTCAGGACCCCAGTATTTTCAGTACTCCATCTCTCATTAGCAATCACCTGAAATTTAGCCTCAGCAACGGATAGCTAGGGCAGAATGAGAAGTGTGGAAGACCTCCAGGGACTGAAGCTGCAGCAGCCTCATGTTCTTGACTACAGCAGTTTGGAGTAGAGTCTCTACCTTGTTGAACTGGTAAGGCAGAACGAAAAGGCAGACTTGGTTCAAATATCACAGACTCTCACCTTTCATACCAATCTTTCATAGATTTTCTTGAATAGATGTTTTTGAATTTGCGGTTTGTACTTAGGGCCATTTCCAGAAGCTTTGAATGGTTGTTTTAAAATACTTTTCACCAGTTCCACTGAGGAATGAGTCAGGGGATCTACTGACAATGTCATGGCACAGATTGATTGACTCAAACTGTTTGTTCTTTTTCTATGTCTGTGGTTCAATTAACATTTCTATGTCTGTGGTTCAATTAACATCAGTCTATGCTGATGTTGAGCATAGACTATGTGCCAGTACCCAGTGCCATAGGTATAATATCCCTGCTCTTGAAGAGCAAATGATCTAGTGAAAGATACAAATAAATAATTACAACTCTAAATGATAAAAGCTGGAATTGAAAAGTATATAAAGTACAATGGAAGCCCAAAGGAGTATTTGACAGCTTTGAGGATGGAGGTGGAAACAACATGGAAGATCCCATGAAAAGTATTAGAATCAAAGGATAACCTGGGTAAGCTTCAGCTCTGCTAGACCCACTGTCCTTTAAAACCGTTTTAAATAAAAACAGTTAATGTAATTGTAATATCAGATAACAATATTGTTATAGACAATTGAATTTTTTAATCTTTATGAAATAAAAGCATCTGAGACTTTATCTATAATATGTAATCCAAGGATATCACATTAAGCAAATACAATTTCAAGTCAGGGTCCCCAGCTTTCCCACTTCTGCTAATTCCAGTTGTACCCTTGAGCCCTTTTTATATAGAAATCTAAAGTCTCCAAAATTTGTGGAAGAGAGGGTACAGTTCTGTATTATCATGGTAGCCTCTAAGAACAAAGGAATAGGTGGCAGGTTCACTTACTTTCTAACATAGCACTGTTAAATTAGTTTATCCATGGACAGTCTCTGTTCTTATTTCTCTGTTCCCATAAATATATCCCCTATTCCAGAATCAGCTACAAAACATAAAATACATCTCAAAAAGAAAGAAAAAAACCCACAAGGTTTGGCAAAAGAAAGAAGAAAAATAAAACTGAGTCCTCTGTCTTGCCTCATCGCCTGGACTGGTATGTGAGTTTCTTATTCTGATGTAGGTGGAAAGGCCCATTGGCTTAGCCTAATTCATAAACAGCCTCCATTGGGCTGGACCAGTGTTGAGCAAAAACATTCAAAATATCATGACTTTGGCTAAAGAGCTTGGAGCAATTGAGATGGTGTCTGGAAAGTCATAAGAGCTGGTGCATGCCTGGGATGCAGCATATAACCTGCTTTTTACCTATGAAATGGAGCTTATTCATTCTACCTTTAAAGGGTCTTACATACCTGCAATATTCTACTTGAACAAACTATGTGTACATCTATGACCAGTGGTTTTATTATTATGACTATGACTCCTCCAGCTTAGTACAGCTATCCTGTTCTTTCTTTTGTTACTTTGGCCAAAGTATAGTCATGGACATTAACAACCTCTATCTGATAGTGATAGTTAATTTTATGTGTTAACTTTGCTGGGCTAAGGGATGTCCAGATAGCTGGTAAAACATTATTTCCGGGTGTGTCTGTGAGGGTGTTTCTGAACGAGGTTAGCATTTGAATATGGACACTGAACAAATAAGATTGCCCTTACCAGGGTGAGTGGGCATGATCTAATCTGTTGAGGGCCTGAATAGAACAAAAAAGGCAGAAGAAGGGCGAATTTGCTCTCTCTGCCTTGTGCTGGGATATCCATCTTCTCCTGTCCTCAGACATCTGTGTTCCTTGTTCTCAGGTCTTTGGACTCAAGCCAGGACTGACACCACCATCAACCCCTTCTCTGCTACACAGGACTTCTGACTCAGACTAAATTACATTGTCAGCTTTCCTGTTTCTCCAGCTTCAATATGGCATGTTATAGGATACCTCAGCCTCCATAATTATGTAAGCCAATTCCTATAATAAATCTCCTTATATAAATATACATGTATATATATGTGGGTGTATATATATGTCAATATATTAGTCAGGGTTCTCCAGAGCAACAGAGCTAATAGGATATATGGATACCTATTTTTTCATACATGAAAATATGTATTTTATTTCAAAATATGTATCCATATATCCTATTGGCTCTATTGCTCTGAAGAACCCTGACTAATACACTGACACAGACAATATTATAAATACGATTGCATTCAGACACTTGATCTTTGACTCAGGCATCTCGAGTGGTAATAATGACATATTATCACCATGAGGATTAATGATGGATTTTCTTCACCATGTACACGTTTGAATATAGGCTGACTGGAAATGAGTCAGAATGATGGAGGAGAATGAAGTTGTAGAGTTTCCATAGCATATTAGATTTTTTTTCCTTATTGAGATATCATCATAGATCATAATTCGCTTGAGATTAAGTGACTGACTCTATATAGTCTTGTCAGAAAGAACTGAACAAATGTCAGCCTCTCTTCTAGTGAAGTCTCTCTTTGTCTCATAGGACTTGCAATAATGCTATTGTTGTAGTATCTTTTTTGAATTATGTCAGAGTCACTGAAATCTCTTGGCACCAGGTTCTGAAAAAGACATGTTGAACAGTGAGAAATGGAGGAGCGGTGTGATTAATTGTCAAGAGAGAGAAGCACAGAAGCATAACTCTTCTTCCTGACAGATGCTCCAGCTGATTACATACAGTCAAGTAACAGAGTTGTTACAGATATTTGGCCAACTGTTTTAGGTACCATCTGCTCATTTTCCCCCAGAAGAGTAACCCCTTTTCAAAGGTTAAAGGGAAAGTTAAAAAGCCTGTTTAGACACTTCACAAATTTTCACCAATTTCCAGAATTGTGAGTCACTTAAATGAAATGCAAAGAAAAATTAACATCATAAGGGCAAGGGCCATCAGATTTGAGCTGGACAGAAAAAAAAAAGATTACAAAGCAAATAAATACAGCTTGTCATTATTTCTTTTGTACTTTCTTTCTGCAGACTGAGTCAACCAGAATCCATATCATAAGCTGGACATTTATGTTACCCATAGGAATTCCTGTTATGCATCCTCTTATGTTTGAATGAAATAGATAAGGCAAGTTTGGGAAAGGGGTGGTGGATAAGAAAAGAAGTATTTGCAGAGAATCCATAGGTGTATCCAAAAGAAAACTCAGCAGAGAAGGCACCACTGTTTTTTCTTCAAAACTGTAATTACCTAGTCAGTTCTCCTTGCCCACTGCACAGATAAAACCAGTTCACTGAGACAGCAAGATTGCAGTAAAGAGATTTTAATAATCCCAGGGTTAGCCAAATGAAAGGATGGGACTAATTACACAAATCAGCCTCCCTGAATACTTTGAGACTAGGGTTTTTCAAGGACAGTTGGTAGGCAGGGGACTAGGGAATGAGGAACTCTGATTGGTTGTATTGGGGATGCAATCATAGGTTGTCAAAGCTGTCTTCTTGCACTAAGGTGGTTCCTGGGTGGGGGCCACATGACCAGATAAGCCAGTTTCTTGGTATGGGTTCCTGGTTCAGGTGGGGCCAGCTGGCCCATCAGAGTACAGGGCCTGGAAACTACGAGTCTTAGGTTTTACAATAATGATGTTATCTATAGAAGTAAGTGAGGAGGTAACACATCTTGTGACCTCTGGCTACATGACTCCTGAAGCATAAATTTAACCTTCTGGCTAATTTGTTAGTTTTAGAAAGTGGTTTTGGTCCCTGAGCAAGGATGGGGCTGGCTTTGGGAAGGAGCTCTTATTATCTTTGTTTTAAAGTTACACTATCAACTAAGTTCCTCGAATAGTTAACTTGGCCTATACCCAGGAATGTACTAGGGCAGCTTGGAAGATATAAGCAAGATGGAGTAAGTGAGGTTCGATTTCTGTTACAATTTTTGCAAAGGAAGTTTCAATACCACCTAGGAGCTAAAAGGTACATTTTCCATTTGCTATGGATTTTAAGCCTGAAAGCATCTGAGGAAGTGTAGTGTGGTAGTTAAACATTGATGTCAGGTAGATTCACATGCAAATCCCAATTCAGCCACTTACCAGCACTTTATGTAATCTTGGCCAAATTGCAAATCTACATCTCATCTTCTTCGCATTATTGAAAGGGCCTCCAGAATATTCATATCAAACAACACCATGGATGATCTAGTCATAGAGAACTCCATATAAATTGTGCCTCCTTCAGTTAATAATGTGACTAGCCCTGTGCTTGATATACAGTGAGATTAAAAACGGCAGTTGTTAAATAGTCAATGTTCCAGCCTCTGCTGTAAACAAAAATGAGGAAGTTCTACAAATGTTAGTGTAGCATAGGGGTAAAAACATGAGTGATAGAGCCAGACTACAAGTATTCTAATATTGAGTTGTGTGCTTACTATCATGTGACCATGGGCAGTTTATTTTACTCTTGGTGCTTGAGTTTCTTCATTAGTGAAAGGGGGATAATAATAGTCCTTACTTTTGAGGGCTGTTGTAAGCATTAACTAAGTTAATACATATAAAACAATGGGAACAAAATCTGGTACATAGAAAACAATAAATGTGTTAGCTATAATTATTTATAGGTTATGTGAAAAGCTATCCTAAATGTGTTGTTAAGGTGAAAAAGCAAAGTGCTGCATACCTGAAACAAATAGGGGAATTTCACATATTTTTACTTACACATATATAAAATTTTCTTGCAAGAATTGCTAAGAAACTAATAACATTAATTACCTAGCTGGAGGGGAATTGAGTAGAAGGCGGAGAGAGAGTTTTCACTGTAGGACTCTTCATGCTTTTTGAATTTTGAGCCTTCTAAATGTATTAACTGTTCAGCAATTAAATTTTAAAATATAGCTAATATTATTATTACAATCAAATTGATATCACTTACCTTATTGCTATTATTATCCTAATCAAATATTGGGTAGCAATTATCATATACCATAATACACAATGTATTCAATGGAATTCAAGGCATGTTATCCCAAAATATGGCACCTTGGCATATTGAATACTTTAAGATGAAGAAATTTGAGAAACAGGATATATGAAAAGGTGTCTCTGACCTTTCCCACATCCTTCTCCCCTGAAGCAGGTCATAAAAACTAGGAAGGATTTTTCTGACCTTCCCCTGAAGAAGGTTGTAAGGCCTTCATGTGAGACGTGCCCTCCCATCCCATATGTGGAGGAAAGGAGTATTCTTATCTCTGAAGACACACAGAACAGAGAAGAATCTGAAAAAAAGACTTCGCTAAGTTCCCCCCAGTTTACCACCACTGGGTTGTACTCTTTGCCCTTTCTCCATGACAATCCACTCTTTATCAAATTGGTATAAAAAACACACTCGGGGCTGGGTACGGTGGCTCATGCCTGTAATCCCAGCACTTTGGGAGGCCGAGGCAGGTGGATCATCTGAGGTCAGGAGATCAAGACCAGCCTGGCCAACATGGTGAAACCCTGTCTATACTAAAAATATAAAAATTAGCCGGGTGTGGTGGTGTGCCCCTATAGTCTCAGCTACTCGGGAGGCTGAGACAGGACAATCACTTGAACCTAGGAGGCGGAGCTTGCAGTGAGCCGACATCACACTACTGCACTCCAGCCTGGGTGACAGAGACAGACTCCATCTCAAAAAAGAAAAAAAAAAGTAGGTTTAACTGTTTCTTCAGGTCTTTATTTCCTATGAAGGCTTCGTGTTCCATTAAATTTATATTAAATAAATCTGTATGCTTTCTCTTGTTAATCTGTTTTTGTAAAAGGGCCTTAGCCATGAACCTAGGATTGATGAGGAAAAGACATCTTCCCTCCGCTACATATTACACAAAGGAGATATTGGATGTCTCATTCAAGAGCATTTATTTGGACACAGCAGACACATACAAGCCTGCAACACAAGAAAATACACCATGAAAGTTGTATGTAGACCACATGTTGGGGTGGGTGGAGGGGATGGCAGTGGGATAAGTAGAAGGACAGAGTGACCATTCTTGTTTGCACTCTCAGTAAAGGCTTGAAGGAAGCATTACCTTTCAAAAACATTCCAGGTAGAAGAAATGTTATGATTTGATGACATAAGATGGTATATGATTGGGAAACATCAAGAACTGTAAGGCATAAAAGAACACAGAATATGACTAATGCTGGAGTTTGGAAGTAAGTAGCTTTATTCATGTTTCAACTAAGAGTATTTTCTGCTAGGTGGAATAAATAAATGTGTGGGTGTCTGCACACACACGTGGAAGTGTGTTTAGCTAGGAATATATATTGAATGTGAAAGGTAATTATGCAGCAGAAAGGAGAAACTTTATTAAAAATAACCACATTGATTGATCAACCCTACAATTGTAACTTTCAAACATCTATGTAAATAGAGTAGCAATTAATAATTGTTATCTTCTCACAGAAGTATAGAAGTCTGAGGCCTTTAGAAAATGAGTTTGTAATTTCAGTTTACAAAGCCTGAATCAATTTAATTGTAGAGCATAGATATTATTCTAATGTTTTCTTGGAACTGTCTCCATTAGGATCTTCTGTGAAGTTTCCTCCACATATATGAAGCAAAAAGCCAGCTCTAGTCCTTCTCATTTGTATTCTATTAAACAAGTCCTTGAGCCAAAAATTACAAAGGATTTGAATTTAACAAACCTTTTCTTAGTATCTACAATGGGCTGAGTTTTCACAAACATCATTTTTTAACCCTTACAATACTGTGAAGACATATTTTAATTGCTACTTTACAAATAGGCAGATTGTTTTAGAGATTTATGATCTGGCAGATCAGGGATCAGAATTCAGGTAAGGTTTATGTGTGTGTGTGTGTGTGTGTGTGTGTGTGTGTGTGCGCGCGCGCATCCGCATGCATATATGTAGGTGGGGGGGCAGAATGAAGAAAAACAAGGGCCAAATCAATGAAATTTTCACTACTGCAATATTTCCTCAGGATAGAATTCTAAGTATGTTGTTCTAGGGAGTGCAAGAAGATGTACAGGCATCTACATATTTCCCTTAGTTAAGATTACAATTTGCCTTTGCCAATTTATCTTCCATTTTTTTTCCGTGTCATTTATCAAATTACTGCTTCTCAGATCCAAATATATTCCTTATGATCTGCTCTGTGACAATGGAGTGAATCTATTTAAGCAATTCTCCTTTTCAGTAACTACAATGTTATGTTTTTTTCAGTAGAGAGGGCTGGAAGGACATTACGGAAAAAAAGAGCTTCTCGTTCTATTGCTTATGTGGCCTGTTTTTTCCTTCTTGTCCCTACACTGGCAGCCAGAGGAGTATGGGTGGGGATATGCAGTGGACATTCTACTACTGGCCCAGAGCATGCGACCACTTGGTGCAGTCTCAGTCCCAAGTCCAGTCTGGTAACTGCTTTGCTGCAGCGCTCCATACACAGGCATCACACATCTGCTGACTCTAACATCTCAGCTGCTCTGTGCACCCGCTCTGCAGTGTCGGCTCACCTGCACCCCCTACTGCCTTGAGACTGTAGGCCAGCTTTGGCCATTCAACCCCCAAGAACTTCTCTGTCATCTAGTGGGCTACAACCACACCTTCTCTAACGAGGTCTGAATCCCAGACACGAGCAGAGGCCACCCTTCCAAGTTTATTTCTTTCTTATACTCTTTCTTAACCCTAGGATAGGCTTCAGGGTTCTCCTGACATCTTAATAGTTAGTTCCCTATTAAGTTATAATTAATAGTTATGAGTTATAATTAATAATTATAGTTAAAATTTATAGTTAATTCTTATATTAAACTTTTCTTCTTCAAATTATTGTGTGGCTTCTGTCTATCTCCTCTTGGACTCTGATCTAATCTCTTTGTTATTTTTCAAATAAAGCATATTAGACTATGCCATCTAGCCTTCTTAAAGTAGGATTTTAATGTGACTTTCCTCACTACTAAGAAAATTGAGTTTGGAAGGAAGCAGGAAAGGAGACAGCTAAGGATAATTACCTTTATTTGACTAATATAAAAGTCGAGCAGTTAAAGGTGATTTGGTTCTGGTCTGGGCCTGTGTCTACTAAGAAGAATTCTAGCTCAACAAAACACTCCTCTCCAGAGATTGCACATTCTTTTCAGTCAAAATTGAAATATATTTTGTCCAGAGGAAATACTAAGAAAATCATTTTAGAAAATACCAGTTTCAAGGTTTCTGGGGAGAACTGGATATAAAAATCATTTTGTAGGTTTCTTATTCCACCTGAAGATTTTTAGCAAGCACTTAGGAATAAAGTCTTATACACTATTGTTAATACAAATTAATAATTTAACAAAAATTTGAAATATATTTTATATCTTAAGAAAAATTGCATTTGTATGGACTAAATGTTTGTGCTCTGCCCCAAAATTCATACAGTAAAGCCCTATCCCCAAAAGTGATGGTATTAGGAGGTGAGACCTTTGAGAAGTAATTAGGTTTAGATAAGGTCATGAAGGTGGAACCCCCTGATGGGATTAGTGCCCCTATAATAAAAGGAGGAGATACCAGAGCTTCCCCTCTCAGCCATGTAATGATACAACAAAAAGGCTACCACTTTGCAAGCCAGGAAGAGGGTTTCACCAAGACCCAAATTTGCTAGTGTCTTGATCTTGGACTTCCCAGGCTCCAGAACTGTGACAAATAAATGTCTCTTGTTTAAGACACCAGTCTATGGGATTTTGTTATAGCAGCCCAAGCTGACTAAGACAGCATTGTGTCTTAACAAAATGCAACTGATGATTTAATCGTATTGCACTATTTATTTTCAGTTCTCAGAATGGTCCATGTTCTCTCAACCCAAGCGCTCTGCAAATGCTGGGCCCTTGACCTGAGACATCTTTCCTTTCAATATCCCCATTCTTCTTCTGGGCAACTGTGTATATTATTCATATCTCAGCTTATATATTATTTCCTTCAGGAAATCTTCTCTCTGATTGCATTCCCCCTCTCCCAGCCCCTAACACACAAACATAAGATTATACTGAATTTCCTTTTTATATGCTCCAGTCCTTCAATACAGTATAAACTACCTGAGGGCAAGAATATTATCTTGTTCAACATGTTTACCACATAATAGGATATCAACAAATATTCTATTCTTTTACTACTCTTAGCTTTTTTGAAAAAAAAAAAACCCTCATCTAGAGTCTCAGCCAGTTGTTCTCACAAAAAGTTGCTCTCAACATTAAAGAAAGGTAACAAAATTCGCAGATAAGATCGGTCTCAAACTCATTTTTCACAACCTGTGAAAGATGATGAGGTATTTGGAAAAGACAAACACTTGCCAAATCATAGCTATGAGTGGTGATCTCAAAAATTAAATAAAAGTACTCACAAAGGCATTTTTGGATCATTTGCAGATAATCTTTTGGAAAGCATTTTTGTTCGTTCTGTGAAGTTAAGTAAATCTCACAAATGAGGAATCTTGGCAGAGTCAGACTGTGAGCTTTTACACTTGTTCTATGATATTTAGGACAGAATAAGGAATCCTTCTAGAAGCATCATTGCCTCTGTAAACTTTAAACACATTTTCTCGAGCCAATATTTACCTTTTGGCAGCTAAGTATGAGAGATTCAGCTTCTGGAATTTCTGTCCAATCTTGAATGATGTTGATAGAGTGAGCATTTTATGAGAACCTCACTAATGGTTTTATCTAGAAGGTAGCATTCCTTTAAAATATTCTAATTTAACTTATCTCTTTAATTGTTCAGATCATCGATAAAAATGTATTTGTTTTGTTAGCTGAGAGGAAGAAAAATTATTGCAAGCTTCAGAGTATAATGATGCAAACAGCTCCAACTATTCAGTGTGTGGGAGTTTGTTTCTTGGAATTAACAAGAGGGGTTATGAAGTATGACTGCAGGAAGAGAATGTTGCTCTTTGGAATAGTTCAATATTCTAGAGCAAGTATAAATTAGCTATTTAAGCCAATAACATTCAAAGTATTCTAAATAGCTGCCAAATTATGAAATACATGAAACAGTGTGGAAGAGACCCAGAAACTGGTCCTCAAATCACTTAACAATATTTTTCTAAGCTGTGTCACAAACAGATGGGCACAAAAATGTGTTCTGTTTTCCCATTCATAGTTGTTCTAGAAAAGAAACACTTTCTTAATATAGAGGCATTTACAGCTGGTGTTACACTTCAGATGTTAACCATCTCTGTTTTTCATCATCAGCTACAGCATAATATGCATATTCATACCTGCCATTAAGGCAGTAATACTAAGGGTAGTCAGAGCTAAACTGTCTCAGTCCTTTAGGAGCTTAAGACAGCCAATGAACATATGTAATATGCATAGAATCTAGCCAGTTATGCATTTATTAAAGTACAAGAGCCAAACTTTGCTTATAGGCTAAAGAACCAGTGTCACATCACAAACCTTTCAACTCAGTGTGAAAAGTGATTATGATAATATGTATAATATGTATCAATAAGGTGCACAGATGCCTAATGCTCACCATCTTTTGGTAGGTGTAAATGAGCCAAGAAGTGACTGGGAATGATATGTAAGTGTGTTCATCGGGTCACAGAGCTTTCAGACATTCAAAACTGGACGTAGATTAACAACCCAAGAAAATGCAGCCAGAAGGAGAAAATGGTATCTATAAAGTGCATAAGGAACAGTGAAAGCATTCACACAAACATATCCTAAAAAGGAAGTGTTGGTTAAATTGTGCAATTGTCCAGAAGAGTGTTTTGGAAGATAGATTACAATGCCTTGTATCATCTGATATAAGGGTACTCATGTATTAACATAAAACATATCACCTGCTTCCAGTGCATCTCCTACATTGCTCCACTCAGCTACATTTCTGTTTTTTACTTTCTACCCCTTTTTGCTTGAGGAAAGGGATGGCTGTTGTTCCTGTACTATGCCTCCCTTATAGCTTTCGCATTAGCTGTTTCCCCCATCTAATTTCACATACCTGACTTCTTATCATGCACATCTCAGGTTAATTATTTCTTCCTCAACCAGCATTCACCTTCAACAAGTTTCCTTGACACTCCACCCTATTTTATTTTATGTTCTGGCATTTTTGTCTATGTGCATGCCTGCTCACTTATATGTTGTTCCTTTTCCACCTCCTATCAGTAGAAAGTGAGCCCCATGAAAGTAAAATTCTTCTCACTCTTGCTCATTGCTAACTTCCCAGCATATAAAGCAATTCCTACCACACAGTAGGCACTCAATAAATAGTTGTTGAATTTATGATTCTTTTTCATATATTCTTTCTTTACGAAGAAAAAGTAAGAAAATTAATGACAAGCTTAGTGCTTTCAAAAAGCAGTATGTAACATAATCTTATACCTGATATTAATTACTTGAAATTTTGGGGTAAGTAGAAGGAGTTAAAGAAATAAATACAATCTAGCAAATCTTTATCTGAATCAAGTCTCCAGAATATTAAAACCAGAAGATACAGAAATACATCTCTTAAGAATTAACTCCAGTAAATCAACCTAGGTGCCCATCAACAGTGGATTAGATAAAAAACATGTGATACATACATAAAATGGAATACTATGCAGCCATACAAAATGCTAAATCATGTCCTTTGCGGCAACATGGATGTAGCTCTCCAGCTTAGCAGGCCATCATCCTAAGCTAATTCACATAGGAACAGAAAACCAATACCACGTGTTCTCACTTATAATCACTGTGATTATAGACTACTAATATCTAGTTTTAAGAAAACTGGCCAGGTGTGGTGGCTCACACCTGTAATCCCAGCACTTTGGGAATCTGAGGCTGGTGGATCACCTGAGGCCAGGAGTTCGAGACCATCCTGGCCAACGTGGTGAAATCCCGACTATACTAAAAATAGAAAAATTAGCTGGGCGTGGTGGCAAGCACCTGTAATCCCAGCTACTAGGGAGACTGAGGTGGGAGGATTGCTTGAACCTGGGAGGCAGAGGTTGCAGTGAGCTGAGATCATGCCAGCCTGGGTGACAGTGAGACTCTGCCAAAAAGAAAGGAAAGAAAGGAGAGAGAGAGAGAGAGAGAGACTAATATTTGTGAATAGCTAAACTGGCCTAGGTCAATCACCTTAGATTACTTACATCAGTTAAATTTGCTCAGGTCACTTAGTGAATGAGCAGAGACTGAAATTATTTCATCTTTTTATTGAGTACACAGCTAGTCTATTTGTATGGCCATGTGACTGAATTTGGCTGATGGAAGATAAATGCATGTGATATATGCAACATTCAGGCTTGGCTCACTAAAACCTCCCACCTAATTCCATGTTTTCTTTGCTTTGTGTCTTCCAGCTACCAGAAGACTCTGATGTAGGGGATGACAGAGCCAACAGATGCCTCCCTCAACCTAGTGATTTACATCCATCACATAATCAAGAAATAAGCTGTATTAGTCCATTTTCACACTGCTATAAGAACTACCTGGGACTGGGTAATTTATAAAGAGAAGAGGTTTAATTGACTCACAGTTCTGCATGGCTGGGGAGGCCTCAGGAAACTTACAATCATGGCAGAAGGAGAAGCAGGCACATCTTACATGGTGGCAGGCAAGAGAAAGCAAGCAAGAGCAGAGAAAACCGCTTTATAAAACCATCAGATCTCATGATAACTCACTCACCATCACAAGAACAGCATGGGAAAAGCCACCACCATGATCCAGCCACTTCCCACCTGGTCCCTCCCTTGACACGTGGAGATTATGGGGATCATAATTTGAGATGAGATTTGGGTAGGGACACAGAGTTAAATCATATCACAAGCTTTTGTTGTATTAAGTAACTGAAATTTTAGGATTTTCTATTTATATCACTTACCCTACCTTGATTAATATAGTCAATTTTGCATCACTTAAGAATCATAAGCTTTTACCTACTCTGATTTACAAACAAATCTTGGTAAATCAATATGTATTAATGTGCTATTTTACATACAAGATTGATCAAATTTACACATTTAATAAATGCCAGGTTCAAAATTTGTACCCAAGTTTTTCTGATTCCAAATCCCCACATTCTTTTTACTGCCCCACATCACACAACTCCCATACTTATTTCAATGGAAGAAGAATTGAAAAGTGAGTTAAGTGTTGATTTTTGCCAAACTAAGATAACTAGAAAGATTTTCTAGTTTTCAGCATTAAGCTCTGAATAATAAGCCACCTAAAAATAAAATGCAATCTTTAACAGAGCTGCACATCTGTGAATTAAAAGCACCAATTTTTCTATTCTCTTCACATTAACACAATTCAGTATTTATAGTCTCATATTTGGTTTACTTCTATCATATAAAACCAGATAATAGCCAGTAATGAAACGTCATTTTCATAGCTCTGAAGCAAACAGCAAATATCTCTATTTTCAATATTTTATGCTTATGATATTTAGCAGAGGCTATTTCATTCATTAAAGGGTACTCATGTATTAACATAAAACAAAGTAAGGAGTACCACTCTCTCTTTCCATGTAGATGCAATATAGCAAATCCATTAAAATGAGTGATTTTTCTCCTTTAGCTTCTTATGAACATTTTATAGTCATTAGCACATACTCTGAGTGCATTGAATATTCTCTTCAATACATCTCTTTTCCTTGAGGTATACTATATTATTAACAATGGTAAAACATCTTTTTTTCTGTTCTCTTCTTTTTTAAAAAAATTTTTTAAATTATACTTTAAGTTCTTGGATACATGTGCAGAACGCGCAGGTTTGTTACATAGGTATACACGTGCCGTGGTGGTTTGCTGCACCCATTAACCTGTCATCTACATTAAGTATTTCTCCTAGTGCTATCCTTCCCCTAGGCCCCACGCCCTAACAGGCCCTGGTGTTTGATGTTCCCCTCCCTGTGTCCATGTGTTCTCATTGTTCAACTCCCACTTATGAGTGAGAACATGCAGTGTTTGGTTTTCTGTTCTTGTGTTAGTTTGCTGAGAATGATGGTTTCCAGTTTCATCCATGCCCCTGCAAAGGACATGAACTCATCCTCTTTTATGGCTGCATAGTATTCCATGGTGTATATGTTCCATATTTCTTTTATCCAGTCTATCATTGATGCACATTTGAGATGGTTCCAAGTCTTTGGTATTGTGAACAGTACTGCAGTAAACATATGTGTCCATGTGTCTTTATAGTAGAATGATTTATAATCCCTTAGGTATGTACCCAGTAATGGGATTGCTGGGTTAAATGGTATTTCCAGTTCTAGATCCCTGAGGAATTGCCACACTGTCTTCCACAATGGCTGAACTAATGTACACTCCCACCGACAGTGTAAAAGCATTGCTATTTCTCCACATTCTCTCCAGCATCTGTTGTTTTCTGACTTTTTAATGATCACCATTTTAACTGGCATGAGATGGTATCTTATCGTAGTTTAGATTTGCATTTCTGTAATGACCAGTGATGATGAGCTTTTTTCATATATATGTTGGCCGCATGAATGTCTTCTTTTGAGAACTGTCTGTTTATATCTTTCGCCCACTTTTTTATGGGGTTGTTTTTTTTCTTGTAAATGTGTTTAAGTTCTTTGTAGATTCTGGATATTAGCCCTTTGTCAGATGGATAGATTGCACAAATTTTCTCCCATTCTGTAGGTTGCCTGTTCACTCTGATGATAGTTTCTTCTGCTGTGGAGAAGCTCTTTAGTTTACTTAGATCTAATTTGTCAATTTTGGCTTTTGTTGCCATTGCTTTTGGTGTTTTAGTCATGAAGGCTTTGCTCATGCCTATGTCCTGAATGGTATTGCTTAGGTTTTCTTCTGGGGTTTTTATGGTTTTAGGTCTTATTTTTAAGTCTTTAATCCATCTTGAGTTAATTTTTGTATATGGTGTAAAAAAGGGGTCCGGTTTCTGTTTTCTGCATATGGCCAGTCAGTTTTCTGTTATTTGCCTTTTTATATATTGTCCAAATTTAAATTAACATGATCAAAAAATGCCCACACTTTGTCCAGAGAGATGGCTATCTCACACAATCCAGAGAGAACATGAAATGATTACAATTCTCAGGAGTATGTTTTATCCATTTGGATTTACTGCTTTAAAATATGCATATTTTGGTTGCATCAACTCTGTTTCTAAAATTTATTCTAAGAAAATGATAATCTATATACCCAGTGATTTAGCCTCAATTTTATTCATTGCAGCAATTATGTTTTTGTTACATATAACCCTCTTGGTCATTTAAAAGGAACCTAAAAGACAACATAATAACTAAACATATGTAAACTTTATTTGTAGGACGTGAACTGTATGTTTTATTTTCTTCATTTATATTCCTTCATTGGGGATATAACTTGAATTTTGCCATAGTTTAGACAATCTAGAATTACTTAAATAAAACAAGGACTACTATACTTTCCTCTTTGTCTTAATACCCCAATTAAAAACAGAAGAAAACATTTTTCAAATTTTTGATATTACATAGTGCACATTCTAAAATTTATTCTAGTTTGAAAAAATGTGCCATTGACCATAGAAGGTATTCAATGATTAAACATATTTCTCTGAAACAGATATCAAGTATGCTAATCTAGTTTAACCTCTTAACCTGCAGAACACCTCTAAATCAGTACTTAATATTGTTCGTAAGGAATACTTTTAGGGTGTTCTTAGAAACTTTACTGTCCTCTCAGGTAATGATTGGCCAAAGGGACTTTGAGCTTATGAGGTTAACTTTTGTGGTTGATTGGTTGGGTATTTCTAATTTCATTATAAATATGTAGAAATTTTTCTACATAGCAGTGATGGTCATGGCTGCTGAAAATCCTTTATAAAAGATTAATTTTACTCTAACTTCTAGACTGATGATTACTTTTATTATAAATGCTATATTTAAATGTCAGCTCTTTAAATATGGTGATTAATTTGCTTCCCTAACTATATTGCTCATAATTAAATTAACAGGCAAAAAAACCAAACAGAACCTCAATGCCTTGTGCTGAAGTAATTTTAATCTTATTTTCTTGAGACATCAATTAAATAATATTTCCAAAATATTATTATCCTATATATTATTATTTATTATTGTTATCCTATATTATCTTATTGTTATTTTTAGTCATAAAATATCAATTATGAGAAAATCTATTCTTAAAATATATAAATATATATATTAAGCCTCAATGCTAAGCACTTCCAACTCAAATAAAATATATAACTTCCTAACTGGAATGGCCTTACCTCTTTTTCTCAAACACAGTCATTTGGATGGAAATCAGAGGAGAAAGGCTAAGTGCCCAGGGCCCTAGAATCTTTGTATAAGAATGATCATATGCCACACATGGTTCAAATGGAAGAGATTACATGGCTCAGTTCCTTTCAAGAACGTCAAGTATTTTATTCCAAGTTCACTCTTACAGCAGCTGAATGCAAGATAAACAAGGCCCCTTGCCTATTGATATATTCTAAGCAAGCAGCAGAGGAGATTAAGCCTGTGTGCTAGCTTTCATGCAAAACACAACCACAGGGCTCCACAAGCCACAAGGAGCCTCAGATGTAGCCTTTTGCCATTATTACCAAAGGAGTTTTTATCGACATAGTCAGAGACTTGTATATGTATTAAAAGTCTTCATTTGACAAATATAAGTATGTAAAGCATATCACAATGTTGTTGGCTACCCTGGTTTGATAGCTCCCCATTTTTAGGATATGAGGAGTTTCAAAGAATAGACATATCTCAAATCTCTCAGGAATTCTGAGAGGCACTCAGCATACTCATTGGTTTAGAGACAAATCTTGATCAGATTTTATTTTGCATTGTGATTCCTTTTTTAAATTCAGTAAGAATTCTATGAGTTCTAAGTTTTCAGAGAATTTAGCCGGACTTAGAGCAATCTTCTTATGATTATTAAAGGCTAAATTTAGCTTCTTAATAATCATATATTCTTGAGTTAATTCCTTTTTCATTGTTAAAAAAGTGATGTAAGTATCTATATATCTCTTACCTCACAGTGTTAGTCTTCAAACAAGCCACTAGACCACCTAAGAAGAAGCATGTTAAATGCTCTAGCACCACCTGGAGGGTGAAGGGATGTCTGGGTACATTAAAGAGACCAGTTTCATAACCTATTATATTTATGCATAAATGATGCAGTGAGAGTTCTGTGTACTTGTGCTTACACTGTTCTACAGAATTACAAGAAAGAAATCAAGTGTTCTATGGAAAGTTAAACAAATATAACAAGACTCTATTTGAGAAACAGTTTGATTCTGGCTGAAGGATAATTGCAGGTTATAGATTACTGAAAGAAATTATTAAACATTTCACCTTTCACTGAAAAGAATGTGGCAACCCCAAATTAAAAGATGCAGAAACCTGAGTAATAAACTGGATGGTATTACCTAACTGGCTAGAAAATTGTCACTGTCGGTGGATAGGAGAGTGATGTATTGTTCTTTGTGTTTTTGGTCAGGTTCAGCCACAGGGAGTTTATGAAAGGAACTACCATGAAAGGAACTCTTCTGACTTAAATTGAAGACAGAGGACAGGAACCATTATACTTTGGCAGTCATTAGAGACCTAAGGTGGTCAGTCTTCCTTGTCAAATAAACAATCAACGAGCTAACTTCCTCACAAACATCTAGTGCTTTAGTTTATTTATAGGTAGTGAAACATGTTTTTTATAGTCCTAAAACAGACTTCACCCTAGTTCAATTCTGTGCTAATCAAATATATTAATAAACTTACTATACACAATTGTAGAGAGAAAATGTCTATGGCATTATAAATAAATTGTCACATATTTTTAATACCTATGCATAGTGTATTAGTTCATTTTCACATTGCTATAAAGACCTACCTGAGACTGCGTAATTTATGAAGAAAAGCGTATTAATTGGCTCACAGTTCCACAGGTTGTACAGGAAGCATGGCTGGAGAGGACTCAGGAAACTTACAACCACAGCGCAAGGCAAATGGAAAGCCAGCGTGTCCTAAACGGTTGGAGCAGGAGGAAGACAAAGAGGGAGATGCCACACACTTTTAAACAACCAGATCTTGTGAGAACTCTATCACAAGATAGGACTAGGGAGTGGTGTTAAACCATCAGAAATCACCCCCATGATCCAATCACCTCCCACCAGGTCCCACCTCCAACACTAGGGATTACAATTCAACATGAGATTTGGGTGGGGACACAGAGCCAAGCCATATCACGTAGTATCCTCAATTAAACCAAACAGGGTTGTTCAATTGTGTCAAAGTCATTGTAGAAATAATAGATTTCCTTAGAAAAAGATTTCCAACTTTCTTGGTACTTCATAAACAAATGAGGATAGCAGTGTGACTTTCTTAATACTCAGTAACTTGTCAGAAGTTTATCTGAAAAAACAAAGTGCCTCACTCTCTTGAGAAAGCTTTGGAAAGGAAAGGACATGACGCACACTATGGAAAGGAGTTTGAACATTTCTCAAAGAACTGAAAACAGAACTACCGTTCAATTCAGCAATCCAATTGCAGGCAATATATCCAAAGGAGAATAGACCATTTTACCAAAAAGATACATGCACTTTATGTTCATCACAGTGCTATTCACAATATCAAAGATATAGAAACAACCTAGGTGCCTATAATGATGGATTGGACAAAGAAAATCTGGTATATACACAACATGAAATATTATGTGGCCACAAAAAAGAATGAAATCATGCCTTCTGCAGCAACATGTTTGGAGCTACAGCCCATAATCCTAAGCAAACTAATGCAGCAACAGAAAACTAAATACCACACATTGTCACTTACTAGTGGGAGCTAAACATTGAGCACACATGGACATAAACATGGGGATAGTAGACACTGCAGACTACTAGAAGGTGGAGGAGGGGAGGTCAATGGTTGAAAAACTACCTATTGGATATTATGCTCACTATCTGGATGCAATATACCCATGTAAAAACCTGCACACATACCCCTGTATCTAGACTAAAAGTTGAAGTTTTTTTAAAAAAATACCAAACATGATCATGTTGAAAGTAACTATTTTTACCTGTATCAAATACATATGGCATTTACTATTTTACTATAGATATGTTCCCATTAATGTACTTTGATCTCCTTTGTAGACAGTATGGTCAGCTCTGATTGAAAGACTAGAGAGACATAAACAAGAGGCTCTTCAGTCTGACTTATTCAGTGCCAAGCACAATGGCATGAATAAAGCTGTATTGAAAACTTTATTTGGTTATGCCAAAGAAAATTTAATTATGACAGTGGCAGATGCAGATTTCAATTCCATTTCTGCACTTTTTCTTACAGGGCTTTCTGGCATTTCAAGGTTTTCCCAAGTCTTTCCTTAATAAAGCTTTAACCGACTTACTCAGTTTCATTCTAAATCTCATTTTCAATATCTGAAAGGCATAAAAGCCTTTTGAAAAGTCAAATATATGTTAGTTCACAGTAAAATACAACTATTGCAAAAAAATACACTTCTCCTCATTAGGACATAAGTATTTTCATCAAAGAGGAAAATGACTTCAATTTTATTTACAGGTAGTGAAAATTCCAAGCTAGTAAATGGTAATGCTATAATTGAAACTTGAGCTGGACGTGGTATCTCATGCCTGTAATCCCAGCACTTTGGGAGGCCAAGGCAGGAGCATCACTTCAGCCCAGGAGTTTGAGACCAGTCTGGGCAACGTAGCGAGACCCCATCTCTACAAAAAATAAAATATTAGCCAGGCATGGCAGCAAGTGCCTGTAGTTCCAGTTACTCAGGAGACTGAGGCAGGAGGATACCTTGAGCCCAGAAGTTCAAGGCTGCAGCGAGCTGTGGTCATGCCACTGCACTTAGGCCTGGGTAACAGAGAGAGACCCTGTCTCTACTTAAAAAAAAACATTTTTTAAACCTTGCATATATTAAGCCCCAATGCTAAGCACTTCCAACTCAAATATAGTTCCTTTGAATTTTCCAAGAAAAACATAATATTGCATGTTCATGTCTCATTGCATCAGGATGCATCTAGCTCACTTCTTCTTTACATAGAATGAGATGCTTTGATAGGTAATGGTTTAAGGTACATTTATTACCAGTGGTTAGCTGCAGGAATATAAACTAATGTTAATAACATGAATAAAATATAATTTGGATAGTGAAGTTATTGTTATTTTTGCACATATGCATACATGTAGCCTTCCATTAGATTGGATAATTGACACTTGATTGTGTAGGCCAGAATCTGGGAATAAAGATTATTGATATGATGATGTCTTGGAGGGAGCTTGAGATACAATCTATACAACTCCTTACCTGTAAACATGTCATGCACTGGAAAAACATACATTTTTAGTTCATTTTAAAGATCTATTATAATGCATAAATGGTTATAAATTATCTTCTTAAAGTCTTTCTGGAATGGAATTTCTAGAAGCCTCTTCTAAAAGGTTTACACTTTTGTTTTTCATATCAAATTTTGGTTGCATTAAATAGGATTTTGTCAATGCCCCCGTTTGACCATTGACAAAGGTGAAAAATAAGGCTTTTTAAAAAGATAATTTGCACTTCTTATTTAAAATTAGCTCTTTGTTCTAAGAATAGATGTCATTTTAAAAAGAGTGATGTCACTGTCAAAAACCTGGTTCCATAATCCCTTTAGTATTCCAATTGTCTGTCCTGAATATTCCTTATTCTTATATTTGATACTGTAATCTCTAGTCTGCATATCTTCTTTTGATGAGCTTTTCTTAATGGTGTGTAGTAATTTTTTAAATTTCTTTTTACTTCCATGTTGCAAATATTTTTCCCAACATTTATTTGTTTTCCATAAGCAGTGTTTGCTTTAATGAGATTATATTAATTAGACTTTTCCTGAATTACTTCAGGATTTTTTGTTTTGGTGAAGTGGGCTTTCCTGATCACAATCCTACATTAATTTTTTGTGCTTTTGTTTTGATATGGCTGTAGTTAGCATTTATTTTGTTTTGGTTTGTTTATGTTTTACATTTAGTTCTTTTATCTAAAATGTATTGTGTGTGGTTTGAAGTAAGAGTCAACTTTTATTTTTAAAATCCATGGTAACTGTACTAACATTAATGAATACTTTATTTTTTATTTTCTTAAATGCTCCATTTCAAGTCAAACTATCTTTGTTTGCAGATGACATGATCCTATATCTAGAAAACCCCATTGTCTCAGACCAAAAGCTTCTTAAGTTAGTATACAACTTCAGCAAAGTCTCAGGATACAAAATCAGTGTGCAAAAATTGTTAGCATTTCTATACACCAACAATAGGCAAGCCAAGAGCCAAATCATGAATGAACTCCCATTCACAGTTGCCACAAAAAGAATCAAATACCTAGAAATACAGCTAACGAAGTGAAGAACCTCTTCAAGGAGAACTACAAACTACTGCTCAAAGAAATCAGAGATAACGAAAACAAATGGAAAAATATTCCATGCTCATGGATAGGAAGAATCAATATTGTGAAAATGGCCATACAGCCCAAGGCAATTTATAGATTCAATGCTATTCCCATTAAACTACCACTGACATTCTTCACAGAATTAGAAAAAGCCATTTTAAAATTCACATGGAACCAAACAAGAGAATGAATAGCCAAGACAATTGGAAGCAAAAAGAACAAAGCTGAAGGCATCATGTTACCAGACTTCAAACTGTACAACAGGGCTACCATGACCAAAACAACATGGTACTGGTATAAAAATAGACACATAGACCAATGGAACAGAATAGAGAGCCCAGAAATAAGACCACACACCTACAGCTATCTGATTTTCAACAAACCTGACAAAAACAAGCAATTGGGAAAGGATTCCCTATTCAATAAATGCTGCTGGGATAACTGCTTAGCCATATGGAGAAGACTGAATGAAACTGGACTCGTTCCTTACACCACATACAAAAATCAACTCAAGATGGGTTAAAGACTTAAATGTAAAACCCAACAACTATAAAAATCCTGAAAGACAACCTAGGCAATACCATTTAGGACATGGGCATGTGCAAAGTTTTCATGACAAAGATGCCAAAAGCAATTGCAACAAAGGCAAAAATTGACAAATGGGATCTAGTCAAACTAAAGAGCTTCTGCATAGCTAAAAACTATCATCAGAGTGAACAGACAACCTACAGAATGGGAGAAAATTTTTGCAATCGATCCATGTGATAAAGTTCTAATATTCATCATATACAAGGAACTTAAACAAATTTACAAGAAAAAAAACATTAAAAAGTGGGCAAATGATATGAACAGACACTTCTCAAAAGAAGACATACATGTGGCCAAAAAATTATGAAAAAAAGCACATCATCACTGATGATTAGAGAAATGCAAATAAAAAACACTAAGAGATACCATCTCACAGCAATCAGAATGGTTATCATTAAAAAGTCAAAAAACTACAGATGCTGGAGTGGTTGTGGAGAAAAAGGAATGCTTTTACACCTTGGTAGGAGTGTAAATTAGTTTCACGATTGTGGAAGACAATGTGGCAATTCCTCAAAGACCTAGAAACAGAAATACTGTTTGACTCAGCAATCCCATTACCCAAAGGAATATAAATCATTCTATTATAAAGATACATGTACACGTATGTTCACTGCAACACTTTACAATAGCAAAGACATGATATCAACCTAAATGCCCATGAATGATAGACTGGATAAAGAAAATATGGTACATATACATCACAGAATACTATGCAGCCATAAAAAAGAATAAGATCAAGTCCTTTGCAGGGACATGGATGGAGCTAGAGCCCATTATCCTCACCAAACTAACGCAGGATCAGAAAGCCAAACACTGCATGTTCTCACTTATAAGTGGAAGCTGAACAATGAGAACACATGGACACACGGCAGGGAACAACAACACACACTGAGGCCTATCTGTGGGTGGTGGGGGAAGAGGGAGACCATCAGGAAGGATAGCTAATGCATGCTGGGCTTAATACCTAGGTGATGGCATGATCTATGCAGCAAACCACCATGGCACACGTTTACTTACATAACAAATGTGCACATCCTGCACATGTACCGCTGAACTTAAAATTAAAATAAATAAAATAAATACTCCCTTTCAGGGGTGAAGGATGAATAATTTCTTCACTGCATTGAAATTACAAACTAAACTTTCATAAAAATGTTATAAATATATTTATATGACATATACTATAATTATATGTATTTATATAATCAAGTATATTTTTTCATTCTATAAAATATGTAATATATTATACTTTATATATTTATATTTTATATTTTTCATATATATGAATATTCACATATATCTACTTAGCTTTGTAAACCATTTTATTGATTTATTTCTACGAACTTTTACTAATACCACGGTTTCAATTATGTAAATAAAATGGAATTTTAATATTTGACAGGAAAAATAACCCCCCAACTTCAATCCTTTTTACAAAATAATCTTTTCAATGCTGTGTAAGGTCTGTCAAATGTATGATAGACATGGCTTGTTGAATTTCCATCTTGAATTGTTTTTCCTGATCTTTTTCTTATATATCAGCTTACAGAGTACTTTGGCATCTCTAAAAATGACTAATGAGGGTTTTGTTAGTATTATTATGGCAGGTAAATAGATATTATAGATGGATATCATAGAGTTATAATTCATATGCCATAAAATGCACACTTTCCAAGTGTACAATGTGGTTTTTAATATATCCACAAGGCTGTGCAACCACTGTCACTAATTCAGGAACATTTTCATCATCCCCCAAAGAAACTATTAGTGGTTATTTTCCAGTCCCTCATTCCTCCAGCTCTGGAAACCACATATCAATTTTCTGTCTCCATAGATTTGCCTTTTCTGAACATTTCAAATAAATAGATTCATATGGAAGTTTCTAGTTCCAAAATGGTAGCAGATAAGCAAACTAGCTTAACTTCCTCACACTGAAAACCAAAAACAAAGATACAGCACTGAGATTACCACCTGTAATGTCCCAGAATTCAAATATGATGATGAAACAGTTCCTGGAGCTACAGGGAATAAAAAAAATCTTCCCCCAATTTGGTCAGCACCAAGTGTATGGAAAATATTCCCCCAATTCCAGTTTCTACACTGGAAAAAAATGAGATTGAGATGGACAACCAGCTTCTGTACCACCTTTGGTTCCCTGGCAGGAGACCTGTCCCTGCCTCAACACACAGGAAGCATGGCAAGTACCTGAAGGGAGAAAAAGCCCTGAGGACAGTCGGAGACAAAGAAGGGAGGCAGGAGTACTATCCTCAGGCCTGGAAACTCTGCTACGTAATAGAGGATACCAAATCAGAGTGACTTTTTAGCAGCACCACAATGTAAGAGGTACACTTCACAAGTCCCCCGAGGAATCCCTAGCCAGCCTTCCCACTCTGCCAGGATATCCCTTTTGGGACCTCCCCCATTCAGGAGGGCCAGTACGCCGATCCTTTCCTGTAGAAAAGTCAAGCCTGAACGTACAGCGCCGTCTAGTGGCAACAGGAGGCAGACACCTAGTGGGAAAAGCAAAAGAAATTCAAGTAAATTACAAAGAATCTCTAAGCAACTATATCCAATAAAAAACAAAACAAGCCAGACAAAGAAGACTGGAATAAATCCTCCAAGCAACAATATAGATTTACATACACAAAGACAACAGCAACCAGGGAGCCACGACCTCCTTAAATAGACAAGGCAAGGAACCAGTAACCGACCCTAATGAAGTGGTGGTATGTGACCTCTCTGACGAATAATTCAAAATAGCAGTGGTAAGGAAAGCCAATAATCCCCAAAATAACACAGAAAAAGCATTGCAGAAGTTTATCAGAGAACCTTAACAAAGATATTGAAATAATTTTAAAAAGTAAAACAGAATTCTTGGAACTGAGAAATACACTTACTCAGCTGAAATATTCATTAGAGACTCTCAGCAGCAGAAACAGATTAATAGAGGAATGAATTTATCAGCTTGAAGAAGCCTATTTGAAAATATAGTCAGAGAAAAAAAAAGAGAATGGAAAGCAACAAAAATTACCTACAACATATAGAAGATCACCTCAAAAGACCAAATGTGGGAATTATTGGTATTCAAGAGGAAGTTGACCAAGAGCAAGGAGTAAAAAGCTTATTCAAAGGAATATTAATAGAAAAGGTTCCAAAACTTGAGAAAGACATAAATATCCAGGTACAGGAAGGCCAGAGAACACCAAACAGATTTGATCCAAATGAGACTACTCTAAGGAATTTAATAATCACACTCTCAAAAGTCAAGGGCATAGAGAGGATCTTAAAGGCAACAAGAGAAAAGACAAATAACGTATTTTAAAAAACATGAAAAGTAGCTCCAATTCCTCTGACAACAGACTTCTCAACAGAAGCCATACATGCCAGGAGAGAGTGATAACATTTTCAAGGTGCTGAAAGAAAAAAAAAACTGCTATCTAAGAATACCATATCCAGAAAAGCTCTCCTTCAAATATGAAGGAGAGAGAAAGTCTTTCCAAGGCAAACAAAAGCTGAGATAATTCACCACCACCAGACTTGTCTTACAAGAAATGCTAAAGGGAATTCTTCAACCTGAAAGAAAGAAAATGTTAATTTGCAAAAAGAAAACATTTGAAGGTATAAAACTCAGTGATAAAATTAAATACACAGACAAACCCAGAATTCCCTAATACTGTAATTGCGGTTTGCAATCCACTCATAATTGTACTATGACACATAAAAGACAAATCTCTCAAAAACAATAGCAATAGCAACCTCTTAAGAGATAGTAAAAATATATAAATTGAGACAACCAAAAGTCAAATTGTAGGAAAAATAGAGTTAAAGTGTAGAGGTATTTTTAAGTTATTTTGTTTTATTCTTTTTTCTCATCAAAGATAAGCTGTCATCTCTTTGAAATGACTTTTTATATCTATAAGATGTATTCTGTAAGCCTCGTGGTAACCACAATACAAAAACCAACAATATGCATTGATATGGCTTGGCTGTTTCCCCACCCAAATCTCATCTTGAATTGTAGCACCCATAATCCCCATGTGTCATGGGAGGAAGCTGGTGGGAGATAATTGAATCATGGGGGCAGGTTTTTTCCATGCTGTTCTCATGATAGTGAATAAGTCTCACAAGATCTGACGGTTTTATAAAGGGCAGTTCCCCTGCACACACTCACTTGCCTGCCCCCATGTAAGACATGCCTTTGCTACTCCTTTGCTTTCTGCCCTGTGAGGTCTCCCCAGCCATGTGAAACTGTGAGTCCATTAAACCTCTTTTTCTTTATAAATTACCTAGTCTCAGGTATATCCTTATAGCAGCGTGAGAACAGACTAATACATATTTATATACTAAAAATAAAAAGCAACAAATTAAAAGATACCACCAGAAAAAAACAATTATCCTCAAAGGAAGACAGTGAAAAAAGAAGACAGGAAGTGAGGAGTTACAAAATAACCAGAAAAGAACCAACAACAAAAAGGCGATAAGTCCTTACTTATCAATAACATCTCAATGTAAATGAACTGGATTCTCTAATTAAAATGCATAGGGTGGCTGAATAGGTAAAGAAAGAAGACTCAGCTATATACTGCCTCCAAGAAACACACATCACATATGAAGACACACATAGATTAAAAGGGAAGGTATGGAAGAAGATATTCCATGGAAATAGAAACTAAAAAAGAGCAGTAGTAGCTAATCTTATATTAAATGAAATAGATTACAAGTCAAAGACTGTAAAAGAGACAAAAAAGGTCATTATGTAATCATGAAGGATATTACAAGTAAGAGAATATAACAATTATAAATACTTATGTTCCCAAGAAGGGAACACCCAAGTATATAAAGCAAACATTAATAGATCTAAAGGGAGAGATAGACTGCAATGCAATAATAGTAGGGGCATTTAACACCACATTCTCAGTAATGAAGAGCTCATTCGGAGAGAAAATCCACAAAGAAACATCAGATTTAAACTACGTACTTGACCAAATGGACCTGATACACATTTGCAAAATACTTCACTCAACTGCTACAGAATACAAATACTTTTCATCAGCTCATAAAACATTCTCCAGGATAGACCATATCTTGGACTACAAAACAAGTTGTGACAAATTTTTAAAAGTAGAAATTCTATCAAGTATCTTTTTAAATTTTTAACTTTTGTGGGTACAGAGTGGCTGTGTTTGTTTATGGGTTACATGAAATATTTTGATACAGGTATGCAATGCATAATAATCACTTCAGGGCAAATGGGGTATCCATCACCCAATTTATCCTTTATATTACAAACAATCCAATTTTACTCTTTCAGTTATTTTTTAATGTACAGTTACATTACTTTTTACTATAGTCACCCTGTTGTGCTGGCAAATGCTAGGTCTTATTCATTATTTCTAAAATTTTTTAGTACACATTAACCATCTCCACATCTCCCCCAGCCACTCACTTCCCTTCCTATCCTTTCATAACCATCCTTCTACTTTCTGTCTTTATGAGTGCAACTGTTTTCATTTTTGGCTTCCACAAAATCACAAAGTAAGTAAGACCATGAAACATTTGTCTTTCTGTACTTGGCTTGTTTCACTTAATGTAATGACCTCCAGTTCTATCTATGTTGTTGCAAATGACAGGACCTCATTCTTTTTATGGCTGAACAGTACTGGATTGTCTATATGTACCATGTTTCTCTTCCACTCATCTGTTAGTGGACACTTAGGTTGCTCCCAAATATTGGCCATTGTGAATAGTGCTTCAATAAACATGGCAGTGCAGATGTCTCTTCGATATAGTGATTTTCCATCCTTTGGGTATATACCTAGCAGTGGGATTGCAGGATCATATGGTAGCTCTATTTTTAGTATTTTGAGAAACTTCCAAACTGTTCTCCATAGTGGTTGTACTAATTTACATCTCTGCCAACAGTGTACCAGGGTTCTCTTTCCCCACATCCTCACCAACATTTGTTATTGCCTGTCTTTTGAATGAAATTTATTTTAATAGGGGTGAGATGATATTCATTATAGTTTTGATTTGCATTTCTCTGATGATCAATGATGTTGAGCATCTTTTCATATACCTGTTTGGCGTTTGTATGTCTTCTTTCCTGAAATGTCTTTTTTCCATTTTTTGATTGGATTATTAGATTTTTTCCCATAGAGTTGTTTCAGCTCTTTATATATTCTGGTTATTAATCCCTTGTCAGATGGGTAATTTGCAAATATTTTCTCCTTCTATGGGTTGCCTCTTCATTTTGTTGATTGTTTCTTTTGCTGTGCAAAGCTTTTTAACTTGACATGATCCCACTTGTCCATTTTTGCCTTGGTTACCTGTGCTTGTGAGGTATTACTCAAAAAATCTTTGCCCAGTCCAATGTCCTGGAGAGTTTTCCCAAAGGTTTCTCATAATAGTTTCATAGTTTCATAGTTTGAGGTATTAGATTTAAGTCTGTGTTCCATTTTGATTTGATTTTTGTATATGGTGAGAGATAGGGGTATAATTTCATTCTTCTGCACCACTATAGATGTATGAATTTATTTCTGAATTTTCTATTCTGTTCCACTAGTCTATGTGTCTGTTTTTATGCCAGTACAATGCCATTTTGGTTACTATAACTCTGTAGTATAAATTGAAGTCAGGTAATGTTATTCCTCCAGTATTTTCTTTTCTTTTTGCTTAGGATAGCTTTGGCTATTCAGTCTCTTTTGTGGTTCCATATAAATTTTAGGATAGTTTTTTTCTATTTCTGTGAAGAATATAATTGGTATTTTGATAAGAATTGCATTGCATCTGTAGATTGCTTTGGACATTTTAAACAATATTGATTCTTCCAAGTCATGAACATGGAATGTCATTCTTTCTTTTTCTTTTTTTGCATCCTCTTCAGTTTCTTTTATCAATGTTTTAGAGTTTTCATTGTAGAGATTTTTCATTTGTTTGGTTAAGTTAATTTCCAGGTATTTTATTTTATTTTATTTGTGGCTATTGTAAATGAAATTACTTTCTTGATTTCTTTTTCAGATTGTTTGCTGTTGGCATGTAGAAATGCTACTGATTTTTATGTTGATTTTGTGTCATGTAACTCTACTGAATTTGTTGATCTATTCTAATCATTTGTTGGTGAAGTCTTTAGCTTTTCCCAACATAAGATTATATTATCTGCAAAAAAGCATAATTTGACTTTTTCCTTTCCAATTTGTATGCCCTTTATTTCTTTCTCTTGTCTGATTGTTCTAGCTAGGACTTCCACTACTATGTTGAATAATCTTGGTGAAAGCGGAATCCTTGTCATATTCCAGATTGTAGAGGAAATGCTTTCAGTTTTTCTCAATTCAGTATGATACTAGCTGTGGGACTGTTATATATGGCTTTTATGATGTTGAGGTATATTCATTCTATACCTACCTTTTTTTACGGTTTTTATCTTGAAGGGATGTTAAATTTTATCAAATGTTTTTTTCAGAATCAATTGAAATAATTATATGGTTTTTGTCCTTCATTTTGTCGATATAATGTATCACATTGATTAATTTGCATATGTTGGACTATCCTTGCATCCCTGGGCTAAATCCCATTGGGTCATAATAAATAATCTTTTTAATGTGCTGTTGAATTCTCTTTGCTAGTATTTTGTTGAGGATTTTTGCACCAATATTCATCAGGGATATCGGCCTGTAGTTTGTTTTTTTTTTTTAATGACTCTGATTTAGGGTAATACTAACCTTGTAGAATGAGTTTAGAAGTGCTGCCTCCTGCTCTACTTTTTAAAAATAACTTGAGTAAGATTGTTATTAGTTCTTTAAATGTTCGGTAGAATTAGGCAGTTAAGCCATTGGGTCCCAAGATTTTCTTTGCTGGAACACTTTATTATGGCTTTGATATCATTGCTTGTTGTTGGTCTGCTCAGGTTTTGAATTTCTCCATGGTTCAATCTTGGTAGGTTATATGTGTTATGTGTCTAGGAGTTTATCCATTTCTTCTAGATTTTCCAATTTACTGAAATATAGTTGTTCATAGTAGCCACTAATGATCCTTTGAATTTCTATCATACCAATTGTAAAGTCTCTTTTTATCTTGAGTCTATTTATTTGGGTATTCACTCTTTTTTTTTTTTTTTAAGTCTGGCTACAGATTTGTCAATTTTGTTGATCTGTTCAAAAAATCTATGACCTGTGTCATTGATTTTTTTATTTTTTCATTTCAAACTCATTTATTTATGTTCTGATCCTTATTTCTTTTCTTCCCTTTCATTACCTTTAATGGCAAAAACAATTACTTTTGCACCAACCTAACATTTATTTAAAGCTTTTCTTCTTTTTATATGCAGGTGCTTATTGCTGTAAATTTCTCTCTTAGTACTACTTTTGCTGTATCCCATAGGTTTTGAAATGTAGTATTTCCATTATCATTTTTTTCAAAAAAATTTTTCATTTTTAAAAATTTCTCCATTATCCCACTGGTCATTCGGGAGCATATATTTTAATTTCCATGTTTTTGTATAGCTACCAAAATTACTCTTGTTATTGATTTCTGGTTTTATTCCATTGTGGTTAGAGAAGATGCTTGCTATAATTTCAATTGTTTAAAATGTTTTAAGACTTTTTCGTGACCTAAAATATGGTCTATCCTTTAGAATAATCCATGTGCTGAGAAAAAAATGTGTATTCTGCAGCCTTTGGATGAAATGTTCTGTAAATATATGTTAGGTCCACTTGGTCTATACTGCAGATTAAGACCAATATTTCTTTGTTGATTTCTTGTCTGAAATATCTGTTCAGTGCTGAAGGTGGGGTGTTGAAGTCTCCAGCTATTATTGTATTGAGGTCTATCTCTCTCTTTAGCCCTAATAATATTTGCTTTATATATCTGAGTACTCCAGTGTTGGATGCATATACGTTTACAATTGTTATATCCTCTTGCTGAATTGACCCCACTATCATTATGTAATGACCTTCTTTGTCTCTTCTTACAGTTTTTGTCTTGAAATCTATTTTGTCTTATAAAAGTATAGCTACTTCTGCTCTCTTCTGTGGTTTCCATTGGCGTGGAATACCCTTTTGCATCCCTTCATTTTCAGTCTATGTGTGTCTTTACAAGTGAAATGTGTTTCCTAAGGCAATAAATCATTAGGTCTTGTTTTTTGTTGTTGTTGTTTTTTGTTTTGTTTTGTTTTTTTAATCCATTCAGTCACTCTATGTCTCTTTATTATAGAGTTCAGTTCATTTATGTGTTATTGATAAGTAAGGACTTATTCCTGCCATTTTATTATTTGTTTTCTGGTTGTTTTGTGATTTTCTTTTTTTTCTTTCTTTCCTTTCTGTCTTCCTTTTAATGAAGATTTTCTCTGGTTGTATGATTTAATTTCTTCCTTTTCATTTTTTTGTGTATCTGTATTAGGGTTCTCTAGAGGGACAGAACTAATAGGATATATATATGTATGTATGTGTATATATAGATGTATGTATATGTATATCTATCCATGTGTGTGTGTGTGTATATATATATATATATATATATATATATATATATATATGAGTTTATTACAGAATATTGACTCACACAATCACAGGTTGTGTAAGTCCCATAATAGGCTGTCTGCAAGCTGAGAAGCAAGGAAGCCAGGCCAAGTCCCAAAACCTCAAAAGTAGGTAAGCTGATAGTGCAGCCTTCGCTCTGTGGTTGAAGTTCCAAGAGTACCAAAGCTGATAAACTTGGAGTTTGATGTTCAAGGCCAGGAAGCATCCAGCATGGGAGAAAGATGGAAGCCAGGAGACAGCCAGTATAGTCTTTCCGTGTTCTTCTGACTGCTTTTTATTCTGGCCACACTGGCAGCTGATTAAATTGCACCCGCCCAGATTGAGGGTGAGTCTGCCTTTCCCAGTCCACTGACTCAAATGTTAATCTCCTTTGGCAACATTCTCACAGACACACCCAGGAATGATACTTTGTATCTTTCAATCCGATTAAGTTGACAATATTAACCAATGCAAGTCCACCCTTTGTCCACTTGAACCCATACACACCTTCTGAAATCATACATAATCTTCAAATAAAGACAGTAATAAGGTCATAATTATGCCTAACATATAAACAGCTATCCTTTGTACAACCGGAAATGCACCAATCTCCAACCCAAATGCTATTATGCAAAGTTAACAACACTTAAAAGCTGATTTGGAGTCAATAAATCTTATATCACATGATAAAGGAAAAAGAAAGGAAATAAAATGAAGATATTTTCTTAGTACAAGTGTATATGGTATCCATTGTGTGTTTTTAAACTTGAGGTTACCATAGGATTCTCTCTCCATGCCACATGACCACTGCCAGTGGATGGGTGAGGGGTGGCATTGGCAATTCAAACTGTCTTTTCTATTCTTTTCAGTGCCTCTTCAGTGGTATTAAATTACAGCCAGGAACTATGAGGGTTCACCTGATTTTTGTTTCTTTTGAAGGTGATTTTCCTGAGTAGAGAGTTGTTTAATTTGGTGTTTTTACTGGGGAGGCAGTCAGTGGAGCCTTCTATTTTACTATACTGCTCCATTTTCTCTCAAGTATCTTTTTTGACCATAATGGACTGAAGTAGAAATCAATAAAAATATACAAACACATGAAGATTAAACATGCTCCCGAATGACCAATAAATCCATAAAGAAGTTAAAAAGAAAAAACTTTCCTGAAACAAATAAAAATGTAAACACAACATACCAAAATCTATGGAACACAGCAAAAGCAGTACTAGGAAGAAAGTTTATAACAATAAACACCTACATCAGAAAAGCAGGAAGACTTCAAATAAAAAACCAATATTGCACCTCAGGTAGCTAGGAAAGGAACACCAACCAAACCAAAATTATTAGAAGTAAAGAAATAATAAACATCAGAGCAAAAGTAAATGAGATTGTGACTGCAAAACCAATACAGAACAATAAAAGAAAAGTTGATTTTTGAAAATGTAAATGAAATAAACGGACCTTTATCTGAACTAACATAAAAAAGAGAGAGGAAGCCCAAATAGTAAAATGAAAAATTAAAAAGGAGACATAACAGCTGAGACTACAGAAATACAATAATCATTACAGATTATAAGGTTGGTGCAAAAGTAATTGCGGTTTTTAATATCATGACTATCTATACCAAAAAATTAGAAAACCTAGAAGAAATGCGTAAATACCTGGATACATTCAATCTATCAACATTGAACTACGAAAAAATAGAAAACCTCAATAAATTAATACTGTGTAACAAGATCAAAGCCATAATAAAAAGTCTCCCATCAAAGAAAATCCCAGGATCTAATGGCTTCACTGCTGAAATCTACCAAACATTTAAAGAAGAACTAACACAAATTCTACTCAAACTCTTCAAAAATATTGAAGAGGAGGGAATACTTCCAAACTCATTCTACAGGCCAGCAGTATGCTGACACCAAAACCAGGCAAAAATACACACACACAAAAAGATAACTGCAGGCTAATAGCACTGATGAACATAGATGTGAAAATCCTCAACAAAATCCTAGAAAACTGAATTCAACATTACCTTAAAAAGATCATCCATCATGACCAAGTGGGATTTATCTTAGGGATGGGAAGGGTGGTTCAACATATGCAACTCAATAAATGTGATACATTACATTAATAGAACCAAGAACAAAAACCATATAATTATTTCAATAGATGCTGAAAAGCATTCGATAAAATTCAACACCTCTTTGTGATAAAAAAAAAAACCACCCTCAACAAACTGGGTATAGAGGGAGAAACCTCAAAATGATAAAATCCATATATGAAAAACCCACAGCCAACATCATACTAAACAGGTAAACACTGAAAGCCTTTCCTCTAAGATCTGAAACAATACAAGAATACCAATTTTTACCACTTTTACTTAACAGAATACTGAAATTCCTGGCCTGAACAATTAAGCAAAGAAAAGAAATAAAGGGCATCTAGGTTGGGAAAAAAAGAAGTCAAGTTAGCCTTATTTGCAGGTGATGTGATTTTATATTTAGAAAAACCAAAAGATACCACCAAAAAAATTGTTAGAACTGATTAACAAATATAATATAGTTGCAGGATACAAAATAAACATAAAACAATTAGTAGCATTTATATACACCAATGGTGAACAATCTGAAAAAGAAAGTAAGAAGAGAAACCCACTTATAATAGCTACAAAAAATATAAAATACAAAATATCTAGGAATCAATTTAATCAAAGAAGGGAAAGCCCTGTATAAGGAAAACTATAAAACTCTGAAAAAAGAAATTGAACAGAATACAAAAAAATAGAAAGGCATTCCATGCTCATAGATTAGAAGAATTAGTATTGCTAAAACGACAATACCACCCAAAATAATTTACAGATTCAATGTAACCTCTATCAAAATACTATTTATATTCTTCCCAGAAATTGGAAAAATATTATAAAATTTATATGGCACCACAAAAGACCCCAAGTAGCCAAAGCAGTCCTGAGCAAAAAGTACAAAGCTGGAAGCCATCCCTGACTTCAAAATTTATTACAAAGCTGTAGTAACCAAAAGAGCATGGTAATGGCATAAAAACAGACACATACACCAATGGAACAGAATTGAGAATGCAGATACAAATTCATATATTTAAAGCCAACTCATTTTTGACAAAGGCACCAAGAACATAAAAATGGGGAAAGGACAGGCTTCAATAAATGGTGGTGGAAAAATGAAATAGCCATATGCAGAAGAATGAAACTAGGCTCCTATCTCTCACCTTATTTAAAAATCAAATCAAAATGGACTAAAGACTTAAATCTAAGACTTGAAACCATGAACCGACTAGAATAAAACATTGGGATAATGCTCTAGGACCTTGGTCTGGGCAAAAATTTCTTGAGTTAAGACCTCAAAAGCATGGGCAACAAAAGCAAAGATAGACAAATGAGATTACATCAAGCTAAAAAGCTTCTGCACAGCAAAGGAAGCAATAAACGAAGTGAATAGACAACCCACATAATGAGAAAAAAAAATGCAAACAATCCATTTGACAAGGTACTACTACTAACCAGAATATATGAGGAGCTCAACTCAATCGTGAAAACACAAGTAATCCAGTTTAAAATGAGCAAAAGTTCTGGATAGAAATTTCTCAGAAGAAGATTAACAATGAGAAACAAATATACAAAAAAAGTGCTCAACATCACTAATCTTCAGAGAAATGTAAATCAAAACCACATTGAGATATCATCTCACCCCAACAAAAATGACTTTTATCAAAAAATCTGGCAATAATGGATGCTAACAAGGATGAAGCAAAAGGAGAACCCTTATACACTGTTGGTGGGAACGTAGATTAGTACAGCCACTATGGAGAACGATATGGAGGTTCCTCAAAAGACTAAAAATAGAACTATCATATATAACCCAGCAATTCCACTACAGGGTATATATCCAAAAGAAAGAAAATTGGTATATTGAAGAGACATCTGCACTCCAATGTTTATTGCAGCACTATTCATATAGCCAAGATAGGGAATCAATCTAAGTGCCCATCAATGGATGAATGGATAAAGAAAATGTGATACATATATACAATGGAATATTATTTAGACATAAAAAGAATGAAATCCTGTCATTTGCAGCAACATGAATGGAACTGGAGGTTTTTACTTGAAATATGTTAATCACTGAAAGATAAATATCGTATGTTCTCACTCATATGTGAGAGATTAAAAAAAGCAGATCTTTTTTTAAGTTTGAGAGTAGATTAATGGTTACCAGAGGCCAGAAGGGTAGAGGGGAGGTGGAGGATAAATAGAAGTTGATTAATGGGCACAAATATACAGCAAGTTAGAAAAAATAAAGCCTAGTGTTCAATAAATCAGAAGGGAGATACAGTTAACATCAATCGATTGTAAACTTCAAAATAGGCAGGAGAGAATAACTTAATTGTTTTTAGCATAAAGTAAAGATAAATAGTTTAGGTGATGGATATCATGATTACTTATGATATCCTAATTTTTACACATTATTTTACACATTACATGAATGTATCAAATTATTGCATATGCCCCCAAAATATGTACATCTATTATGTATCAATAAAAATTATATTAAAAAATAGATTTATATAATATGTAGCTCTTTGTGTCTGGTTTCTTTCACTTAACATAATGCTTTCAAGGTCCATCCATGTTGTAGCATGTATCAAAACTTCATTCTTTTTAAAGCTGACAATATTTCATCATATAGATATACATCATTTTGTTCATCCATTTGTCAGTTCATGGACTTTGAGCTGTTTCTACCTCTTAGCTATTATAAATACCGTTACTATGAACATTTGTGTACAAGTTTTTGTGTGACCAAATTTTTTCATTTCTCTGGATACATGCTAGGAGTCTAATTGCTAGGTCATGCGGTAACTATGTTTAGGTTCTTTAGGAATGCAAAGCCATTTTTTAAAGTGCCTGCACTATTTTACATTTTCACTAGCAATGTATTTTATCCAGAAATGTATGAAGATTTCAATTTCTCCACATCCTCATCAACACTTGTTATTGCCCATGGTTTTTATTCTAGCCATTCTAGTGGGTATAAAGTGGTATCTCATTGTGTTTTCAAATTGCATTAACCTAGTGACTAATGGTGTCATCTCTGAGTATCTTCTCATTTGTTTGTTGGCCATTTGTATATTTTCTCTACAGAAATTACTTTTCAAATATCTTGTGCATTTTAAATTTCTATTTTTTTGTTAATATTATTTTTAATTGACAAATCTTAATTGTATACATTTATGGAGTATGATTTGATATTTTGACATATGTATATAGTGTGGAATGGCTAGATCAAGTTAATCAATATATCCATCACTTCACTTACTTACCATTTTCTGTGATGAGACACTTGAAATTTACTAGGCTATTTTGAAGTATAGGATACATTATTATTAACTAGAGTCATCCTGCTGTGCAATAGATCTAAAAAGCTTTTTTCCTCCTGTCTAACCGAAACTTTATATCCTTTGACCAGTATCTCCCCATTTCCCCCACCCCCAACCCTCCAGTAACCACCATTCTATTCTCTGCTTTTATAAGTTCAGATTTCTTAGATTCCACTTATAAGTGAGATCATACAGTATTTGTCTTTCTATGCCTGGCCTGTGTCACTTACCATAATGTCCTCCAGGTTCATCCATGTTGTCACAAGTGACAGGCTGCTGAATTGTATTCGTGTGTGTGTGTGTGTGTGTGTGTGTGTGTGTGACATTTTCTTTTCATTCATCTGTTAATGGAAACAGGTGTTAATTTCATATCTCAGCTATTGTTAATAATAGTTCAATGAACATGGGTATGCAGATATCTCTTCAACATATTGATTTCAATTTCTCCGGATCTTTACCTAGAAATGAAAGTGCCAGATCATATTGCCAATTTTTTTTAAACATTGGGTTATTTGACTTTTTATTATCGTGTTGTAATTGTTCTTTATATATTATAGATACAAGGCCCTATTTTAATATATGATTTTTAAATATTTTCTCCTAGTTTGTGGGTTGTATTCACTTTCTTGACAGTATACACTGAATCACAAAAGTTTTCAATTTTGTTGAGTCCCAGTTCTTCTGTTTTTATTTGGGTTACTTGTGCTTTGGTTTCATAGCAATAAACCATTGCTTTACCCAAGATCACAGAGGATTATATGCATGTTTTCTTTTAAGAGTTTTATCTTTTTGGGTCTTACAGTTAGGTTTTTTATCACTTTTGAGTTTTTTTGTATTGTATTAGACCAAATTCATTTTTTCCACATGGATATCCAGTTGTCGCAGCAGTACTTGAGGACTCTTCTTTTCCCATTGAATTGTCTTGGCACCCTTGTGGAAAACCAATTGACTACAGATGTACAATTTTACTTTGGAACTCTCGATTCTATTCCATTGATCTATATGGCTATTCTCATGACAGTAGCTTACTGTCTTGATTACTGTATAGCTGTATAGAAAGATTTTGAAATCAGAAAGTATATGTTGTTAATATATTAATTAATAATAACATATAAATATATATTTAGTGTGTTTAAATTCATTGGTGTACCTTTTTTGACCAGTGGAAATGTATTCTGATGATCTCTTTCATCCTTTAGACATGATCAGATTAGTCATATATTATTCTTTCTTTGTAATGTAGGAGTTGCTAAGCTAAACTTGTACATTTTTTTAACCAGACCTGTAATCTGTTGTTTCTCCAGGTGTTCTGTTTCTTTTTGGTGGAAAATTGTATTTAGAGTCCACAGTCTGGACACCTGCAACATTTACTGGTACTAGGCTGATCATTGTTTGTACAACTTTCAATACACAAAACTAGAAATTTTTTTTAGTAAAAATATGTCTCAGTGGATCATACAGATGCTTTGGACCCTATTAACCATAAATCTCTGTCATGCCAAAAATCTCAATTCTCAAAGCAAAAATTATTTATTTGCTTTGTTCAACACTACACTCTCCATAATCTCAGGATAACTATAACAACATTGTAAACATTGGAAGAGTTTCTGGTTTCAGCATCTCCTTTAACGATGTATAGTAAGATCACTCTGTCACAGCTATGTGAAACAGTTCCTACTTATGTGGTTATGCCACCAACTTGATAAAAATTTAGGTTCACTTGTTTTATCCATTTTTTAATTAACTGTTTTATAATTACATAAAATATATATTTCCTTTAGAGAAATGACTCCAAGTCTATAAAACAGAGTACAGCCTAAGAATTTCACCTTCTACCCAATCCTCTCCACCTGCTATCTTCACCCATATTATTTTTTTGTAATTTTATGGTTTATCCTTCCATTGTTTTATTTTATCATAAGCAAACATGTTTAGGCATATGAGCATTAACATATTATGCACATTTCTATTCACTTTGCTTCCTTCATTTATATGCACTCTGAAGATAATTTTGTAAGTCCGTTTATATTTATTGATATGATCATTATTTTATCCTCACTTTTGTCATGTTGTTTGTTTGTTTGTTTGACACAGGGTCTTTCTCTGTCACTCAAGCTGGAGTGCAGTGGCACGAACATGGCTCATGGAAGCCTCTACTTCCTAGGCTCAAGAGATCCTCCTGCTTCAGCCTCCTGTGTTGTTGAGACCACAGGTATCTGCTACCACAACAGCTATTTTTTTTTTGTAGAGACAGGGGCTCTCTATGTTTCCCAGGCTTTGAACTTGTGGATTCAAGCAGTTCTACCACCTCAGCCTCCCAAAGTGCTGGAATTAGAGATGTGAGCCACCATGCCTGGCCTGTCATATTGTTTTATACATATACATGTTTATATGTATGTGCATTTGTCTTGTATATAGATACTTTTTGCTCTGTGATATGTTTTATTCTAGCCTCTTTTTGTTTCTCTCAGTATAACTTTTAGTATTTAGGAAGTTTGTAATTTCGTTTTAAGAGTTTATCACTTTGGGATTATATTTTTAGAATCACAATGAATTCACAGCTTAATTTGCAAATGACTGATTTATTTACAATACAGAGTCTTCCCATCCATAGTAATTACATATCTGTTTATTCATGTTTTCATGTCTTCTTTCAAGTCTTTCAGCAAAGTTTTATGTTTTCTTTAAGCTCCTGATATGGACATTACTTAGGTTTCTTCTATAACATTTTACTGATGCTAGTTTCTGATGCAGTTATACATGAGCTTTTTCTCTATTTCACTTTCTAATTGGTTATTTCTGTCATAGTTAAGCTATCTATTTTGTATGTTGTCATCTTACTAGACTCTGTTTCTAGTTCAGTTTAATTAACTTTTAAAATTTATTTATTTATTTATTTATTTTGAGATGGAGTCTCACTATGTCACTCAGGCTGGAGTGCAGTGGTGCGATCTTGGCTCACGGCAACTTCTGCCTCCTGGGTTCAAGCGATTCTCCTGCCTCAGCCTTCCAAGTAGCTGAAATTATAGGCACCCGCCACCACACCTGGCTAATTTTTGTATTTTCAGTAGAGATGAGGTTTCGCCATGTTGGCCAGGCTGGTCTTGAACCCCTGACCTCAGGCAAACCACCGGCCTCGGCCTCCCAAAGTGCTGGGATTACAGGCTAGAGCCACCACCGCACAAATCCTAATTAACTTTTTATTTTGAGATACTTTTAGGTTCACCTGGAATTATAAGAAATAATGCAGAGAGATCCCTGTACTCTTTACTCAATTTGAAAATGCTAAAAATTCTAAAAATAGTTTTCTTATAATTTAATTACGCCTTTGCAAATTCTGTTATTATGGCAGTTCTTTTTCAGCAACTGTCTATATATATATTTTATCATCTAAAACAAATCTAAATAACTTATTAAATTTTCTCAATACATTCTATGTAATCGTTGATATGAATTTCAAATTTTAAATGATATAAACTGAAATATAAATAGGCAAAAATCTGGCATAATTTCCATGCTGTTCTTTTGAAATAATAAATGCAAAACAAAGCATCTGACAGTTACCCAAGAGCCTGCTAATGTCTGAAGTATATAGACTCTATTATGAATCTACTTTTAAATTCTTAAATAAAATACAATGCATGATTCACATATTACCTGCTCACCAAAAAGTCATCATGCTCAGGAATGATTGGAGAACTCTCTAATGGTTGTTAGATTCCTGTTCATCCCAGTAGATAAATACCTTTTGCAACCATAAATGCTCAATAGGAAGCTAAAATACTGCTTTCATATTGACTTGGTGAGCATGTTTCATACTCTGACAGCTGCCTTTCTTTCTCAAAAATGACATACTAACAACACATGCTAAATGTATTGAGATGTGAACAGAATATATAACATTTGTACTGAATTCATTATGTCTCCAGATGCTTTAGTTTAGAAAGAAAGGTGCAAGTGTGTTACTATTCATTTTAGGCATATATTGGTATATTTATATTAAAAAGAGATTAACATAAATAAAGCAATCAAATCTAAAAGAGTGGCATTTGGTTGGAACCTCTGAACAGCTTCCATTTTACCCATCATCCCCATTTTGCAGACCTCAATTTCGGTATGACAACATAGTAACTAAACAAGAATGAATATTCTTTTCGTATTTTTCACTATAAGAAATTTCACAGGATAATAACTTTAGAAATAAATGAAGAGAAAATCTTATTTCAATTATACCTACAATGTCCCTACATTTGTATGTATTTAGACTTACTTTAATAAATAACATAATAAGATTTTTTACAAGAACGTAACCAACTCTGCATGCTCCTCTATGCTCCCTGCATAGATTTTTAAAAATTAAATATGGAGAATCAGAACCTATATGTATCTCATAATTAATCGTATATATGTAATGATGTTTTTCATAGGCTGAAATTTTATCAACAAAATACAGATTACATGTTTGGTCAACAGTATGTGCATATTCACAAATGCCTGGTCCTCAAGAGAATGTAAGGATATAACATAATAATATAGAGATGATTTGCCCATCTTACAAAGATAAAATACTGAAAATGCTTTCAAAGTTATGAAAGTTTACTTTAATCTTCAGTCATACTACATTTTTCTATGATTTCTGGATCACTGTTGTTTAATAGAAATAGAAATATAATGTTTAATAGAAATATAATAGAAATATTAAAAAATTAAAGGTAATTAATTTTTTAATATTCATTTTCAAAAGTTTAAAAGAAACATAAAAAATAATTCCAATAATATATTTTTATTAATCCAATATATTAAAAATATCATTTTAACATTTAATAAATATTCAAAAATTATCACTGAGACTTTTTGTGTTGTATTTGTCATGCTTGCTCACTGAAATCTGGTGTGTATTTTACATATTCAACATATGTCAATTCAGACTAGCCCGTTTCACTTGCCAATAGTCACATGTCATGTGGCTAGTGGGTACTATACTGGATAACTCTAGATGAGGCAGATCATTATGCATTATACAGACTATGAATAAGTTCTGCGAATTATGAGGTACAGAAGGTGCCAATATTATCTCAAAAATAAACTGCACCCGGTACGTCACCTTGTAGTAAGGCATACAATTTTACTGAATATAAGTCAGCCTAGAAATCAACAAAGTATATTGAAGCATAAACCAACAAAACAAAAATTGCCTGACATTTGGTGCCACCCTTAGAATCACTCCTTCAGTCATAATTTAATTTGTCCACATTAAAAAGACATAGAAGTTACGGAAAGAAAAGAAAAGTTATATTTGAAAACGCTTCAAATTGTTTAAATATTAAAATTTCTTTTTTTAAAGCCTATTTCAAAAGTAAGCAGGGTTTGGCAAAACTTTTTTGTAAAGGGCCATATATTAGATACTTTAGGGGTTTTTTTTGGCCATACAATCTCCATTACAACCACTCTACTCTGCAGTAGGAGTGGGAAATAAGCCATTGACAATATGTAAACAAATGCATGTACCTGTGTTCATATGAAACTTTATTTACAAAAAAAAACAGATGATGGGGCCATAGTTTATCACCTCTGGTTTAGACTACCTTCCTTGCAAGTAAAAGAGCTCAAACTTGTTGCATATTTATTGGAAGGAGCAGGAAAAATAATCGTAGTCCGGATGTTCAGAAGATGTTGGCAGGAACCTATTTTCTCTCTATTTCTTGGTCATTTGCCTCTCCAGGTTGAATGCTCTTATGACACATGATCTCAGAAGGTGAGAAAAAAAACTCTCTGTCTTCTAGCAACTACATCAGTTCTTGAAAGGATATTGAGGCCTTGCTTAAGCCATTTTCCTATCCTTGGATCAATCAACATTCCAGGCCACTCACTGCTCAGCCCTGCTCACATGCCTACCTCTATAAAAGAAGAAGGAGGGACATTTGATTGCTAGACTAGCTAGATGAGAGAGAAGCAATTAACAAAAGGCCAAAAAGTCCACATAATTTATGAGAGAAAAGGAAAGTATAGGGCAGGGATAAATTACAGTGTTCACTATGATGGTTTTGCATACCTTCAACCTTAGATTGAAGGCAATTGCTAAAGACAATATTGCCCAAAAGCCTAATGTTTTGCAATGAAATTCTTTAATAAATATATATATATTAATGATATATTAATGACAAATTGGAAGCTACTCACCAATATCATTATATCTCAGGACATTCTCATTACTGACCCTTAACTCCAGTGGAAACAAAGGAATACTAAGAGGAACCAAGACTTTTTCATCTGAAAGTGTCAGGCACTCAAGTGAAATAGGGGACAAACACAGATTTTAGGTATGATAATAGCCTCCTGATAAGCAAAAGACAAATGTACAGAGTATAGTAACAGATACCCAGTGGTACATACTGGAGGAAAATCACCAGAGTGGAAATTTCTAACAGGTTGGTCAAGAAATAAGTCATATGATCTAGATCAAGGGAATGTATCCTGAATCAGGTCACTGGCAATTGCAAGAATGCAATTCCAGCCTTACAGCATTTCAGTTGCTATTCAGGTTTCTAAAACATGGTTTCAGATACCAGGGCCAGAAAGAAGAATGAATATTAGGTTTCAGAAGAAAAAGCACAACAGTGTTAAGTGCTGCTGAAGGTAATGCTAGCAATTAATACCTGGCTGTCATTCTGGAGTTCCTTTTCTCTCTTCCATCCAAGGTCAAGATTTTCCTAACATATAACACAAGGCTGTGCCTAAAGTGAATGACTGATTCTTCAATGAGGGAAGAAGACACAGAAGCTAAAAACAAGGTAGGGTCTTAAGACTAGAGGATATTTTTAAAGATTGTAAATAAAGTTTCTACTCTTGGAAATAGTTGCCTTTTAATTTTTAATGATAATTTAAGTTCTACAGGCAATAAATAGAAATTTGATAGTGTTTTGAAGCTTATCTGTAAAAGTAATATTTAATTGTTTTCCATGACGTATTTCTAGGTTATATCCTGATACATAATAGAAATGGAAATATTTTCTATGGTACAATGCTGAGAAAATAAAGCTTCAATATCATAGAAAATAGTTTCCATTTCAACCGTGTACTAATTAGGGCATCACCTGAATTGCTGTAATAAAGGGACCCCAAAATACAGTGGCTTAAATATGACAGGATGTATTTTTCTCTAACATAACCCAAAGTAGGGTGGTCTGGTCACCAAGTTTCTGCAGGTTCCCAGGCTGTCAGGAGAGCTCAGCCAACATCAACATTCATTTCCATCACTAAGTCCAAGGAAACTGCCAGTTGTCACCTGTTTTCAGTCTGTGAGAAGCAGAAAAGACAAAAGAATTTAAGAACAGCAGTTTCTTAATAAGGACGTTGCAAGGAGGAAGCATCACATATCTTATCCAGTTATATCTCACGGTGAGAGCTTTGTCATAGGACCTTCCCTAGGTGGGTAGCTACGGAGAGGTTGAAGTGGGTTGGAGTTCTATTAAATAAGAAGAAAGACTGGATGTTGGAGCTTGATTAGCAATATCTGCTACCAATTATTCATGCCTTTAGCTTGCATTTAATAAGTACCTAATGGGGGTCAATTACCACTCAAAACATTTAAAAATGATTTTAAACAAATAGAATGTAGCCCTTGCTCTTGAGAAACACATGGTATAGTGAAGATGTCCATGGAAACAATTTTAGCAAAGTAACTGTATTTTTTTGGAGTATGTATATGAGGTTCTCCGAGCATGGAGGATAAAGCACTACTGTCCACATGAGAAACTCAAGAAAAGATTCCTAGTGGAAGTAGTGCAGTGTTTGAACTGAATCTTTCAAAATGATTAAAAGTTTACTAGGTAAAGTAAGAAAGAGTGCTTTGGTCAGCAAAGGCTAAACAGAACACTGGCTTTGGGGGGTGGGATAGATCTATTTCAGTGTGTGTGTGTGTGTACATGCATGCACATGGATATATGTTTGTGTTAAAGCAGAGAAGTCGAGTGGGGGGAATGATGAATGACAGAATATGAGTCAAAAGGTATACAAGGACCGTATTATGGGTGGCCTTGTGAGGAATTTGGAGTGGATTATGAAGCCATTGCAAGACTTTAAGCAACAGAGAGATGTGGTTCATTGGCATTTCAGAAATTTCATTTTGGTTGAAGTCTTCTCTTACAAGGGCTTCGAGGGAAGAAATATTCTTCATTTTGATGTAATTCAACAAATATTTATTGAACACTGTCTTTGTGCCAGCCCTATTTCCTCCTTGTTACCCTAGAAAAAGCCAACTTTCAGTGAAATTTGTTGTCTGAAGACATTTCCCTGTGTGACAAATTCTCTCTTGGGACATACCCTAGTCTTTAGAGGACAGAAAGGGTGAGAGAGAGTGGATCCTAAGTAAAATATAATCTTTCACTTATACAGGTCTCCAGTTTCAGCCCCATTGAGTTATCATAGCAGACTCATCAGGTTCTCATGTAAACAAACAAACAAAAACAAAACAAAATCTTCCAGCAAGTATACCCCTCTAGGTTTCAGACATGACCTGAATTCCAAAGGTGAGCAAAATTGAGAGGGAATCAATAAAAGCATCATATCTTATCAGGAAGTTGGTCTATCACCCATGAGAGCAGTACTGAATTTCATGGCTGGATATCATTTTATTTATTGTGACTACAGAAGAAATGATAGTATCAGATGCCAGGAAATTACTACTCTCAGTTACTTAAGAAGAGAACCAGCTCCACGGTTTTGCATAATCTGTCACCACTCTTTATGGGTGAAAAGAACTTGAATTGGGAATTTTATCACTGTATAATTAGATCTGGCTAGATATATTCCAAACTATTTATTTCTATCTTTTGTGTAAAATCTTTATTCTACTTTCTAATGACTTCAGTCAACTCGTTAAAAACTATTACAGTAATGAAGATATTAAAATACAAAAAAATGAAATAAACAAATTCTGGAAATACCCTCCAGAATATTTATTTTCACCACCAGATGGCATTATTTAGTTTTCTTAAGGTTAAAGAAAAACTACTAGCATAATACCATCAGCAATAGTTTAATATGAATGAACGATCTTGTCTCAAACAAAAAAAAAATCATCAAAGAAATGAATTAATGTCTGTCCTTTGTTCCAGCGCCATCCATCTGTACATAATGTTGCTTCCTTTGAAATCAGTTGAAGATTAAATATGTATAAGGTACACACTAGGGGGCACTGAGATAGGAAAATAGGGCCACACGTGCCCATGTTTGGAAACAGATGGTTTGAAAGTGAATAAAGATAATTAATAATAATGATGTCTTGCCTGCATGAAGCAGCTGTCCTCCCCAGAACTCAAGAGCTTCTTTCATTCCCTCATTTATCCTCCCAACACCTAGTCATGACATCAACAATGGAATGGATGCATCTATTTGTTTTGTTTGGTTTTTGGAGTTTTTTTTTTTTAACCTCCATACAGTAATAACCCTTTCTTACGCAACAGACCTACATCGTTAGATGGTTACAATCGCAACATATGTAAATACCTTGCAGGTTGTGCTAAATAATGGAACTAAAACTTTCATACCACAAATACATAAAACTGCTTGAGTTTGTGGGAAAGGAAGGCAGAATAACTTGGAAATATCTGTTATAGAAATTCAGACCTGAGAGTACTACTCTATGTGACAGATAGCTTTTTTAAATGTGGATTGAGATTGAGATATGTTATTCATATAAGATTTGAACTAGAATAAAAGGTATCTGATTATTAAATTAGATAACATTTTTGTTTGATTTTTCCCCACTGAACTATACTACTTCCTTTTCAGAATCCCAAGTCTTGTGAATATTAAGGGACCTACAACCTTGTTTTCTAAGAAACATTAGAACTTGAAATCATAATTGTTTACGTGTTAATCTAAGGAGAGTTTTAATTTTTTAAACATCTATTTACTGAGAAGTTGTTATCTGATAAGAGTATACCAGCTCAGGAAGCAATAATTTTTTTAAAGGTAAATTTAAATTGTCAGTACTTTAGAAGAAATTAACTTAAAACTTGTGTCCCATTATGTGCTAAAACAGTGTCTCAAAAAGCAGAAACTACAACTGTTAGGACCCTAACAGAAGAGAATGGAGTAGGTCCGAAACTCCTTTTTAAAAAATGCTAGCTAGATCCTTTGATCTATAATTTTCTTCTCTTCTATTATCCAGTGGGCTGCTTCCAACTTTTCACTCCAGCCCCATTTTCTCCTTCTCCCAAACCTGCAAATGTCCCCAGCTGACGAGGACAGCCATCAATTACTGGGTGTTTTTTGCTCCTTTATTGAATAGAGATCATAGGATGCCTCAAAGGGAATAAAAACCTTCAGAATTAATGCCCAACAGATACAGCCCCCTTCCCTTAAGCAAGGCCCTTGAAGTTATTACTAGTTCCTACAAAGATTTAATCCATTATTTTGAAATGGTATTATGATTTCTTTTTCTAATTCTGTAGATCCCTTCTTGCAATAGAATTGCAAGAGAAGCGTTATTTTCCCATAAATCACAGTATCTATTACCTCCCTTTAACTCTCTTCCCTTTAATTGCTGCCAATTCTGAATACACTTCTACAGCTTGCATGATATTATTGGGATGTGAATGACCTGCATCAAAGAAACCTGAAGAGACATTAGGATTTCTGGGTCATGAAATCAGCGCCAGTTTAACAACGAATGTCAAATAAACCCAAATCATCCCAAGGTCTGCATGAGATTTGGGCTAGTTTTTTGGTTAATTGCTGGTCTAATGAATCTTTGGAATGACCCAGCAGTCCAGAACACTTTTCTAAGCTCTTACTAGTTCTGAGAGTGTCACGTTTGAATCCACAGTCATTATTTACTTTATGTCTCTTGAATAGTTACAGGCCTTACTTCCCCCATACAGTCCCAAATCTTTACCCCAGCCAACACATGAAATTATTCATCATTCAAAAACCTTTTACTAATGTTCTACTACGTTGCAGACACTGTAGTCTATACAAAAAACATAATAAAAAGAATAAAACTTAGATTCTCAAGCGCTTAGATTCTAATGACTTTTGGGGAAATATCAGAGAGTAATTGTCAGGCAAGAGAAGTGTCAAGTAACCTGGATATGAGAACAGGAGTTCTATAGAGCTCCAACCTATTCCTTTTTAAAGCTGTTTAATTTTCTACTTCAAATTCAGAGCCAATAGATGCTAAAGGAAAGAGTGTGTTGTCAGATGAGTTCAAATTCCATGATTTATACTTACTCTTGGGTGACTTGGGTAAGTTATTTTAATTCTCTCAGCTTTCCTTTTCTCACCAAGTTTATGAAGACAGACGACGACTACCTCGCCAGATGGCTGGGAGGATTAAATGAGATGGTATCTGGAAAACACTTAACAATATGCTTGGCCTTCTACCAAATGTCTACTAAGGACATCTTAGGGTTAGCATTTATTGATCAGCATTTTTTGAGACCAGGATCTTTGCCAGGTAATTGCTCATCTACTAGCTCATGACTTCTACACATCAGCTTGGAGGTAATCCTTATTATTCTCATATCAAAAGGAGACTCAGAAAGGCGGCTTGCCTAATGTTACACAGCTAGCAAGTTGTAGGGCTAGACTCAAAATCATGCCTTTTCATTTCAAGCTCAGGGTTTTTTCTTTATACATTTTCAAGGAATACAACATTGTCTTGGAAAAGACATTCCCCAGAGGACTTTCACAGGTGCTCAGAGTTATTTAGTCCAGTTCTGCAACCCCACAGGTCAAAGTTGTGTTGCTGAAACCTGCCCTTGTCAGGTTTATGTAGGGAAGATAGAATAAAGCCTCCTCCCTTGAGGTGAGGCAGAGAGCATTTATGCTTTTCCCCACAGAGCGTATGTTGCCACAGTCTGCAGAATAAGAAGGAAAGAATTGAGTTGATTGTTCTTTGTGCAGTAATGAGATGGGTGGATTCCCAAAGTTATTGGTACCCCAAATGTGATGGAGCAATTGGCATAGCCAGGTACATAGAAGTGTTTCTCTATGCCTGCTCTTTAGAACAAACCCTCAAAGGAGACAAAAGCTTCAGCATGAAAGGCATGAGAGCAAGCAACAAATGCCAGAAGCCTATCAAAGGACTCGGATACCTTTAAGATAAGCTCTTAGCTCTGAACTAAACTGTTCTCTGAACTAAAGCTCTTCTGTGAAATAAGGCCAGCATTCTACCTGAATTTGCCTTTAGAGATGAATCACATGATGAAAGGCAGATGTGTCCATGTATCATTAATGAACTCAGAATCTGATGCTTGTATTAGTAAATGTCTTGATTCAAAACAGTATTGAGAGCAGAATGTCTAATAGGTAAATTATCAGTTGGATTTATTTTAGCACTGTAAATTCACCATCCATCATTCATGTGCCAAGAGCTACCTGGTAACAGTTTTCATTCATCCACCTTAGTGGGTTGGAGAATACTAATTGCTCTATTTTATTTTCACTTTTACTCAGCATCCTATTTCCCAACTCTTATCTATCATTGATAAGATTTTTAATTTACTGAACAGGAAATTTGATTCTAAACTCAGTGTAATACTTTGCATATACATTAGCAATATATAACATTCTTTGGAACTCAGCAAATATTTAAATTTTAAAAAATATTTTATACGCATAGATGGTTTGAAATCAATGTCCTTAAATATTAGCAATTAAATGAAATATTGTGCTGCTCTTCAGAATTTTAACTTTACTTTCAATTTTTTTAATAGAATTTAAGGCATTGCTGATTAGTGTGTGAGTTTGTGTGTATATGTGTATAGCAGGGTTCATAAAGCATTAGATCCCCCAATATTTCTAGAAAAGAATTATGTCTTGAATATATCTTTGTTTACTCCCAATTCATTGTTTTTACAATGGTGTTCTCAACTACTCTTGACCCAGATTTTTCACCTTAGTTGCCTCCCTTGAATACTCCCACATCATGCAGTACATATTTCACTTCAACCCTTTTTTAAACTCAGAACTTGAACTGTCACAATTTTCCATTCCCAGCGCCATTTAGGAGTCATGAAGGAACACCTTCTCTTGGCTTCTCATTTCTAAAGGTCCCAATGCCTTCCAAAGGTGCTGCTTTGGCCTACCTCCTTCATAAACATCTGTCAATTACCTTCATAATGACAATGCTGCCTTCATCTATAACTTCCAGAAACTTCTCCCACCTTTCTAGATAATATGGTACTGAGCACACATTTTTCTTCACAACCGCCATTATTTGTCATCATTCTAAGTAACAAAAAATGTATTTATGAATTATGAGCCACCTCAGTATCATGCTATTCATGCCCCTCCTTTCATCAATGACATGCATCTACCTCTATCTCTGGACATTTACCTTGCGGACGGATCACATTATCTAAAAGCACTACACTACAACCAAGATATCAAGTTCACTGCACTTTTTCTCCACCACAGCCTCTTTCTCCTCACAACTCATAGAACTCCTTCCTCTCGTGCTTTGCAGTCACTCAAACCTCTACACTTTACTCCATCCTTGATGCCCTTTTGGCTTTACTTGGTCCTTTTGTCTACTGAATCTGTGGGTTAACTTTTGTAGAGATTCTCTCTCTTACTTAAATATCCAACAATATGCTAAGATCCACAAAGAGCAGAAAAAATGTGATATGTAATCCTTATTCATAAGCAGTTTACAGCTTAAGAGAGGAGTTAAGAAATTTGTGTGTGGATGTTTCTACTTATTTCTTTTTCAAAGTAATGACAATAACTTTTGCCTTAATTTTCCTCAGCGTTAACACAGTCTTCTTTCCAGTCATCTGGCTTCTTAACTGTAAACTCCATTTTCACATTTGAAAAAATACTTACGCCTGAAGTATAGAGAACTAGAGAAAAATGACTTCAGTTTGCTCTCTTTTCTTATAGTGATCTTATAAAATGTTCTTGCATCCATTTGGAAAGGATTTTTCCTTAATTATTTTGAATACTGTCTTTAAATTTTGTGGCAATTAAAATTAAGAACTGGTTAGCCACTTGTGATGGTTAATTTTATGTGCGAACTTGTTTAGGTTGACGTGCCCAAATTTTTGGTCAAACACCAGTCTACACATTGATACGAAAATATATTTTAGGTATGTTTAACATTTAAATTGTTAGACTTGGAGTAAAGCAGATCACTCTCCATAATGTGGTTTGGTCTTACCTAATCAGTTAAAGGCCATAAGAGAAAACACTGAGGTCTATCAAGGAAGAAGGAATTCCACTAGCAGACTGCCTTCAGACTGGAGCCACAACATGAACTCTTCCCTGGATTTCCAGCCTGCCATCCTTCCACGCAGATTTTAGAATTGCCAACTCCCACGATCATATAAGCCAATTACTCGAAATAATCTCTTGAAATATATATATATATATCAAGATTATATATACATATCAAGATAACATATAGATATATCAAGATAATATATAGAGATATATATCTCAAGATGATATAAATATATAATATCAAGATAATATATAGATACATAGATCTCATTTGTTCTAGAGGAACTTAACTAATGTACCACATTATACTGTGTGAGCAGCTTATGATAAAATAATATTCTTTGATACAGAAATCTTTATTGTTATGAAATCATCAAGAAATTCTGCTGCTTGGTTTGTTTCACAAACCAAGCAGCATAATTTTCATTATTAAAATTCTATTAAAAACAGAAAAATCTAATTGCAGCATTAATAATCAAATATTTGGCAAAATTCAACATGTTGGTTTCATTTAAATAAATTGAATTAACTGTTGCTTCTCCTTGGGTAATGGGATTATCAAGATAAGTACAGAGTTTCAAATATGGCAGAAAGTGACTTATAAATAGCACTCAAAAATTCACATCAATCTCTCACCTATACATTAATTCACCAGTGAATTATAAATATCTATTTTTTTCAACAAATTTTGTGGTTTCTGTTTTTAGTTTATGAGGCAAAAAGCACCAGAGCAACATTAGCACATAAAGTAGAGAAGAAATTTTTCACTGCTTACTTACTGCCAGTCACATTCGAATAAGAAAGACAAGGATTTGCTAGACTAAGGGAAAACATGGCTCTAACCCAATATGATTCATTTCTCAGGGTTGGAAGGACAAAGAAGACATTGTGTCTTGGATGTCTTTTTGTTGTTGTTATTGTTATAGCACAATAGAAAACTAATCATAGCTAATACTAAAAACAAATCGTGTTAGTAAAATGAACTGTAATTGGAAACAGAACAGATCTCACAGAAGATGGAAGGGCAAGAAATCAAGCCACAATAGGAGGAGACCTGGGAGGAACTTAATGAGTTCAAGTCTGTAGTGCCTGATTATTTTCATAATGAAGTGTTTATGAAATTACCAGAGACCTTATGGGTCAAATGGCTGTTGTGTTTGAGAACTTGAACAAGATTGGACAGGTTTAAGAAGGTTCAAAAGAACCTCTACTTCTGCTTCAAAAAGGAAAATGCAGTAATAACCTAGAAAATCATAAAGCAAAAAACTTAGCTGGAAAGAATAGTGAGAGGAAATCAAGCAAAAATGATTGGCAAGACCCTTATAAAAAACAGGGCAATGGGTGATTATCTGTTTATTTTCTTAAATAATAAATGTAAAATAATAATTTAATCAATGGTAAGGTGTTGGTCCTGGCATATTAGAGCGGAGATACAGATTTTAGTCTCTTGAAAATTTACTTAAGATCCTGCATGATACTCTCCATCAATATTACAGGAAAATAAGTTTCCGCATGGCAGCTATAGTATCTGCTAATTTATCAAACATAATTGGAAAATGAGGTCTACTCTCCTTCTTTTCCACAGTGAAATTTTTAGATGAGTTAGGAAAAGAGATGTTGAAATATCTATAGAGAGGCATTATGACACAGTTACGTGTGCAGACTTGCTATTCAAACACCTTAAGTTTAAATCCTCATTCTGTTTCTTACAAGGAATGCGATCTTGGGCAATTTGCACAATCTCCCCAAGATTCACTTTCCTTATCTGCAAAATGGGAATAATAATAGTATCATCTAATGAAAAATTAATGGGATTATACAAGTAAAAGACTTGGCAGAGTGACTGCTCAATTAATGATAGTACTAGGTAATTTAATAGTAATCCTTCTATTTCCCACTAAATTGTGAGTCCCTCAAGAGCAAAGATTACACATTGCTCTTCCATATGCCCACTGTATATAATAAGATGCCTAACAAACTACCGGCCTGGTATAAATTCAAGATTTCATATTTACTGCTCACATTTCATACTTAATAACTTATATGGGGCAGATACTCCAAGTTAATAATAACAGGAAACAAGAACAGTGTGCACTGGACATGAGACAGTCTGGAAGAGGCAGGAAGGGAAAAGATGTGCTGCAGAAGGTAGGAAGGGAAGGGATATGCCTGGCTGGAGGGAAGAGCCAATCAGTTCTTCATTGATCAAGGCAAGTAAGAGTCAAACATCAGGGCAGGTAGGCTAATAAAATGACACCAGAAACACGAATTCAGGCGTGAGCTTTATTCTTGACCCAAGCACCGTCTACTCCATCCCCTTTTATAATTCCTATTGGAATCATAGATATTTTCAAGATGAAACTGCTACCTATTGATAGACAGAAATACTATGGTTGTATGTGGATTTTATGACTACAGAAAATATATACTAGCTGGGGCCACATGTGTGATTTTATACTTAGAAGAACTGAAGGGAAAATCAGATAACCATCTAATAATTTCTTCAACAAATTCTGTGGAATGCTTATTATGCACTAGGTGCTAAGGACACAAGTATACATGAAACTGCCTGCTTTCTATCTGTTTATTGGAAAACTCTAACAGGCAGACATGTAAGCAAAAAAGTACAGGAATGTTAGAGAAAAGCCATTGAAATACGTGCAAAACTCTGTCAGTGCACTGAGAATGAAAGTCTTAAAATGAACTTGACAGAGGAAGTGGCGTCTGAGGGGTCTGTGTCCAGGGTGTGTAGGCTATTCAAGACTAAAGGAATAGTATCAGTTACCGATCTGAGGCTACACATAACACCAAGACTTGATACTGACTTGAGGCAGCTCCATGCTACGACCTGGCATTTAGAATCATTACAGCTTTTATGATAGCTGTCTTACTCATGCTCACAGTTTTTTCACTTTCAGGTTTCAACTGCTAGGTAGTCGAGGTGGCTAGGAGTCTTCTCTTATTGTGTTATGTGGGTTAATAAATGGTTGGAGTGTCTGAGGGAGCAGTTATCAGTTAAGTCATTAACAACTATATTAGTCCATTTTCACACTGCTGATAAAGACATACCCAAGACTGGGCAATTTACTAAAGAAAGAGGTTTCATTGGACTTACAGTTCCATGTGGCTGGGGAAGCCTCACAATCATGGCAGAAGGCAAGGAGGAGCAAGTCACATCTTATATGGTGGCAGCAGGCAAAGAGAGGAGCTTGTGCATGGAAACTCTTGTGTTTGTTTGTTTGTTTGTTTTGAGATGGTGTCTCACTGTGTCGCCCAGGCTAAAGTGCAGTGGTGCGATCTCAGCTCACTGCAACCTCTGCCACCCAGGTTCAAGCAATTCTCTTGCCTCAGCTTCCTGAGTAGCTGGGATTATAGGTGTCCGCCACCACACCTGCCTAATTTTTGTGTTTTTAGTAGAGACAGGGTTTCACCATTTTGGCCAGGCTCTCCTTGAACTCCTGACCTTGTGATCCACCTGCCTCGGCTGGAAACTTCTGTTTTTAAACCCATCAGATCTCGTGAGACTCATTCACTATCACAAGAACAGCACAGGAAAGACCTGCCCCCATAATTCAATCACCTCCCACTGGGTTCCTCCCATGACACATGGGAATTGTGGGAATTACAATTCAAGATGACATTTAGGTGGGGACACAGAGCCAAATCATATCATTCTGCCCCTGGCTCCACCAAATCTCATGTCCTCACATTTCAAAACCAATCATGCCTTTCCAATAGTCTCCCAAACTCGTAACTCATTTAAGCATTAACCCAAAAGTCCACAGTCCAAAGTCTCATCTGAGACAAGGCAAGTTCCTTCCGCCTATGAGCCTGTAAAATCAAAAGCAAGCTAGTTACTTCCTAGATACAATGAGGGTACAGGTATTGGGTAAATACAGCCATTCTAAATGGGAGAAATTGGCCAAAACAAAATTGTTACGGGGCCTATGCAAGTCCAAAATCCAGCAAGGCAGTCAAATTTTAAAGCTCCATAATTATCTCCTTTAACTTGAGGTCTCACATCCAGATCACACTGATGCAAGAGGTGGGTTCCCATGGTCTTGGGCAGCTCTGCCCCTGTGGCTTTGCAGGGTACAGCCTCCCTTTTGGCTGCTTTCATGGGCTGGTGTTGAGTGTCTGTTGATTTTCCAGGTGAACAATGCAAGCTGTCAGTGGATCTATCATTCTGGGGTCTGAAGGACAGTGGCTCTCTTCTCACAACTCCATTAGGCAGTGCCCCAGTAGGGACTCTGTGTGGGTGCTCTCACCCCATGTTTTCCTTCTGCACTGCCTGAGCAGAGGTTCTCCATGAAAGCCCAACCACTGCACCAAACTTCTGCCTGGGCATCGAGGCATTTCCGTACATGTTCTGAAATCTAGGCAGAGGTTCCCAAAACCAAATTACTGACTTCTGTGCACTTGCAGGCTCAACACCATGTGGAAGATGACAAGGCTTGGGGCTTGCACCCTCTGAAACCATGGCCTGAGCTCTACATTGGCCCCTTTCAGCCACAGCTGGAGTGTCTGGGACACAGGGCACCAAGTCTCTAGGCTTCACACAGCACAGGGACCCTGGGCCCAGCCCATGAAACCATTTCCTCCTAGACCTCCAGGCCTGTGATGGGAGGGGATGCTGTGAAGACCTCTGACAGGCCCTGGAGACATTATCCCCATTGTGTTGGGGATTAACATTTGACTCCTCATTACCTATGCGACTTTCTGCAGCAGGCTTGAATTTCTCCTCGGAAAATAGGTTTTTCTGTTTTACTGCATTGTGAGGCTGCAAATTTTCTGAAATTTTATGCTCTGCTTTCCATATAAAACTGAATGCCTTTAACAGTCACATCTTGAATGCTTTGCTGCTTAGAAATTTCTTCCACCAGATACCCTAAATCATCTCTCTCAAGTAGAAAAATTCCACAAATCCCTAGCGCAGGAGCAAAATGCTGCCAGCCTCTTTGCTAAAACATAACAAGAGTAACCTTTGCTCCAGTTCCCAACAATTACCTCATCTCCATCTGAGACCACCTAAGCCTGGACCTTATTGTCCATATTGCTATCAGGCTTTTGGTAAAACCCATTCAACAAGTCTCTAGGAAGTTCCAAACTTTCCCACATTTTCCTGTCTTCTTCTGATCCCTCCAAACTGTTCTAATCTCTGCCTGTTACCCAGTTCCAAAGTTGCTTCCACATTTTTGGGTATCTAATCATCAACATCCCATTCCTTGTACCAATTTACTGTATTAGTCCATTTTCATACTGCTGTTAAAGACATACCCAAGACTGGGCAATTTACTAAAGAAAGAAGTTTAATTGGACTTAGAGTTCCATATGGCTGGGGAAGCCTCACAATCATGGCAGAAGGCAAGGAGGAGCAAGTCACATCTTACATGGATGGCAGCAGGCAAAGGAAGGAACTTGAGCATGGAAACTGCTGTTTTAAAACCCATCAGATCTCGTGAGACTCATTCACTATCATGAGAACACTGCAGGAAAGACCTGCTCCCATAATTCAATCACCTACCACTGGGTTACTCCCATCACAGGTGGGAATTGTGGGAGTTACATGTCAAGATGAGATTTGAGTAGGGACACAGAGCCAAACTATATCAACAACCTTGGGAGAATATCCAGGAATATTTAATTGAGACTGATACTATGATAAAAAATCCTTGTGTTTTTCTTTGACTTGGATATTGGGAAGCAATTATGCTTACAGAATCTATAGGTGAAAGAAAGTCCAGAGGACTGAATTAGACCTTTTGCAATCATGATGAAATCAGACTACTGATTATAATAAACTTGACTATGTAAGTAAGGACAAATACTAGCAGACTTAGGCAGAAATTTCAAAATTAAGGAAAAGAATGTAAACTTAACTGTGTATTTAAAAATATGGTGGAAAATATATTTGAGCAATAGTGTATAATAATTGTCCCATATGCTATGAATTGTTAAAAGATTTCTTGAACTTGGCCAAAAAAAATCACATTACTGAAAGAACTTGAACTGAAAGAACTTGAACTAGAGAGTAATTAGTGGAGTGCCATAAAAATGTGTCATAGCTCAATGCTCTTCAGCTTCTCCTATCTTATTTTCCACAAACTAGTCACTTCAATGTCAAACTCCAACCATAATGAAAATACTAAGCACACTCTTTTCAATTACTTTTATAAGTTTGTAGACATTCTGTTCTGTTAATGCCCCAATAATTGTTAGGAAAACCCAATGTCCCACTTAAATTAGTGCTTCTCCATCCATCTGTGGCAATGGCCCAATTTTTATTTCTAATCCAGCAAAGATCAGTGTATTTATAAAATACTATAGAAAAGAATTTCTAGGTAAATAAAATTACATAATTAGACATAAAAAACCACTGGTCCAAATTGTTTATTGCTACATTCAAAGACATAAATTATTCTGTCAAATAATTTGACAGGCTTATAAGAGTTTCTAAATACTTTCAATGCATTTACTTATCTCATCATTGATCAGTAACAGTCATGAGTCAACACAGGTCCAAGAACTACACTTAGAGTAGCACTAACTTAGGTCCTGGTGTACACATATCTCTAATGGGGAAAAAATGTCTAGGGGAAGTGGCAGAACAATACAATGAAATGATGTTAAAAGCCCAGGACCAGAAGTCAGAAGCCTTGTGCTCCTGCCATACCAGCTCTTTCACTAACTAAAACTCCCTAGCCCTACAGTTTCTTTGCCTAGGAAATTATGGATTAGTCTAGATGATTTTATCAATCCTGTCTGGCTATTAAATGCCATGTTTCTATGAAATGAAGTCTTCTGAAGAAAAAAAATCAGCTAGGTTATTTACCTTGGAGAAGAGAAAGTAGTAAGAATTGTTAATTATGTTCTACTTTATTTGCATGGATGCAGTTCTTTCTCTTCTTCATGATCCACACAAAATTACACGTGGATATAGGCGTAGTGATTCTGCCATCTCAACGACCAACTTTAACCACCTACAAATAATTGGAAAGACTGCAGTAAACTTTAGACATATCTAAATCTTCTATTGCCATCTCCATAATAATTATAACTTTGGTGCTGGTGCCAGTTGTCATATAAATGAAGTTTTAGAATACTGAGAACCAGGATCACAAGTCCCACATCCATTAAGCTTAGAACAAAAGGACATAGACTTCAATTTTACTGTCAGTTATTTATATACATAACGTTATTTTCTGTTTAAAGCAAGTGTTGCTCAGCTTTGGAATACTTTACCCGCAAAGGTTATGTACTTTCGTTTTTTGAAGCTCATTAAAAAGAAGGTACTTTTTCCTTCCTGAAGTGGCTTGGTAATGACTAATGTAAAAGCAGAACAGTGAACAAAAGAGACTCCAGCACTGTGACTTGTTGTTGTATTGTTATGTAAGCCTTAACTTAAGAAAATATTAGCTGATAATAAGATTTAGCTTAATTCTCCTAGAAATAAGGATATTTCTACTCTTCAGCTCCAGTGTCTTTATTTCAGGCCCAGGTTAGCTTTTCAAGTTCTCTTTTTGTACCAGTAAGTGTGTCCTGGAAGTTTCTCTCTTGTGCTCCACTTCCGTCCTGACTTTAGAGTACTTCTTCTTTAGGTACATTCTATCAGAAATTAGTTTTAAAAATACAGACAAAGGCATGAGAGTAGGTAACTTTTTCTGGATCACTGAATATTCTTCCCAGTGGAGAAATTATTCCAGCCCAGCCTTTCTTAACAATGACACATCATGCCCATCAGGGTTCAGAGGTTAAAAACTGTCTACATATGCTGACTCCAAAAACTTCTGAAAAGATGAACTGTTCTTCCTCAGTTACAAACAGAAAACTGGAATGTTTGCCCAGATTGTCCATCTTAACTAAATGGTCCATCCTATGTAAAATATTCATCCTACCAAGTTCCAAACAGTAGAAGTAAAAAATATACCTTTGCTTGCACGAAATGAAAATGTTGTACGGGAAAAGTTTTATATAAGGATTAAAGAAGTTCACTGAGCCCAACAAGTCAGTTTGTTTCCTTTCAACACTCTATAGTCACTTGGAATTAGAGTTTCCAATTACTGACTCTGTACTTGAGCATGTGGTGTATTGAGTTATTGCTATCTGACTTAGATGAAAGTGTATTCCAAAAGTTCATTCAATTCAATTCAACACTATGTGTCCTAGCACCTATTAAGAGCAATCCACTTGTGTGGAGTAGTGTGAGTCACTACACCCCAGAAATTCCAATCTAGATGAGGAGGAAGACACACATATATAGATTACTCCAACAAAGGTCAAACTTTGATAACTGCCATGAAAGAGGCTCAAGACACCTAAAGAGTCAAGGGAGAAATTGATTCAGTATGAGGAAGGTTTCTTAGATGCTAGGGCCTCAAAAATAAGTAAAAATATTTTGAAAAATATATTTTCTACTATGAAAGTAATACAACTTCACTGTGAAAAATAAAAAATAAAAGTCATATACAATCCCACCAGCTGAAAATAATTACTTTTAACACTCACGCTAACATTTTTGTCTATATATATGTCAACACAAATATTCTTTAAAGAAAATTTAATAGTCATCAGTGTTCAGAGGTATACTCCCTGGTAATCTGCCTTTTCCCCTTAACAATACATAATTAACATTTTTCTATGTGATTAGCTATTCTTATGCAATAGGTATGGCTCATAAGTTTCATGTTTTCTTTTATTTCTTCTCCTGATTATGGCTGCTTAGAACTTGACATTAAGAGGATCATGAGACCGTCTTTTAATTAAATGAGAAAAAAACTACTTAGCATGTTTTCACAGGTTCAGGTTAATGATGCCATGCTACAAGTACCAACTATTGGCTGACTCACTTCTATATCTCTATTAATACCACATATTATTCTTTCAAATAATTGCAAATAAATTTTAACCAATTCCATGTTTTGGGGCATTTAGGTTGTTTTCTATGCCTGTTACACATAACTCTATGATGAATCTCCTTATGCATATATACCTGCTCATTTGTATAATTACATTGTTAAAAAAACTTTCTAGGATTGCTATTGCTGAATTGGAATATATGCAAAATTCTAAAGTTTTTTTTAGAGTATTGCCAAATTATAGTGCCAAAAAATTATGCCCATTTAAAAACCTTGCAATTGTACATGAATGCGCTAATTTCCTTCTTCCTTTTCCTATATGAACACTACGTTTCCTTTCTAAATATTTGCTCACCAATTTGACCGGGAACATGATCAGTTTTATCAGTATTTTAAGCAGTTCACAACTGTAGGCAAATGCAGGGGATAAAGAAGTGTTCCAGGTGCCCCAGGCCCAGCAAGAAGTCACAATAGTGAAAAGGACTCTCTTAGGGCTCCTGGAGCCCATGGGGCACAAAAAAAGTTCTACTATATTCTATTATTAACGTTTCATCTATTACATCAGAAGTTACCCACTTCTCATAGAACATCTTTAAATCTCTCACTCTAGTTGTGGGCCTGTCCAATTGTCTTTCTAATTCTGTCAATTTTGGCTTTATATGAGGCTATATTGTGAATGAAAAACAGTTATGATTATTATATCTTTGTGATGGATTGTTCATTGTATTACTTTGTAGTGTCACTATCTCTATTCATTCCTTTTGCTTTAAATTATAGTTTCTATACATTGCTATACAACTTATCTATAAGTAGTATAAAGCAGGAATTTTAAAAATTTAATCTAACCATCATTCTTTAACAGGTGAATTTAATCAATCTATATTATTACAATTTCTGATGTATGTGGACTTATTTCTAACATCTTTATTTTGTGTTTTCTGTTAACTACCTCTACTTCTTTCTTTTCTTTTTAATCCCTTACCTTTGGTTGATTTGCTAAAGTATTCTATATTTTCTACTTAAATCTGTGCTAGTTTTTAAACCTTAGATCTTCATCTTAACTTGTATAATTAGCCATATATTGTTCTAACAAAGCTATTATTCCACATTCTGATCCTCCTCCCAACATAGCAATATTTAACATCACCACACCCTATCATATTATTTTGTTTAAAATATTAGTATATAGAATTTTTTTAACTGCAGGTTTTTTTAACTGTACATAATTAAATTTACCAATACATTATCAGTTTCTATGTTTGCTGTTGTTTCTTGCATCCTTTGCCTTCATTCATGTCTCATCTTGCAAAGTTAATTGGAATCTATGGATCATAAACTCTTTAAGGCTTACAGTGTCTAAAAATGTCTTACCTTTGCCAACATTACAGATTTATAGTTTAGCTGGTTATCAAATTCTAGATTGAAGATCTACGTATCTCTACATGCATTGAAAATATTCCACTGCATTCCGCAATCTATTAGTTTAAATTTTATTTCTCATTTTATTATAGGGTAAATATCCAGTAGCTTTAAAAATTTTTTTTTAAATTTTGACATTTTGCAGTTTGACTATGGTTTTCTAGTCATGGATGTATCATTATTTATTTTGTTACTCAGAGTTACTTTGATCTTAGGGCTCATTATTTTCTTCAGTTTGGGAGAAAGTTTAGCAACAACCTCACTAAATATTGCTTCTTTGTCATTCCCTCAACTATTCTTTCTATCAATCTCCTCTCTTAACTGCTCTTTCATTTTATTTATCTTTTTTTTTGTGCTGCTTTCTGGGTCATTCCTTCCAATTTATTATTTTTCCTATAGAGTTTATTCAGTCTATTGTAGCAGTAGATTGTGTTTCCAAAGATAAACACAACACTGTCTCCCGTCCCACGTGCTTTTTGCAATGAGACTTTACCAATCCTGCCAGGGAGAGATTGAGTCTGTGTTCCTTCCCCATGAACCTAGGTCAGTCCTATATGCAGCTGACCAATAGACTGTGGCACAGTGACACTGTGCCCATGCCAGTTCTTCAAGAGGCCTTGCATTTTTTGCCTTCATATTCTCTCCAGTAAACCAGCTAATGTGCTTTAACAAAGCATAAGCTAGATTACTGCATGATGAAACACCAGGTGGACAGAAAAAAGCAACATGGTGAAAGCCTGAGACTTGTGAATGAAGGATTTCTGGGACCTTCTAGCACAGTCCAGGCACCGTCTGACCGCAGCTAAATAAGGCACCCCAGCCAATGTTCCTAACTGAACACTCCCCCAAGGTCCCAACCTAGAATCATGAGAAGACTTGTTTTAAGCCACTAAATTTTGGGGTAGTTTCTTAAACTGTAATGAATAACTGAAGTAATTACATTTTTACTTCAATGACTATATTTTTTATTTCTAAGAAGTGTAATCAATTATATTTAATATCTACCAGTTTCATTTTTGTCTGTGTTAATTAATAATTTGTTGTCTTTTAAAAGTGGAAACCATGCCTCATTCATCTGTTTGAACATCCAAAGCATACTTATTTCAAATCTTTTTCATCTGGATTAATTTTTTGCTTTGATTCTTGATTTTGTTTGTGTTTCTTCTGACATTAGATTTCTTTATGACTTGGGCAGGAGCAGGGATTGAAATACATTGTGAGTAATAAGATTTTTCTTTTCTTTTTTAAACCTCCTCTTCTATATCTCTCCCAGTCTACTTGTTTTGCAGTTGCCTTAAGAGGAGATACAATTTCTATTAGAGGAAAAATTAACCTATATACTACTCTATTCCATTTTAAGAGACTGATGAGACTGATACTAAGAAGTGAGCCAAAGGGATGGAAATCTAAACTATTTAGAATAAGAAGATACTTAATATGTGAGAACAGTCTTTCAGGCAAAAGAAACCTCAGGTATATGGCAGGAAGTTACAGTCTACAGATAAATTTTCCATGCTTATTTGCCTGAATGCAAAACCTTTAGATTGACGCAAATCTTCAGAAAAGTCTACCACCATGAAAATGTCTTCTCTGTGTGGTTCAGGGAAAGGGGGCCAAGTTCTACATCTTGATTTGTGTAGAGCAGAAGTAAGAGGACCATTTGATTAAGGAGGTGAGATGCAAATGAAATGAAATGTTGAGAAAGTTAAAAATGTATAACCAGAAAGGACGACGAGAATGTCAATCCCCAGAATTAAAAGTTATTTAAAGAGGACCTGGGGCTTCCCATGGAACAGGAGCTTGGACCAATTTTGTTTGAACCTCAAAAAAAAAAAATAGCCTTCCCTGAAATCTGAGTCACAGTTTAAGACTGTTTTCTGTCCTGGCAGAATGCCAGAATCATCTGGGGAACTGTTAATAAAAACTCCAAATACTCAGGCTGTACCTCAGAATAATTAATTCTGAACCTCTTGGGATAGTACCCAGGCATCATTAGTATTTCAACATTTCCCAGGTGATTCTAATGTACAACCAGAGCTGAGAACCACTGGTTTAAGTCACGGAAGTATCTTTAAGGAATTCTTCTAATTTTTGAACAAAGTGCACTAGAAGAGAAGTGAGTAAATCAGGTGTTCTAAGAGATGGAAGAAAAAAACACCGAATCAAAGATATGGAGAAGATGATTCAATTTTGTAATAAAATTGAGTGTATGAGAACATAGAGGAGACCTTCAAATTTGACTAACATGAATACATCATTTTGCTGTGTAAAGTGATTTGAGAAAATAGTGGGGACAAAATTTGGATTACAAAGTTTTGAAATAGAAAAGAGGAAATAGAAGTAAATATTGACTACTTTTTCAAGATATTAAAAAGGATGATGAGACCATGACATGGAAAAAGCACGGAAATAACTAGGAAACACAGATGTCAAAAGGAGGCTTTTATAAATCAAAACCAAATTTGAATACTGGGAACATTCTGACTATTCCTGACAGCATACTTTTTTTTATAGTCATAAGTGAGAGGTGGGAATCATGTTTATATAAGAATTAAAAACACTCCTTTGCTTTTCCCCACAGGAGGAAGAATAGAGAACACATATTAATTACAGCACAAAATATATGTAGCTGTAATTTAATCAACTCAATTATTATTTATAGGTGTCAGTGGTTTATTCTTCTGTTTAATCTACCACACATATGTATAGGTTTCATAATGCAGAATTCCAGAGAGAAATAACTTATTGAATTCAAGTAAGCAATTTATACCGATGTATGAATGATGTGAGTTTCTAGACCCCTTAGAGAGATTTGCCTTCTAAAATATAGAAAGCATATTAATATAAATGAAGTTCTATTTGGCTATCTGAAGAAGAAATTTGCAGCAGAAGACTTGCAGCAGAGGGCCTGCAGCCAAGTCTGTGTTCCAGCTGGAAATGAGTTTTTCTTTGAAGTCAACTTCTGAAAACTGGCCCTAGATATTTGCTGCCTCCACTTCTGAACCCCAGGTTATTTAAGAATGCCACTTCCCCTTCACTGGGTCCCAAAATAACTCTGTTCCCCAAAAGAGATGATGAGAGGAAAGTAGGAATGATAGTAGCTATTCTCATATGTGAATCAGTGGAACATAAAACTAGATTCAGAATATCAATCATGAAATTGTTCCAGGTGCTTTGCAAGAAAAATAAATTAAATAATATTATTTTTTAACTTTTATTTGAGGTTCAGGAGTACATGTGCAGGTTTGTTATACAGGTAAGCTTGTGTCATGGGGATTTGTTATACATATCTAAGCTCTAAGCCCAGTACCCAATAGTTACTTTTTCTGCTCCTCTTCCTTCTCCCAGCCTCCACCCTCAAGTAGGCTCCAGTGTTTGTTGTTCCCCTGTTCGTGTCCACGAGTTCTCATCATTTAGCTCCCACTTATAAGTTAGACCTTGCAGTATTTGGTTTTCTGTTCCTGCATTAGTTTGCGAAGGATAATGGCCTCCAGCTCCATCCATGTTCCCACAAATGACATGATCTTGTTTTTATGGCTGCATAGTATTCCATGGTGTATATGTACAACATTTTCTTTATTCAATCTGTCATTGATGAGCATTTAGGTTGATTCCATGTCTTTACTATTGTGAATAGTGCTGCAGTGAACATTCACATGCACATGTCTTTAAGGGTAGAATAATTGATATTCTTCTGGGTAGATACCCAGTAATGGGATTGCTGGATCAAATAGTAGTTCTGTTCTTAGCTCTTTGAGGAATCACCACACTGTTTTCCATAATGGATCACTAATTTACACTCCCACCAACAGTGTATAAATGTTCCCTTTTCTCCACGACATTGTCAGCATCTGTTATTTTTTGACTTTTTAATGATAGCCATTTTGACCTCTGTGAGATGGTATCTCATTGTGGTTTTGATTTGCATTTCTCTAATGATCAGGGATATTGAGGTTTTTTTCACATGTTTGTTGGCTAAGTAAATGTCTTCTTTTGAAAACTGTCTGCTCATGTCCTTTGCCCACTTTTTAATGGGATTGTGGCTTTTTTCTTGTAAATTTGTTTAAGTTCCTTATAAATACTGGGTATTAGACTTTTGTCAGCCGTGTAGTTTGCAAAAATTTTCTCCCATTCTGTAGGTCGTGTGTTTACTCTGTTGATGGTCTCTTTTGCTATGCAAAAGTTCTTACGTTTAATTAGATCCCATTTGCCAATTTTTGCTCTTGTTCCAATTGCTTTTGGTGTCTTCATCACGAAATCTTTGTTCATTCTTATATCCAGAATTATGATATTGCCTAGGTTACCTTCCAGGCTTTTTATAGTTTTGGGTTTTACATTTAAGTCTCTAACCCACCTTGAGTTGATTTTTTTACATGATGTAAGGAAGGAGTCCAATTTCAGTCTTCTGCATATGGCTAGCCAGTTATCCCAACACTATTTATTGAATAGGAAGTCTTTTCCCTATTGCCTGTTTTTGTCAGCTCTGTCAAAGATCAGTTGGCTGTAGGCATGCAGACTTATTTCTAGCCTCTCTATTCTGTTCCATTGTTCTATGTCTGTTTTTGTACCAGTACCATGCTGTTTTTGGTTACTGTAACCCTGTAGCATAATTTAAAGTCAGGTAACATGATACCTCCTGTTTTGTTCTTTTAGCTTAGGATTGCCTTGGTGATTCAGGCTCCTTTTTAGTTTCATATGAATTTTTAAATAGTTTTTTCTAGTTCTGTGAAGAATGTCATTGTTAGTTTGATAGGAATAGCATTGAGATTCAATGTAAATTCCTTTGGGCAGTATGGCCATTTTAATAATATTGATTCTTCCTATCCATGGGTATGGAATGTTTTTCCATTTTTTTGTGTCACCTCTAATTTCTTTCAGCACTGTTTTGCAACTCTCATTGTAGAGATCTTTCACCTCCCTGATTAGCTGTATTCCTAGGTATTTTATTCTTTTTTGTAGCAATTGTGAATGAAATTGCGTTCCTGATTTGGCTCTCAGCTTGGCTGTTGTTGATGTACAGGAATACTAGTGATTTTCATTCATTGGTTTTATATCCTGAAACTTTGCTGAAGTTGTTTATCAGCTTAAGGAGCTTTTGGGCCACAACTATGGGGTTTTCTAGACATAGAATGATGTTGCCTGCAAACAGGGATAATTGGACTTCCTCTCTTCCTATTTGGATGCACTTTATTTCTTTCTCTTGTCTGATTGCCCTGGCAAGAACTTCCAATACTATGTTGAATAGGAGTGGTGAGAGAGGGCATCCTTGTCTTGGGCCAGTTTTCAAGGGGAATCCTTCCAGCTTTTCCCCAAAAAATAATATTCTTACAAATCATATGGGACATACTTGTATATTACTATATTCTTATCTCCAAACAGCCCTTCAGAACAGTTTCTGCCATCCAGACCACCTGGGTCCTGCCTACCCAGAGACTTTTCTGCTTTCCTCTTGAATGCACATGTCTTTCTGGATAAAAGGAAAAAAAGTATCATTAGATTTTCAGTTTCTCACTGTTCCCTCTAGAGTTTTATGGAGAAAAATGAAAAGAGCCTTTGGAGAGTACAACTATTTCCACAGATCCTGGAGAAAGGACACTCAATATTTTCCAGAGGAGTTACTGAGATGTGCTTAGTGAATAGCTGCAGCAAGCCTTTGCCTAGGGGTTATGAGATTTCCTGGTCTACGAAGTCACATGTGAACCGTGAACAATCTCTAAGGATAGAAGTGTGGCAGAGATCTTTCAGTTACGTAATTAATTAAGAGATCTTACTTGAAGATCAATTATCAAAAGTAAAGTGATTTGAGATTTGATGGGGCCACTCTTGAATAAAATTTAAATAGAATTTTGGAATAGAACTAATTCCACAATACCAGAGATCATGTTTTCATAATGCCAATGTGTCTTTAGACTCTAGAATGGCCTCTGTTTCTGATATTTACACTACTTTGCTCTCTTTGCTTATTTGTTTTGTTATAATTCATCATTTATTGAATATTTTTCACATGCTGGGTACTTAACTTGTCTTATTTAATCTCCACACATAACATCATAAGTGAATATTTATGTCCTTGTCTACAGATGAGTAAATAGAGGCTCAAATGTGTTGAGTAGTTTACTAAAGGTCACAAAGCAAACTAGTAACAAAGCTTAAATTTTGATATCAGATTTATTTGGCTCTAATGTTCACCTTTCATTATATAAATTACATTAATTATCTATATGTTTAAAGGAGCTTCATAACTATATAAGATGGAAATTTTAAATCCTCTGTGCCAGCAGAATTTCAATTCAGTGCTACACAAAGCAGTGAGCTTACTAGATAGGTTAAAGGAAAGCTGAAGTAAGCTGCTGGTAAAATAGAGTTACATAGAGGATAAGCAACATCGTTTCTTAGCAGTAAAGGTGTCCTTCTGGAGAGATAGAGCGTGCCATTATTCTGGCTTGATATTAACAGGTCAGGCCAGGTGCGGTGGCTCACGCCTGTAATCCCAGCACTTTGAGAGGCTGAGGCAGGTGGATTACCTGAGTTCAGGAGTTCGAGACCTGCCTGGCCAACATGGAGAAACGCCATCTCTACTAAAAATACAAAATTAGCCGGGTGTGGTGGCGCATGCCTGTAATCCCAGCTACTCGGGAGGCTGAGGCAGGAACAACGCTTGAACCTGTGAGGCGGAGGTTGCGGTGAGCCAAGATCTCACCATTGCACTCCAGTCTGGGCAACAACAGCAAAACTCTGTCTCTAAATAAATAAATATACAAAAAATTAGCCGGGTATGGTGGCAGGTGCTGTAATCCCAGCTATTCAGGAGGCCGAGACAAGATAATCGCTTGAACCCAGGAGGTGGAGGTTGCAGTGAGCTGAGATCCTGCGCTGCACTCCAGCCTGGGCAACAAGAGTGAAACTCCATCTCAAAAAAAAAAAAAAAAAAAAAGAAAAAGGAAAAAACAGAGTAGCAGGTCATACATAACACCCTAGCTTTGATTTAAGGAATAATCTTAGGAATTTTAGGCTGAATTTATGTGGTTGACATGGAAGCTCAACATAATAAGAGTGATTTTACTGGCTGACATCAGAAATGGGAAAAAATATTCTGTTCTTTTAATCTTGTGATCCTTGGGAGAAAGTGGTGGAAGTTTAAGATTTTGAAATGGTTGTGAGATGAGGAAAATAATAAACTGGAAAACTTAATAGGGTAAATAATAGTTGTGATATGAGGAAAATAATAAATTGGAAAACTTAGTAGGGTAAATGGATTTGTGACCAAAAAAATTCCTCATTTTGCACAAATTATTAATGAATTCTGTTTGTGTGGTTAGCACTGCCAGGTGCTGTGTTAGGTGGACAAGATAAGTAAAGCACAATACTTCCTCTCCAAGAGCTTATAATATGATTAGGAAGCAAGGCATAAATACAACAAGGTATAGTTTAGTGTCAAAATAAGAGGTACTGATAATAAATCTATAAAATTCAGAGAAGAAATAAAGAAATGAGGACTAGAGTGCTCATTCAGTCAACTAATGTGTTTATTAAATACCTCCTATGAGCCAAGCAATACAATATAATTAACTCTAGGGCTAACCAGTAGAGCTTTCACACGTGAGAGGTTTGAGGTAAACTTGAAAAGACTAAATATTTAGTTAGGCCAGTTAAAGAAAAGAGGGGGGGTGGCGGGCGCGGTGTCTCAGGCCTGTAATCCTAGCACTTTGGGAGGCTGAGACGGGTGGATCACGAGGTCAGGAGATTGAGACCATCCTGGCTAACACGGTGAAACCCCATCTCTACTAAAAATACAAAAAATTAGCCAGGCGTGGTGGCAGGCGCCTGTAGTCCTAGCTACTCGGGAGGCTGAGGCAGGAGAATGGCGTGAACCCGGGAGGCAGAGCTTGCAGTGAGCTGAGATCGCGCCACTGCACTCCATCCTGGGCAACAGAGTGAGACTCCATCTCAAAAAAAAAAAAAAAAAAAAGGTTGGGGGGACCAGGGGCAAGTGACTTTCTAAATGAGTAAAGATTTTAAAAGCAGCAAACTTATTACAGCTTTAAGCACTTTACATATATGAACTCATTTAATCATCAGAAGAATTCAATGAAATAGGTACCATTAGCATTCCCATTTTACAGATGAGGACCCTAGGCTCAAAAAGGTTAAGCAATTTACTTCCTAAGACACATAAATAGAAAGTGGTATAGCTAGCATTCAAATGCATAGAGTAAAAGCTTTCATTGCTTTTATTTATAGCCTCTTAGATCCCCTGTTAGGGAGGACCTGGCTGTACAAAGAACACAATGTTAGCATGCCTTAGTAGGTTTATCACCAAAAGTCTGGATAGCATTGAGCATTAGAGCTTGGTAGTTCTGATTAATTTTTAAGATAGTGGTCCTCAAACTTCATGGTATAGCAGATCACCTGGAGGACTTCTTAAAACACTGATAGTTGAACCCCATCCCAGACTTTTCAATTAAGTAGGTGTGGCCTGGGCCCCAAAATTTACATTTCCACAAAGTCCCCAGTGGTGCTGATGTTGCTGGCCTGAAGATCATACTTTGAGAACCACTAATTAAGAAAACAAGTTCCCAAACTTCCTCACAAATCTTATTCCTGGGGGCCTTTCATCACTGAGCACAGAGCATGTGTATCAGACCTCTCTATTTCCACATCCCAGCAATGTCAAACAACATACCTAGAATTGAAATCACTGTCTTCTCACTGAAAATATGCTCTTGTGTTTTTGCCCTCTTAAGTGATGGCACAAGTTAACTTCATACTTTTGAAGTATCCTTGACTTTCCTATCTACCAACATCGTCACATTGATTTTCCTCTTAAATACTTCTTTCAACAAATATTTACTAAGCACTGCCGTGAGCTTCATAAATATTTCAGGATGGATTTAGAACGAAAGATGTTGAATACTTCAAAATATCACCGCCAGATAGCCTCCCTCACTGTAGTAAGAGAGAACACCCCCTTGACAGTCTTAGCAATGTTGTACAAAAGAAGGTATTTATAGGATTTGGAGGTCTACCTCAGGTAGTTTAAAAGGGCCCTTCAAAGTAGAAAATGGATTGAGATGGAGCAGTGGTCAGCACATAATAGCTTAGTATTGGTCATCAGAGCAAGATGATGGTTTTAACGAATAAATTGCTGTTTGATAAGTGAGCTATTTGCCTAGTCAAGCAGAGTGTTATCTCAGACAAATTGATTTGCAGGAATTACTTGCAAACTATTTATTGGTTACAGTCTTATCTTTCTTGGACAAATGTTTCACGGAAAAAAATAGTAACTCATGTTGACACAGGTGGTCTCTGTTCTTAGTCCTAATAGCTATGTCATGTTGATGTAGGTGATTGCAGTTCTCAAAGACACTGTGCCCTAGATTTAAGGAACTTACATTCCTGTGAGCAGGCCAACAGGGTTCCGGAAAAACTCTTCCTTGAATTAAAATTAACTTATTTGTAAGGTAGAAAGTGTCCACAAAAGAAGAAATATCTGAATTTTCTCGTGGAAGTCTTCGCAGTGGAGGTAGCACAGATTTTGAATAAATAGGGAATGAGGGCAATACAGTATACAGAGGAAGAGGAATACAGAAAAGTCCCAGAGACATGGTATATCATGGCACCATCTCTTCTCTACCTGCACTCCTAAGCTTTGGGTCAGGCCTTCCTTTTTTTCCTAATTATTTTTAAAGTCTTTAAACTGATTCTCCTGTCCCTAGCTTTGTACATGGACATCCCAATTCACCCTGTGCTCTACAGCTAGCGATATATCTATCTGTAACCCTGGCACCTTCTCTTAAGCCCATGGAGGGAACAATATGTAGTGTTCCTCTGGGGAGAGGAAAAGATAGTAAAGGAAACATTCTGCCTCCTTCTCTGGCTGGGTGAGGTCCACAAGGGGCCCCCTTTGCTGCCCAATCTCTCATTATAAAAGTGTACATGACTGCCATTCCAGGATGGGGTGGTGGTATTTTCCCTTTTTCTGACTAATGAACTCAAATGTATGGGATTCTGAAGAAGACCCAAACAGGTCTTTACTTAACATTTCAGATGATAAAACACAGATTGTATAGAGTGATGGAGTGAGGTTAGAATAGACTACAGGTGGCTTTGCATCCCTTATTTTACCTAACCCTCATTCTTGTAAATGATCACTAAGGCTTCACTTCCTAGACTCCCTGCACATATCCACATGCATTTCCCTCCAATTGCAGGGTCACCCCGTGGACAACTTCTTCTTTCTCTCCTGTGCAACTCTCTTCTTGCATCCCCAGTGCTTGGAGACTTTAATTCCTTTTCCTCTTCTCTTCTTGGATAGTGGACCTTCTCCCAGCAATTATCAGACCTTTGGCCTCTTTTGGGGTCTTGAAAAACTTTATGGTCTCCCACTTGTATGCTGAGGGTTGCTGGGTTAGAGTGTGAGTCAGTCACAGCTATTCTCTTCCCATCTGCTTCCAGTGCTGGTTAAGGGGAGACAGGGAATTTCCAGTTCTGAGAAGAGGAGAGAAAGAATATTTGGGTTGATTGTCCAT